>NC_000020.11:43587446-43890476 GCF_000001405.40 Homo sapiens
AGCCCGGCCGGTATGGTGAAACCCTGTCCCTACTAAAAATACAAAAATTTAGCTGAGTGTGGTGGTGCATGCTTGTAGTCCCAGCTACTCGGGAGGCTGAGACACGAGAATCACTTGAACCCGGGAGGCAGAGGTTGCAGTGAGCCAAGATCGTGCCACTGCACTCCAGCCTGGGCGACAGAGTGTGACTGTCTTATTAATAAATAAATAAATACGAAAAGTGGTTTGTTTTTTTACAAATGTGTGGTTCATACTCCTGGGTGGCCTTATTAGCTTTTTTGGTTGGGAGACAAGGGAAGGAACTTTCTTGGATCAGTGTGTGCTGGTGATTTTATTGCCTTTTCCTCTTAATTCAATCCCACTCTTTCCCTTCCTCAAGTCTTGTTCACCCAGCCTCCTGCCCCAGGAATCACGGGGAAGAAGTCTGGGAGACCACAGAAAAAACACCAATGACACTGAGCTATTAGAGATCAAAACTGGGTCAGGAAGAGTTCATGTTAAGCTTTCACATGTGCTAAGAACGCTGAAAGATACACACTGATTTCCATCTTAATAGTGCCAGATAATTGACAAATTTGGGACAAGATGAGGGAGAGGTCAAAATCCCCCTAACTTCCCAAAGCAAAAAAACAGGAGTATAATGATCAGAAACGTAATAGTAGTGTCAGAAGCACACAATCAGCTGTGGACGGTGAAACATATAATGGTTCTATCTGTTCTGAGATTGTAAAAGCACAATTATTTTCATCAGGATAAAAAATAAAAATGAAAAACTATGCTGTTGAATGGAACATGCTACAACCTATGTTTATTGAGCACATTCCAAGTTTTATATGCATTATCTACAATCCTCACTATAAGCCAGCATTTAGAAATTATGAACTTCAGACTGGGCGCAGTGGCTCACGCCTGTAATCCCAGCACTCTGGGAGGCCAAGGCAGGCAATTCACGAGGTCAAGAGTTCAAGACCAGCCTAGCCAAAATGGTGAAACCCCGTTTTTACTAAGAATACAAAAATTAGCCGGGCATGGTGGCGGGTGCCTGTAATCCCAGCTACCTGAGAGACTGAGGCAGGAGAATTGCTTGAACCCAGGAAGCGAAGGTTGCAGTGAGCGGAGATCATGCCATTGCACTCCAGCCTGGGCAACAGAGCAAGACTCAGTTTCGGCAAAAAAAGAAAGAAAGAAAGAAATTATTAACTTCGCTTTACAGATAGGATACATTTGCTCAGAGATTATGAAAACTGCCCAAGGTCACCCAGCTGGTACAAGTCACAGCGAGGAATTGAACTTGGTGACAACTACTGATTCTAAAAGTCTTACTCTTGCTTTTTTGGGGGGGGAAGCGGGGACGGAGTTATGCTCTTGTTGCCCAGGCTGGAGTGCAATGGCGCAATCTCAGCTCACTGCAACCTCTGCCTCCTGGGTTCGAGTGATTCTCCTGCCTCAGTCTCCCAAGCAGCTGGGATTACAGGCGGCCGCCACCACACCCGGCTAATTTTTTGTATTTTTATTTTTATTTTATTTTTTATAGAGACGGGGTTTCACCATGTTGGTCAGGCTGGTCTCGAGCTCTTGACCTCAAGTGATCCACCTGCCTTGGCCTCCCAAAGTGCTGGGATTACAGGCGTGGGCCACTGCACCCGGCCAAAACTCTTACTCTTTCTGCAATCTCTAACAGTGGGAGAAATGCTCTGGGCAGGTGCTGTAGCAAACACTGACTGCATATCAGGCAGAAAGATCCCAAGATTTGTCCCAGCCTTCAAATGGGACGGCCTACTCTCTCTTCAGTGAGAATACTTCATTTCCATTATTACCCTAACTGCAAACTGTATTCACCCAATTCTGCACCAAAATACAGCATCCCCAAGAAGAGAACTTTTTTTTTTTAAGAGACAGAGTCTCACTCTGTTGCCCAGGCTGGGGTGCAGTGGAGCGATCATGGCTCACTGCAGCCCGAACTCCTGGGTTCCAGCGATCTTCCCACCTCAGCCTCCCAAGTAGCTAAGACTACAGGTGTGTGCCACCATGCCTGGCTAATTTTCTTTTTTTATTTATTATTACTATTATTATTGGAGAGAAAAGGTGTTACTGTTACCCAGGTCCCAGACTCCTGGCCTCAAGCAGTCCTCCCACCTTGGCCTCCCAAAATGCTGGGATTACAGGCAGAAGCCACTTCATCTGACCAAAGAGAATTCTCAAATCACCCTGTTCTCCACTTTCTTTTTGAGACAAGGTCTCACTGTGTTGCCTAGGCTAGAGTGCGGCGGCACCATGACGGCTCACTGCAGCCTCAACCTCCTAGGATCAATCAATCAATCCTCCCACCTCAGTCTCCCAAGCAGCTGGGACTACAGGCGCGCGCCACCACGCCCAGGTAATTTTTCCTATTTTTAGTAGATACCGGGTTTCGCCATGTTGCCTAGGCTGGCCTCAAACTCCTGGGCTAAAGAGATCCACCTGCCTCGGCCTCCCAAAGTGCTGGGATTACAGGAGAGAGCCGCTGCGCCCGGCCCGTCTCCACTTTTAAAATTTCCAGTGACAGAAATTGTGGAAAGCAACACGAGTTGTATGTGTTTTAATATCCTAGATTCGAAGACAAACATAAATGTAAATAAAAACTGTCAGAGCTCTCTGCAATCTTCAGTTTGGGTCTTCCAGGCTGCTGCAGCGTTGTTCACAAATCCACACACCTCTAAAGGCAGGCACAGAGCGCTTTCCTGGGTAGTCGGGTGGCCTGTTGGTAGTTGCAGGCTTCTGGTTTCCCATCTTAATGGCGATGGCAGGGCAACCTGTATTGGTGGTGCTTTTGCACAAGCAGTTCTTTCTGCCGGGAACGCCCTTCCCCAGCCTTTGCCTTAATGAATACCACTCTCTCTTCAAATCTCTGCTCAACAGGGGCGCCTTTTTGACCAGCTTAGTCGTTAGACTCCCTAATACAGTTCATAGTTTTCACATTTTTGTAGAATCTATTCAAGTTCTAACTCCCCGCCATGCTCGCCGGCGCTCAAGCCTAGTACCATGGCAAGCAAAGATGCGGAGTTAATAAAACAGAATTATACGGTTTATCATTCTCAACACTAAACCTGCGCACCCTTTTCCGTTAAGTAGTTCCTAATAGTCCAGCACAGCCTTCCGCCCGGCCCCGCCCTCGCCTGGCTCCACTCTGCTCCTGCGCTTTGGGAATCGAAGCTGGGGCGTTCTCCAACCCCCCCGCGCTGGAAGCCTTCACTATTCTCCTCCCTGTGGGTGGAGCGAAGTTTGGGCACTTGGGTCCTACCGTTGTTATTAGTCTTTACTCGTAATTGATACTAAAGAACAAAATTAAATGGGTTTATTTTTGGTGAAAAGTTAATTCTCCTTATGTTTGGATTTGCCCCTCATGCACCAAATGGTACAGCCCCACATCAGTCAGGCTGCCTACCCCTGACGCCTGCGACGGAGAGGCGCCTTCCGTGCTGTCGTCATCACGTCGGCCGGAGCTAGCGCTGCGTCCTGGGCCACGCCTCCCGGCGCACCGACGCGCCTCTCCGGTTACTAAGCGGCCTTGGATACCTGGCCGCGGGATGCTGGGCGGCGTCAGGTGAGCGGTGGTCGCTGGGCCTCAGGTAAAGGGCGCCAACAGTGGTGGGCCGGCTGGGGCGTTGGTGCGGCCTGGGAGCTGGCGAGGGACTCGCCGCACTCTTCGAGGCCGCTGGGCCGGTCATAGAACATCCAGGGTCCCCCGGGGTGAAGTAAACTGTGGGCGCGGACGTAGCCCGGGTTCCTGGCGCCCCGGCTGGGCGCCCATCTCCACGGCCTCGGGTGGTGCAGGTGTTTAGTCGTTCCGCTGACTATGAAAGAGCATGGGACGAGGAATCGTACAGTCTTAATCTCTCTTCTGTCGTGGCTGCGACCCCTCGGTATTCATGTGGGAAAATACTGATTTGACTGGTAATGTTATTGAAGAGAAAGCGAGAGAATGGTTTGGCAGCGTTACCCAAATATTTGTTATTTTTATAGTTTTAAAGGCCTTATACTATTATTAAGGAAATGCATTTCTGGCTAAGTCTGACAGTACAGGAACGCAGACCTGCTACTCTCACCAGGGGCTGAACTAACAGAACAAAAAAAGATAGATGTATCACGGTGGTGGGACCATGGAGGGGGCAGTTTTTCAACTGGACAAAATGATGTTAAAGTGCTTAAAGAAGGATAAATATGTGAAAGTAGCCAGGAAAATTCTAAAATTAATGCTAATAAGGGAGATTAGCTCTCCAGAACCACCAGATATTATAACATAAAGGTATAGCAATTAAACTAGCATAGAAGATGGGTGCAGCAGTGTGGGCCCGTAGTCCTGGCTACTTGGTAGGCTGAGGCGGCAGGATCCCTTGAGCCCAGGAGTCAGAGACCAGCATGGGTATCAAAAGGAAACCCTGTCTCTGAAAATAAATAAATTAATTTAAAAAGTTTGGGACTCAGCAGGAGCTTACAGGTAGATAAAATATATTAGAACTCAGAATAAGAGCGATTTATATATAGGGATTTATTATATAGGCGAGGTGGTACTGTATTTCAAATCAGCATTGAAGAGATGAATTGGGGTCAGGCAGCTTTTTTAGCAATTTAGAAAATAATTAAACCAGTCGAGCGAGGTGGCTCACACCTGTAATCCCAGCACTTTGGGAGGCCAAAGCGGGTGGATCACTTGAGGTCAGGAGTTCCAGACCAGCCTGGCCAACCTGGTGAAACACCGTCTCTACTATGGCGCGCGCCTGTAATCCCAGCTACTGGGGAGGCTGAGGCAGGAGAATTGCTTGAACTTGGGAGGCGGAGGTTGCAGCGAGCCGAGATTGCACCACTGCACTCCAGCCTGGGTGACAGAGCAAGACTATGCTTTGAAAAAGAAGGAAAAAAAAAAGGAATGAAGCCCATTTTGAGCACCACAATAATTTCCAAATGGACTAAAATTTAAATGTTAAAAAATTACATCACGAATTAGCCGGGTGTGTTTGGGCGCCTGTAGTCCCAGCCGCTTGGGAGGCTGAGGCACGAGAATCTCTTGAATCTGGGAGGCAGAGGTTGTGGTGAGCCGAGATCGTGCCACTGCACTCCAGCTTAGGCCACAGAGCAGACTCTCTCAAAAAAAAAAAAAAATTACATCATGAAGTACTGAAGTAAAGCATTGTTGAATTTATTTATAATCTTAGAATGACAAAAAACTCTTCTAAGTGTTTCATGTCATCCAGAAGCCAGGAAGGAAAAGATTCATACTTTTAACTCTATAAAATTTAAAATCTATATGGCCTGCAAAATTCAACCAAACCAAAAAAACTACCAGAAGCCAAATAAACTTATGAAAATGTTTGTTTAATGATCAATTAGAAAATTATGAAACCCGACTGGGTGCAGTGGCTCATGCCAGTAAACCAGCACTTTGGGAGGTTGAGGTAGGAGGATCACTTGAGGTCAGGAGTTCAAGGGCAACATAGCGAGACCTTGCTTCTACAAAAAATTTAAAAATTAGCTGGACACTGGTGCGCGCCTGTAGTCCCAGCTACCCATGAGGTTGAAGTGGGATGATTGCTTGAGCCTGGGAGGTCAAGGCTACAGTGAGTTGTGATTGCAGCACTGCACTCCCAGCCTGGGTCACAGAGTGGGACTTTTATCTCAAATAATAATAATAAGAAGAAGTTTTTAAAAAGAAAAATTTAAAGAGAAAAATGATCAAGAGTACCTGGACAAGAAAATCAGAAGAAATACAAGTGGCAAAAATCTATAGCAAGAGACAACTATCTCACTAACTTCAAAGTGGAAATTAAAACAGTAATGAGGGGGGTTTTTTGGCCCTTTATTGGCAAACATGACAAAGACTGGAAATAGGATTGTGTGGAAACAGAAGGGTGTTAGTGGAAATATAAATGAGTATAACTTTTTGGAGGGCAATTTGGAAATGATTTACTCAGCCATTCAATAGATAAGAATCTCTACAAATATGCAAATTGCAGAAAAACATGTTGTTTAACATTGATGTTTTTAGTATTGTTTTAGAAAATATTTGATAAAAGATGTCAGCCAGTAGATGACTGGTTAAATAAATTATGGTAGATCCATAAAATGAATACTGTGTAGCTGTTTTTGTTGTTGTTGTTGTTTAAAGACAGGGTCTTGCTGTGTTCTCCAGGCTGGAGTGCAGAGTGGCGTGATTGTGGCTCACTGCAGCCTTAACCTCTTGGGCTCAAGCAATCCTTTCACCTCAGCCTCCCGAATAGCTGGGACTACAGATATGTGCCACCATGCCCTGCTAATTTTTTTTGTAGAGATGTGGTTTTATCATGTTATCCAGGCTGGTCTGGAACTGCTGAGCTCAAGCGATCCTCCCACCTCAGCCTCTCAAAGTGCTGGAGTTACAGGCGTGAGCCACTGCACCCAGCCCTGTGTAGCTGTTTAAAAGAATATGGTAGATCCATGTGTACTGACAAAGAAAGATGTCAAATATACAAGGTTAGGTGAAACAGGTGTTTCAGAATAATGCATATGGTAAGATCCTATTTCATAAAATAAAACTGTAAGTTAATATATGTATAAAAAGAATCTCGAGCTGGGTGCAGTGGCTCACACCTGTAATCCCAGCACTTTGGGAGGCCAAGGCAGGTGGATCATGAGGTCAGGAGTTTGAGACCAGCCTGACCAACATGGTGAAACCCCGTCTCTACTGAAAATACAAAAATTAGCTGGGCATGGTGACACGTGCCTGTAATCCTGGCAACTCAGGAGGCTGAGGCAGGAGAATCGCTTGAACCCGGGAGATGGAGGTTGCAGTGAGCCAAGATCACACCATTGCACTCCAACCTGGGAGACAGAGCAAGACTCCGTCTCAAAAAAAAGAAAAATAGAATCTAGAAGACTATACCCTGCGCTTAACAGTAGTTAGCAGTAATGAATCAGGATGGAAACATGGTCTTGGGACACAAGAGCAGGGTGATGGCAGGGCAGAGCCATAGGTGTAGGCTGTTGGGAGGATCTGGGCAAGAGGCAGAAAGCAAAAGCGGGTAGGGGAGGGCTGGGTTGGTTTTGGTCTTAGGTTTCTGTGCTATGCTTTTGCATTTCACTCTCAACCTTTGAGAATTGTAGGAGTTTCCTAGATAGGTTTCAGTTGTATACCCTTTCTTGATAAATTAGTAGTAGAAGGCAACTATTTATTACTTTTAGGGTCTTTGGAATATTGTTTATTGATTTTCTGATCCCATCTTTCTTCCATAAGGTAACCATGGAGAAAGAGCTGCGGAGCACCATTCTTTTCAATGCCTACAAAAAGGAGATATTTACCACCAACAATGGCTACAAATCCATGCAGAAAAAACTTCGGAGTAATTGGAAGATTCAGAGGTGACTGACCATGTATATTGTTTTCCCTTC
This sequence comes from Homo sapiens, assembly GCF_000001405.40. Taxonomy (NCBI): domain Eukaryota; kingdom Metazoa; phylum Chordata; class Mammalia; order Primates; family Hominidae; genus Homo; species Homo sapiens. The sequence goes on from NC_000020.11 coordinate 43,594,848, forward strand.
TAAATGATATTGTCCTGCTGATAAAGCTGAGAAGTCTTTATTTTCTTAGGTAACATAGATTGTTTAGGTGGGAGAAGCTCAATTTAAAGATTATTCAGAATTAGGTCTGGCGTGGTGGCTCACACCTGTAATCCCAGCAGTTTGGGAGGCTGAGGCGGGCGGATCACGAGGTCAAGAGATCAAGACTGGCCGGCACGGTGGCTGACACCTGTAATCCCAGCACTTTGGGAGGCCAAGGCGGGTGGATCATGAGGTCATGGGTTCGAGACAAGCCTGGACAAGATGGTGAAACCCCATCGCTACTAAAAATTAAAAAAAAAATTAGCGAAGTGTGGTGGTGGGCGCCTGTAATCCCAGCTCCTTGGGAGGCTGAAGCAGAGAATTGCTTGAACCCGGGAGGCAGAGGTTGCAGTGAGCCGAGATTGTGCCACTGCGCTCCAGCCTGGGCAACAGAGTGAGACTCCGTCTCAAAAAAAAAAAAAAAAAAAAAAGAAAGATCAAGACCATCCTGGCCAACATGGCGAAACCCTGTCTCTACTAAAAATACAAAAATCAGCTGGGCATGATCGTGCGTGCCTATGGTCCCAGCTGCTCGGGAGGCTGAGGCAGGAGAATCGCTTAAATCCAGGAGGCGGAGGTTACAGTAAGCCGAGATTGCGCCACTGCACTCCAGCTTGGTGACAGAGCGAGACTCTGTCTAAAAAAATAAAAAAACATTATTCAGAATGAAATAAATTCTTATTAAAACGTCTCTTGGGCAGGACGCGGTGGCTCATGCCTGTAATCCCAGCACTTTGGGAGGCTGAAGCAGGCAGATCACTAGAGGTCAAGAGTTGGCGACCAGCCTGGCCTACATGGCAAAACCTCATCTCTACTGAAAATACAAAAATTAGCCAGACATGATGGTGCATGCCTATAATCCCAGCTACTAAGGAGGCTGAGGCACAAGAATCCCTTGAACCCAGGAAGTGAATGCCTGCAGTGAGCCGAGATCATGCCACTGCACTCCAGCCTGGGAAACAGAGGGAGACTCTGTCAAAAACAAAAATTAAAAAAAAAATGTCTTTCGAAATCAGCAATTAGGATATTATTAAAGCAGCATATTATTAAGTTGTTTTCCAAATCACAAGCCAAAAGATTATTCTAATTATACACATGTAGCTTTTTAAGATGTTAGAGGCTTTCTTCATATTTTGACTCAGGTCAGTACTAGGGAAAGGAAACATGAGAATTAAATGAGAATAACTTTGTGTATGTGCATGTTTTTCTTAATAGGTGAGGATATGTAATCATACAAGCTAATGGTAGGGCTGATTGAATTAGTAGTTGCAGACTTCCTTATGCTTTAGCATGGCTTGATTTGAACACCTTGACTTACTGGAAGTATTTGAACAGAGGCCAGATGACTCTGGGGCAGGCCTGTAGAGGGAATTCTCACTTTGGGAGAGAGACTGGACCAGTTACCTCTAAATCCCTTCATCTCTGAGCCTCTGTGGCCTCTGCTTCCAAATAGTTAAGAGACTAAAATAATACATAAATTGGTTTAAATTATGGACTTCATATTTGCTTTTAAAATTGTATTTCCAGCTTAAAAGATGAAATCACATCTGAGAAGTTAAATGGAGTGAAACTGTGGATTACAGCTGGGCCAAGGGAAAAATTTACTGCAGCTGAGGTAAGAAATATCCACTAAAGAAGGAATATGGTGAAATGATTAGGAGTCTGAGCTTTGAAATACCGGATTTGAATCCCCCTTCACCACTTACTGTGTGGCCTTAAGGTAGTCACTTCATCTCTCTTTTCATCATGGAGTTGTGATGATTAACTGAGATACTCCATGTAAAGTACCAAACACATAGTGTGGGCCAATTAAATATTAGCCACACTTCTTTTTTTTTTTTTTTTTTTTTTTGAGACAGAGTCTCGCTCTGTCGCCGAGGCTGGAGTGCAGTGGCGCAATCTCGGCTCACTGCAACCTCCACCTCCCGGGTTCAAGCAATTCTCACTGCCTCAGCCTCCTGAGTAGCTGGGACTACAGGTGCCCACCACCACGCCCGGCTAATTTTTGTATTTTTGGTGCAGATGGGGTCTCACCATATTGGCCAGGCTGGTCTCAAACTCCTGACCTTGTGATCTGCCTACCTCAGCCTCCCAAAGTGCTGGGATTACAGGTGTGAGCCACCGAGCCCAGCCAGTAGCCACATTTCTTTGCTATATTTTTGCTTTGAAAATAGGAAAATTCCGCCAGGCGCGGTGGCTCACACCTGTAATCCCAACACTTTGGGAGGCCGAGGCAGGCAGATCACCTGAGGTCGGGAGTTCAAGACCACCCTGACCAACATGGAGAAACCCCGTCTCTACTAAAAATACAAAATTAGCCAGGCGTGGTGGCGCATTCCTGTAATCCCAGCTACATGAGAGGCTGAGGCAGGAGAATCGCTTGAACCTGGGAGGCGGAGCTTGCTGTGTGCCAAGATCGCGCCATCTCACTCCAGCCTGGGCAACAAGAGCAAAACTCCATCTCAAAAAAAAAAAAAGAAAGAAAATAGGAATTCATTTAAAATAAAAGTGTTTATTATTCTAGTTCATGGAATGGATAAAGAATGATAAATGTAAGGCCCAGAATACAAATGACAAGTATTGGTGAGAATGGGAAGTTATTGGAACCCTTCCACACTGATGGTGGGAATGTAAAATGATGCAGTCACCATGAAAAACAGTATGGTAGTTCCTCAAAAATTTAAGCATAAAATTGCCATATGATGGCTGTGTGTGGTGGCCCACGCCTGTAATCCCAGCACTTTGGGAGGCTGAGAAGGGTGGATCACTTGAGGTCAGGAGTTCGAGACTAGCCTGGCCAACATGGTGAAACCTCATCTCTACTAAAAATACAAAAATTAGCCGGGCGTGATGGTGTGCGCCTGTAATCCCAACTACTTGGGAGGCTGAGGCAGGAGAATCACTTGAACCTGGGAGGCGGAGTTGCAGCGAGCAGAGATCGGGCCACTGCACTCCAGCGTTGGCAACAGAGTGAGACTCTTTCAAAAAAAAAAAAAAAAAAAAACTGCCATATGATCTAGCAATTCCACTTCTGGGTATATGCCCAAAAGAATGGAAAACCAGATCTCAGAGATAGTTGCACACCTATCTTCCTAGCAGCGCTATTCACAATAGCCAAAAGGTGGAAATAGCCCAAGTATCCATCGGCAGATGAGTAGATAAGATATGGTATATACATACAATGGAATATTATTCAATCTTAAATAGGAAGGTAATTCTGATACATGCTACACATGGATGAATCTTGAGGACATTATGCCAAACGAAAATAAGGCAGACACAAAAAGACAAATACTGTATGATTTCACTTATGCAAGCATGAGGTACGTAGAGTAGTCGAATTCGTAGAGACAGAAAATAGAAGGGTGGTGGTTGCCAGGGCCTGGGGGAGGTGGGGAATGGAGCGTTGCTGCTTAATAGGTATAGAGTTTCAGTTTTGCAAGATGAAAACAGTTCTGCAGATTGATTGCCTAACAGTGTGAGTATATTTAATACTGCTGAACTAGGCCAGGTGCGGTGGCTAACACCTGTAATCCCAGCACTTTGGGAGGCTGAGGTGGGTGGATCACTTGAGGCTAGGAGTTTGAGACCAGCTTGGCCAACATGGTGAAACCTCATCTCTACTAAAAATACAAAAATTAGCCGGGCTTGGTGGCACATGCTTGTACTCCCAGCTACTTGGGAAGTGGAGGTGGGAGAATCGCTTGAACCTGGGAGGCGGAGGTTGCAGTGAGCCGAGATTGCGCCACCGCACTCCAGCCTGGCGACAGAGACCCTGTCTGAAAAGAAAAAACAAACAAACAAAAAACTGCTGAACTATATACTTCAGAATGGTTAAGATGGTAAATTTAGGAAAGATTAGGTGTGTTTTTTCACAGTCAATAAAACAAAAAACCCAGAACATAGAAAGAGCCATTTTACAGAGAATGGGAAGTACCTTTGTGCTGAGAGAGAATATGGGGAATAGAGAGGTTGAGGCAGGGCAAGGCCAATGTGGTCCTTAGATTGAGGCAGGCCAAGGTCTCCTGCTGTTACTCTGGGTGGTGCCATGGGGAAGAGGTCCACTGGGGAGCATTTCTAGTGCACTTTGTTTCTCAATTTGATTGCAAAGTGACCTTCCCCCGCTGGGAATGGCATGGAGAGGGACATGATTGTTTGATCAGGTTAATTGACAGAAGGAGTAGAAATTACCATTGGGAATGTGGAGGTAACCAGCAACTCCTACCCACTGAGACCCTGAGGGATATGTACACACAGAGGGCAGTGGCCTGCAGAGCAACACTCTATTGCTTGTTGGGCTTCGGCTCCATCTCCCCATCCACCTAGCGAAGCCAATGAGAGAGTTGGCCTGATGTTTGCCAGGGACCAACCAGCCTCAGGAACACAGGGGCATCCAAAGAGAGGGTCAGAACCTGGTGCCTGGGCCTTTTCCCAAGTGGAGATGGGTGCCAGGCCAAGCCTTAGTTTGGGCTTCCAGGCATGGTAGGCTGATGCATCCAAGAGACACAAGTCCTTCGAGAGGCAAATTTGATGTAACTTTAGCCTAATAAAACGTCCTCTCCCAGACCAGTCCCTGACACCATACCTTCTCTTTAGAGTTGGAGTGAGGTGGGAAGAAAAGGGAAAAAAGCTGTTAGCTTTTTTTCTAGGAATCAGCATTCCTTTGTGTTACAGTTCTTCCAATGGGCTCATGCTTGTGAGATCACTGCTTTCCTTGTCATTGCTGCTGGCCTCCTAGACTGTTACCCCTGGAGAGCTGTGTGATGCCTTTTTCATGTTGACTTCCAGAAACTTCTGTGACAGGACAGACATCATATGTCTGATATTAGATGCTAGTATCATGCTAGAAACTAGGCTGAACAGTCTTTCCTTATTTCCACCTCAACTACATTGACGCATTACACTAGCTTTGTGGTGGTATTCAGTTACGACCAGGTAACCACGTGGCTGAGACGAGTATTTTCCAACCCTAACAGACCAGCATCCACCTATATTACAGATGCCAACTTTGTTACCCTGAATTGAAATGCAAAGATAATCTAACCCACCACCATTAAAAAAGTAAAGCAATATAACTTCCTAACTTTAATGTACAGAAATTAAAGGATGATTTATAAAAGAATATGTGTATTTCAAATTGTAAATGTTTATGCATATATATACTAGAAGAATATACATATTTCAGTTTGTTAATGCTTGGTCATACATGCATTAGAACACTTCTTTATGTTTGACATTTTGAAATAAATGTTTAATAAGTATGTAGAACTCCGATGAATGGGATAGGTACATATGCAGACTGGTGGAAGTGATGTATTGGCAATTCAAATCATGAGCCGTGTTGCTGTCGGTGATGTGATTTTTCCAAAATACTGACTAACTCTTGGTAAAGTTCTATTTTTTTTTTTTTTTCCTGAGACGGAGTCTTGCTCTGTCACCCAGGCTGGAGTGCAGTGGAGTGATCTCAGCTCACTGCAAGCTCCGCCTCCCGGGTTCACGCCATTCTCCTGCCTCAGCCTTCCGAGTAGGTGGTACTACAGGTGCCCACCACCACGCCCGGCTAATTTTTTGTATTTTTAGTAGAGATGGGGTTTCACCGTGTTAGCCAGGGTGATCTCGATCTCCTGGCCTTGTGATCCGCCCGCCTTGGCCTCTGGTAAAGTTCTGTTAATAAAAAGAGTATAATTCTTCTCTCAGTTTACATGGTAGTTGGGTACCTCCGAATTCAGTATATGTTAAATCGTGCAAAAAATACTTTGTACAGTATTTACATAGAATTTGAGCTGGGCGCAGTAGCTTACTCCTGTAATCCCAGGAGTTTGGGAGGCCGAGGCGGGTGGAACACCAGACGTCAGGAGTTTGAGACTAGCCTGGCCAACATGGTGAAACCTTGTCTCTACTGAAAATACAAAAATTAGCCAGGTGTGGTGGCAGGCTCCTGTAGTCACAACTACTCAGGAGGCTGAGGCAGGAGAATCACTTGAACCCAGGAGGCGAAGTTTGCAGTGAGCCGAGATCGAGCCACTGCAGCATGGGTGACAGAGCAAGACTTCATCTCAAAAAAAATAAAGAAATTGGAGTTAGATTTTAGGCTGAGCTTCTTTTGTTTGTTTGCTTTTTCTTTTTTAAACCTCCGTGACTATCTGAGAAGATATTCAAATGCTGTGGAATAGTTCTTTACTGTGTGGGACTGGTCTGAATATTGCAGGACCTTAACTTCCCTGCCCTTCACCCGCTAAAATGTCCTTAAACATTAATATTATGGCATTAATATTTTGCCATATTAATATTAATATTATGGTGATCCAGAATACATGCTAGATGGTTTAAATGCCTCCACTGAGAGCCACTGGCCTGGATCATCCAGTCTCGATTACAGGAAATACCTCACATTTGCTGCCACACTAACAGTGTGAATGCATTCTAAGCCAATTTCTAAAATTCAAGTCTGCAAAATTAATCTTTCTTCCTGTTTTTGCCATAAAGAAATAAGAAACCTCCAGTTTGTACCAAATATCCATTCTTTTGTTAGAAGGGTCTCACTTACGTGTATAGCTGGAAACTGGGTCATAATTCATGTAAGCTCCTTCAACTTTTGCCCACCTGTGTTATTGCACACCACATCCTTCATGTATCTTTTTCTTAAAATGCCAGATGGCCAATAGGACACAGTAGATACCAATAACTACTATATACTCATTGCATTTAGGCAACATGGACAAATCCCAGAACCACATAATCATGAAAACCAAGTCCCAGTAGAATTTCCCAAGCAAAAGCTATGTTCTGAGAATATATATTGCAAACTAGACCTGGCTTGCTATTATCAGTCATAGAACATAGCATATATTTAGGGCTGTCTGGGAAGAGGAGTTTGAGAGGAAATCAAAAGGAAGGAAAAGGAAGATGAATTTAGGGAGAGATTCAGTCTGTTGTTCAGGGTCCAGGATCATGCAGTTATAACCCATTTGTTTTGTTTTTCTGTTGTTGTTCCAAAAAATGTTTACTAAGGATCTGTTACACACCTAGTAACAGGTCCTAGGACTAACGCTAGGGATCAAAGTCAAATAGCACATGATCTCTCCACTCAAGGAACCGATAGTCTAGGGGAAATGACACAAATGGACCATCTACCAATAATGATCAATGTTCTAAGTTCCACATTTCTACAGAAACACAGAAAAGAGGCATTGGATTATTGGGTCCAGAGGAAATGGACTTTGAGCTGATTTTTATTTTATTTATTTATTTATTTATTTATTTATTTATTTATTTTGAGACAGAGTCTTGCTCTGTCGCCAGGCTGGAGTGCATTGGCGCATTCTCGGCTCATTGCAACCTCCGCCTCCCAGGTTCAACTGATTCTCCTGCCTCAGCCTCCCGAGTAGCGGGGATTACAGGCATCTGCCCCCACACCTGGCTATTTGTATTTTTAGTAGACACGGGGTTTCACCATGTTGGCCAGGCTGGTCTCGAGCTCCTGACCTCAAGTGATCCACCCACCTCAGCCTCCCAAACTGTTGGGATTACAGGCATGAGCCACTGCACCCCGCCTTAATTTTGATTTTGAAATAATTCATTTTTTATTTTGTTTTGTTTTTTTGTTGTGTTTCGTTTTTGAGATGGAATCTTGCTCTGTTGCCCAGGCTGGAATGCAGTGGTGCAATCTCGGCTCACTGCAACCTCCACCACCTGGGTTCAAGCAATTCCCCTCCCTCAACCTTCCAAGTAGCTGGGGCTACGGGTGCATACCACCACGCCTGGCTAATTTTTGCATTTTTAGTAGAGACGGGGGTTTCACCATGTTGGCCAAGCTGGTCTCGAACTCCTCACCTCAAGTGATCCGCCTACCTTGGCCTCTGAAGATTCATTTGTTTTATACAGTGTGGGGAAGGCAGGGGGAGAGGAAAATTCAGGGAGCATACAAGAGCGAGAGGGCCGTGCTGTGGCAAATCTAGTCTGGGCAGTAGTTTCCAAAGTAGGATGCATGTGATGAATCAGTGGGGTGCCAAAAGGAAATTATGTTTATTATTCATATTTTCATTACCCTTAAAACATTTCCTTTTTGGGAGTTGTTTTGAATTATAAAGTACATATTTTATATAGAGATACATACATATTGAATGTATTTATATACATGTTCAGATTTTTTTCTGCTGGAGTGCTTGATGAAGAAAGTTGAGAAACTATTTGTCTGGACCACCCACCCCAGATTTTCTCAGGCTAGACCAGCAAGATCAACCCTAGATTTTTCTCCCTTCCCCAGCTTTGTGAAAATGAGAGAGCTTCCAGGAGATAAGCAGAAAACATGCGTTTCTCTCTATGGTTTGGTTGGTCAATGACCTTGAACAGAATTCCTCCCAGGTGTGGTATGAAATGACTTCATCCTGATATCCTCTGTGGGCAGTCAAGAGAAGGCATTGTCTAAATCAGTGGTTCTTAACTAGGGGTGATTCTATTTCTTCTTCTCCTGAGGGAACATGTGGCAATCTCAAGAGACATTTTTGGTTGCCAGGGGAAGGTAGGTACAACTGGCATCTAGTAGGTGGAGACCAGGGGTGCTGCTGAATGGAGAACTGAGTGCTTCCTTTAGTTAAGTTTTTCACTTTTGACTTGCTCTCTAGATAGTCAGCTTTGAAATTGTCAATTTACTTTGAGTATTTTGGAGCTTTATGCTCAAAGACAAGCTTGGAGATCCTACATAGAGAGTACTTTTTATCTTATATACATTTATATGTAAATGCCTTATAGATTTGAAATATGTATTTTTCATCTAGTTAAGGTCTTATTCATGGTATTTCGGGCAAAAGTCTTTCAAGTATATTCATAGATTGCTTTTTTCCTTTGTGTAGTTTGAAATCCTGAAGAAATATCTTGACACTGGTGGAGATGTCTTTGTGATGCTAGGAGAAGGTGGAGAATCCAGATTTGACACCAATATTAACTTTTTACTAGAAGAATATGGAATCATGGTTAATAATGGTAATTAGTATTATTATTTTCAGTAGAGGCAGTACTTTTCTATCTATTATTTGATATCATAGCCCTCTAGGTCCAGTGGCATAATGGAAAAAGCCCTGGGCTGTGTGTGCGTGTTTTAATGTTCCATTCTCATCAGCAGTCTGAGCCTCCTAGGCTTGGGCTGCTTCCATTTATAAAGCGAGATGGATTGGAACCAAGTTCCAGGGTGCCCTTCAGGTCAAAATTGGTATGAGTCTATAATATCGAATTTATTTCTAACCTAAAATATACCTCCTTCTCTTTTTCCCTCATAGATGCTGTGGTTAGAAATGTATATCACAAATATTTCCATCCTAAAGAAGCTCTAGTTTCCAGTGGAGTCTTGAACAGGTAAGCATGTTGAAAGCAGAAATATCTTGGCAAGGCATCGTCGCTCACACCTGTAATCCCAGCACTTTGGGAAGCCAAGGTGGATGGATCATTTTGAGGTCAGGAGTTCCAAACCAGCCTGGCCAACATGGTGAAACCCCATCTCCCTGTCTAAAAATACAAAAAAAATTAGCCAGGCATTGTAGCAGGCGCCTGTAATCCCAGCTACTCGGGAGGCTGAGGCAGGAGAATCACTTGAGCCCGGGAAGCAGAGGTTGCATTGAGCTGAGATTGCACCATTGTACTCTGGCCTGGCTGACAGAGCGAGACTTCATCTCAAAAAAAAAATAAAGCAGAAATATCCTTACACATAACTCTCATTTCTTCTACATAAATCTTCCCTCGTCTCTTCTCATACATTCTTTTCACTGCCCTTTCTTCTTTCTTGCCTTTTTGTTTTGTGTTATTATAATTTATTTTACTATATTACTACTACTCATTCATCAAATTATTTTTCTTCATCTTTTGAAACTTACTTCACATTCAATTTATTTTTTGTTTATATATATATGTATTTTTTGAGACAGAGTCTTGCTCTGTTGCTCAGGCTGGAATGCAGTGGTGGGAACACAGTTCACTGCAGCCTTGACCTCCCAGGCTTAAGCAATCCTCCCACCTTAGCCTCATACTTGCTGTACTAATGAATGCAGTGTGAAATTCTCAAATTTTTTTTGTTTACTAGATTTTAATTTTTCTTCTTCAAGGGAAATTAGCCGAGCTGCAGGAAAGGCTGTGCCTGGGATCATTGATGAGGAAAGCAGTGGAAACAATGCCCAGTGAGTGTGTTTTCTGATGCCACATGAGGAAGATGTATCATTTTGGAGTCTTCTTTTTCAAAATGAAAAGAGCTTTTGTTTCTGGTTACAAAAATAATCAGAATTTGAACAGTTCAAGAGGAAAAAAGTAGAAGCTCTGCACTGTAAGTCCATGCTCCTCCCCCTGAAGGTAGTCTTAATATAGTATTTAGGCCCAGCATGGTGGCTCACGCCTGTAATCCTAGCACTTTTGGGAGGCCGAGGTGGGTGGCCCACCTGAGGTCAGGAGTTAGAGACAAGTGTAACCAACATGGCAAAATCCCATCTCTACTAAAAATACAAAAATTAGCCAGGCGTGGTGGTGTGCACCTGTAGTCCCAGCTACTCGGGAGGCTGAGACAGGAGAACTGTTTGAACCCCGGAGGCGGAAGTTGCAGTGAGCCAAGATTACGCCACTGCACTCCAGCCTGGGCAACAGAGCAAGACTCCATCTCAAAAAATATATAGTATGGTATTTAGATTTCTAGGTTTTTTTTTTTCCATGTATAAAGTTATAGGTGAGTACCTCTTCATTTTTAATGACTGGATTAAATTGGATATATCCCAGTTTATCTAACCAACTCCCTATTATTGGACATTTAAGTAGTTTATAATGTTTTTCTTTAATAATACCACCTAATGTTTGTCAAGCATCGACTGTGTGACAGGCATGTATTACCTCATTTAATCCTTACAACTCTGGAAAGTTAGAGATGAGATACAGAGATGTAATTGCCCAAATGCACATGACTACTCTGTGTCAGAACTTAGATGCAAACATAGGCAGTCTATTCTAGAGCCTGCACTCTTAACTTCTGTTCCGTATTGTTGTTATAGACAATTTTATAGCCGGGTGTGGTAGCTCACTCCTGTAATTGCAGCACTTTGGGTGGCCAAGGCGAGTGGATCACCTGAGGTCACGAGTTTGAAACCAGCCTGGCTAACATGGCGAAACCCCGTCTTTACTAAAAATAGAAAATTTAGCTGTGCGTGGTAGTGGGCGCCTATAATCCCAGCTACTGGGGAGGTTGAGGCAGGAGAATCACTTGAACCTGGGAGGTGGAGGTTGCATTGAGCTGCCATCGTACCATTGCACTCTAGCCTGGGGGACAGATGGAGACTTCGTCTAAAAAAAAAAAAATTATATTTGTCATTATAGATAATAAAGCACAAATGAACATCTTTTTTTTTTTTTTTTTTGAGATGGAGTCTCACTCTGTCACCCAGGCTGGAGTGCAGTGGCATGATCTCAGCTCACTGCAACCTCCGCCTCCCAGGTTCAAGTGGTTCTCCTGCCTCAGCCTCCCATGTAGCTGGGATTACAGGCATCTGCCACCACACCCAGCTAATTTCTCTATTTTTAGTAGAGATGGGGTTTCACCATGTTGGTCAGGCTGGTCTTGAACTCCTGACCTCAGGTGATCCACCTGCCTCGGCCTCCCAAAGTGCTGGGATAAGTGAACATCTTTGTATGTACAGTTTTGTGCACTTGTGGTAGTATTTTTTTTTTTTTAATTGATCATTCTTGGGTGTTTCTCGCAGAGGGGGATTTGGCAGGGTCATAGGACAATAGTGGAGGGAAGGTCAGCAGATAAACAAGTGAACAAAGGTCTCTGGTTTTCCTAGGCAGAGGACCCTGCAGCCTTCCGCAGTGTTTGTGTCCCTGGGTACTTGAGATTAGGGAGTGGTGATGACTCTTAACGAGCATGCTGCCTTCAGGCATCTGTTTGACAAAGCACATCTTGCACCGCCCTTAATCCATTTAACCCTGAGTGGACACAGCACATGTTTCAGAGAGCACAGGGTTGGGGGTAAGGTCACAGATCAACAGGATCCCAAGGCAGAATTTTTCTTAGTACAGAACAAAATGAAAAGTCTCCCGTGTCTACTTCTTTCTACACAGACACAGCAACCATCCGATTTCTCAATCTTTTCCCCACCTTTCCCCTCTTTCTATTCCACAAAACCGCCATTGTCATCATGGCCCGTTCTCAATGAGCTGTTGGGTACACCTCCCAGACTGGGTGGTTGCCAGGCAGAGGGGCTCCTCACTTCCCAGTAGGGGCAGCCGGGCAGAGGCGCCCCTCACCTCCTGGATGGGGCGGCTGGCCGGGCGGGGGGCTGACCCCCCCACCTCCCTCCCGGACGGGGCGGCTGGCCGGGCGGGGGGCTGACCCCCCCACCTCCCTCCCGGACGGGGCGGCTGGCCTGGCGGGGGCTGACCCCCACCTCCCTCCCGGACTGGGTGGCTGCCGGGCGGAGACGCTCCTCACTTCCCAGACAGGGTGGCTGCCGGGCGGAGGGGCTCCTCACTTCTCAGACGGGGCGGCTGCCGGGCGGAGGGGCTCCTCACTTCTCAGACAGGGCGGCTGGGCAGAGACACTCCTCACCTCCCAGACGGGGTCGTGGCCGGGCAGAGGCGCTCCTCACATCCCAGACGGGGCGGCGTGGCAGAGGCGCTCCCCACATCTCAGACGATGGGCGGCCGGGCAGAGATGCTCCGCACTTCCTAAATGGGATGGCATCCTAGATGGGATGGCGGCCGGGCAGAGACGCTCCTCACTTTCCAGACTGGGCAGCCAGGCAGAGGGGCTCCTCACATCCCAGATGATGGGCGGCCAGGCAGAGACGCTCCTCACTTCCCAGACGGGGTGGCGGCCGGGCAGAGGCTGCACTCTCGGCACTTTGGGAGGCCAAGACAGGCGGCTGGGAGGTGGAGGTTGTAGCGAGCCGAGATCACGCCACTGCACTCCAGCCTGGGCACCGTTGAGCACTGAGTGAACAAGACTCCGTCTGCAATCCCGGCACCTCGGGAGGCCGAGGCTGGGGGATCACTCGCGGTTAGGAGCTGGAGACCAGCCCAGCCAACACAGCGAAACCCCGTCTCCACCAAAAAAAATACGAAAACCAGACAGGCGTGGCGGTGCGCGCCTGCAATCACAGGCACTCGGCAGGCTGAGGCAGGAAATCAGGCAGGGAGGTTGCAGTGAGCCGAGATGGCAGCAGTATAGTCCAGCTTCGGCTCGGCATCAGAGGGAGACCGTGGAAAGAGAGGGAGAGGGAGACCGTGGGGAGAGGGAGAGGGAGAGGGAGAGGGAGTGGGAGTATTTTTTAGGGTAAATTTCTCAGCATTGAAATTTCTGGGTCAGAGGTCTTCCAACAGATGGGTTACCAAATGTAATGTGTTACCAGATGTCTCTCAGGGAGGTGGTACCACTTACAGTCCCTATGAGCACACACCTTTTTCCTCTCTTGCCAGCATGGAGTATTCTAGTAAACATCGTATCTCTTTCTTTTAATTTGCATTTTTTTAAATTATTAGTGCATAGGATGACCTTTAAAGTCTATTGGCTGATTGTATTTCTTCTGTGAACTTCATGTTCATTGCTTTTTGGCCATTTTTCAATTGATGGTTTGTCTTTTCGCATTCATTTATAATACCTCTGTACTTTGAAATATTTTACCCAGTAAAAATTGACATTCTTATGTAGTTAAAGCATGTTACAAAGTTTTAGTAGTGAAAATAATGTGGTCCGGGTACCGTGGCTCACCCCTATAATCCCAACACTTTGGGAGGCTGAGGCAGGCAGATCACTTGAGCTCAGGAGTTCAAGACCAGCTTGGGCAACATGGCGAAACCCTGTCTTTACAAAAAAATACAAAAATTTAGCCGGTCGTTGGTGGCTCGCACCTGTATTCCCAGCTACTCAGGAGACTGAGGCTGGAGAATTGCTTGAGCCCAGGAAGCAGAGGTGGCAGTGAGCCGAGATTGCGCCGCTGCACTCCAGCCTGGGTGACAGATGAGACTCTGTCTCAAAAAATATGTAAATAAAATGAAATTAAAAAATAAAATAATGTGATTGGCTGTGTGCAGTGGCTCACACCTATAATCCCAGCACTTTGGGAGGTCGAGATGGGCCAATGGGTTGAGGCTAAGAGTTCAAGACCAGTCTGGGCAACATAGTGGGACCCTGTCTCTACAAAAAAAAAAAAACTGAAAATTAGCCATATGTGGTGGCACACACCCATAGGCCCAGCTACTCTGGAGGCTGAGGCAAGAGGATTGCTTGAACCCAGAAGGTTGAGGCTGCAGTGAGCCGTGATCATGCCACTGTACTCCAGCCTGGGTGACAGAGCAAGACTATCTCAAAAAAATAATAAAATGTGGTCATAGTTCAGAAATAGTTTTAAAAAAATAAATAATACAGATTAAAATTAGACCAAAAACATATATGGAGGGTGGGGATTATTTGTGTATAGTAAAAGTGGCATTTCAAATATTAGAGATGGATGGCATAATTCTGGGTAAACATTTGGAGAAATAGTTTCATTTTCATACCACACCCCAAAATGTATTCTGGATAGGCTAAAATTTTTAATATTAAAAATGAAAGCATATGCCGGACGCGGTGGCTCACGCCTGTAATCCCAACACTTTGGGAGGCCGAGGTGGGCGGATCACCTGAGATCAGGCGTTCAAGACCAGCCTGACCAACATGGTGAAACCCCATCTATATTAAAAAAAACAACAAAATTAGCCAAGGATGGTGGCGGGCACCTGTAATCTCAGCTACTCAGGAAGCTGAGACAGGAGAATCACTTGAACCTGGGAGGCGGAGGTTGCATTTAGCCGAGATCACACCATTGCACTCCGGCCTGGGCAACAGGAGCGAAACTCCGTCTCAAAAAAAAAAAAAAAAAAAAAAAATTAGCCTGTCGTGGTGGTGCATGCCTGTCATCCCAGCTACTCGGGAGGCTGAGGCAGGAGAATTGCTTGAACCCAGGAGGCAGAGGTTGCCGTGAGCCAAAATCGCACCACTGCACTCCAGCCTGGGCAACAGAGCAAGACTCCGTCTTGAAAAAATAAAATAAAATTAAATTAAATTAAATTAAATTTTAAAAGAAAGCATAGAAGTACTTAAAGAAGCCCAGGTACGATGACTCATGCCTGTAATCCCAGCATTTTGGGAGACTGAGGCAGGCAGATCACCTGAGGTTAAGAGTTCAGGACCAGCCTGGCCAACCCCCATCTCTACTAAAAAATACAAAACTTAGCCAGACGTGGTGGCACAAGCCTGTAATCCCAGTTACTCGGGAGGCTGAGGCAGGAGAATTGCTTGAACCCGGGAGGCGGAGGGTGCGATGAGCCGAGATTGCATCACTGCACTCCAGCCTGGGCGACAGAGCGAGACACCAACGCAAAAAAAAAAAAAAAAACCTTAAAAAAAATAAGTGAATATTTTAAATTCTTGGAGTAGGGAAGACCTTTCTTAGTAGAAACAAAGTCAAGTCATAAGGGGGAATATGTATAGCAATATAATTCACAGAGTTAATATTTTTGACTGTCAAGAATCAATCTAGGCTGGGCGCAGTGACTCACGCCTGTAATTCCAGCACTTTGGGAGGCTGAGGCAGGCAGATCACGAGGTCAGGAGATCAGGACCATCCTGGATAACACGATGAAACCCTGTCTCTACTAAAAACAAAACAAAACAAAATTAGCCAGGCGTGGTGGCGGGCACCTGTAGTCCCAACTACTCGGGAGGCTGAGGCAGGAGAATGGTGTGAACCCGGGAGGCGGAGCTTGCAGTGAGCCGAGATCACGCCACCGCAATCTAGCCTGGGCGACAGAGCGAGACTCCGTCTCAAAAAAAAAAGAAAAAAAAAAAGGAATCAATCTAATTATTTCACTTTGTGTCAGCTTATCCAACTGGTATAGGTAAAAGAACTGTAGACTTGGAATTAGAAGGAATTGTTAGAAGTTCCTGATTCCCTCTCTTACTTGCCAAGGGTGACCCAAGGCATAGTAACTGTTAGTGTCTGTTTCCCTATCTGTGTAGTGGGGATAATGTTAACCTTACAAAATTGTTGGAAAATTTCAGTAAGGTGATATTTGTGAAAGTGCTTTGTAAAGTTGAAAGCCTAGTGCCCTACTTGTTGTTGCGTTATGACTTTGTAATTAATTATAGTGAAGGGAATATGTCTAGTTGTTCCTTTCCTGGATTATCCAGGAAACAGCTTCCTGGTAGACTTTGAGGTATGGACTAGTCCTGCTTCTTGCTTTGAGGTATCTTTGCCTGTTGGAGTCTCAGATTCTCCTTTATCCTTATTTCCTGTTATGTCCCTTCTCCCTTCTCTCACTCTGCTGTAGCCACACTGACTTTGTTTCAATCCTTAAATAAGTGAAGCTTGTATTCATCTTAGGGACTTTACACAAGCTATTCCGTCTTTTAGGAAAACTCTTTCTGAAACTTTTCACTGAGCTAATCTTATTCATTCACATGGTTTGGAAAGTTCTGTTTTGGGGATGGGTGTTTAAGTTTATACTTAGTCTTATCAAAATGTCAGTCTTTTTTTTTTTTTTTTTTTTTTTTTTTGGAGACAGAGTTTCGCCCAGGCTGGAGTGCAATGGCACCATCTCATCTCACTGCAACCTCCACCTCCTGGGTTCAAGCAATTCTCCTGACTCCCGAGTAGCTGGGATTACAGGTGCCCGCCACCACACCCGGCTAAGTTTTGTATTTTGAGTAGAGACAGGGCTTCACCATGTTGGCCAGGCTGGTCTTGAACTCCTAACCTCAGGTTAGTCTGGCCTAGTCTCATTGATTTTTTTAGTAGTAATAAAAGAAATACAGGAGTGTAAATAATAGCAAATAGGCCGGTCACAGTGGCTCACACCTGTAATCCCAGCAGTTTGGGAGGCTGAGGCGGGTGGATCACCTGAGGTCAGGAGTTTGAGACTAGCCTGACCAACATGGTGAAACCCCATCTTTACTAAAAGTACAAAAAGTAGCCGGGCGTGGTGGTGCACACCTGTAATCCCAGCTGCTCGGGAGGCTGAGGCAGGGGAATTGCCTGAACCCAGGAGGCAGAGGTTGCAGTAAGCTGAGATCACGCCATTGCACTCCAGCCTGGGTGATAAGAGCAAAACTCCATCTCGAAAAATAATAATAATAATAATAATAGCAGATAGTTTTTATCTTGCTACTCAAGTGTCCGTTCTCCCTTATGCCTTGAGAATCATCTTCCATTGATTGCATTTTGGGAAAATGTGGGGGATAGATGTGCATTGACCTCCATATGACTATTTCTCCCACCTACTTTTTCTTCCTCCATGGACAACTGCTTGTTTTCTTCTGCTTCTGGCCCAGAGATCATGGGCTGTAATCCACCTTGCTGGGATACTGCTGGAGTAAGGGTAGAAGGTGGAGTTTGGAGAATGTGGGCCAAGTACCACTTCTCTTTCATAGTATGACAACAAAAGTCATAGGGTAGATGAGATTTTACTGAAGGAATGGGGAAGATTAACACCAGAGGGAGGCCAGGCCCGGTGGTTTATGCTTGTAATTCCAGCACTTTCGGAGGTCAAGGTGGGCGGATTGCCTGAGCTCAGGAGTTCAAGACCAGCCTGGGCAACATGGTGAAACCCCGTTTCTACAAAAAATATAAAAATTAGTAGGTGTGGTGGCATGCACCTGTGGTCCCAGCTACTCAGGGCACTAAGGCAAGAGAATCGCTTCAGCCCAGGAGATTGAGGCTGCAGTGAGCCATGTTCATACCACTGCACTCCAGCCTGGGCAACAAAGTGAGATCCTGTCTTAAAAAACAAAACAAAACAAACAAAAACACTAGAGGGAAATAATTTTAAACTTAAGCCAAAAAGAATTTTTGTTGTCTAAAGAAAAAGGGAAATTAAAATCTCTATGAGGAACCCCTCATGGGTGCTTCCCCTATACCCCCTCCCCCAGTTTCTAACCTTACGCCCTGGTGTTGAGATCTGTGTTTCTCTCCATTCTGAGAGCACTTCCTTCAAGCTTTGCAGAGCTCCATCTTTGAGTAAAACCCTAACCCCTCCTACATGGGTTGGCTTCACCCCAGAATCTGCACCCCACCTTTGCTCCTCTATCCCACACCCTCTCCAGGAGTACATTGCCCCAGGTCAGACCAATTCACTCTAGATAATCTAAGACAAGTCTTTGTTAGGACAGTGGAGAGTAGAGGAGGGACTCCAAAGCAGATCTGTGTAGAAGTGTCCATTATAGCGTATATTTATGCCTCTGTTCATGTGACATTTAACTGGTAACATACCCATCCAGTGATATACATTAATTCTTAGAGATAGCACTAGCCAAACCTAAGGAAGAAGAACGTATTTACCAGTAAGATATTATTATGCAGAGCAGCTTGAGTTCAGTTCTTGGATGAGGCCCCATCCTCTTCCTCCTCCCTCCATCAGGGGCTTCTTTAGTTCTCCCAGTTACAGTCACTTACACTTTCCTGTTAATTTACTTTCATGTTTTTTAAAATGCTTTATTAAATGTGTAGCTAGAGTTGTCCCAGTTTTTAAGTTAACAAACCAAAGCTTAGAAAAAATTTTTTGTTTGATAATGAATCAAAGAGTGTTACTCAGCTGAGCACCGTGGCACACGCCTGTAATCCCAGCACTTTGGGAGGCCAAGGTGGGCAGATCACTTGAGGCCAGGAGTTCAAGACCAGCCTGGTCAACATGGTAAAACCCTGGCTCTACTAAAAATACAAAAATTAACTGGGCGTGATAGCAGGCACTGAGGCTGCAGAACAGCTTAAACCTGAGAGGCGGAGGTTACAGTGAGCCAAGATCGCACCACTGCACTGCAGCCTGGGTGACTGAGTGAGACTGTTTCAAAAAAGAGTGTTACTCAAGAAACATTGAGATTATTTTCAGAATTTTTGTATTCATGTTTTTAAAATTTGAATGTGTTTCTTTAATTTCTTACAGGGCTCTCACCTTTGTGTATCCTTTTGGTGCCACATTGAGTGTCATGAAACCAGCAGTGGCGGTTCTGTCTACAGGTTCTGTCTGCTTCCCACTTAACAGACCCATTTTGGCTTTCTATCACTCAAAGGTACAGCTTTTCTTAGATATGGGTATAGATGTTATTTTTATTGTTGAAATAATAAAAACCACCTTACCATTTCCAGAAGGCTTCTATATGTTTTCTCACTGGTCTTCCTGCCAGTCCTGCAAAGTAGCATTTCAGCTATATACATTTTGCTTATGGGGAAACAGTGGATTGTCCAGTAATTGATGAAGTTAAGGCCTAAACCTAGCTCTTATTATTCTAAACCCGAAGCTTTTCCACTGTAGCATGAGGCTACCTGTATTATAACTTTTTTTTTTTTTTTGAGATGGAGTCTCTGTTGCCCAGGCTGGAGTGCAGTGGTGCAATCTCGGCTCACTGCAAGCTCCACCTCCCGGGTTCACGCCATTCTCCTGCCTCAGCCTCCCGAGTAGCTAAGACTACAGGCACCTACCACCACGCCCAGCTAATTTTTTGTATTTTTAGTAGAGACAGGGTTTCACCATGTTAGCCAGGATGGTCTCGATCTCCTGACCATCCTGCCTCGTGGTCCACCCGCCTTGGCCTCCCGAAGTGCTGTATTATAACTTTTAAAATAACTTTTTTTTTTTTTTGATCCCATGGCAGCATATTGATGAAAATAACTTTTAATCCTGTCTGTGACTATGGGCTGTCACCCTCAGTGTAAAGAGAATACATTCAGGAACAGATGGAGTTAACATATTACACAAAATAGCACAGAATTATGTTGCTGTTAGTTTATACTAGGAAAATATATCAGAAAACTATTTTTCCAGTTATTATCCTAGAGACCCCATAGAAATGTGGGCACAGCTAGTCCCAGGCAGTGACCCAACATCCCACTGCCTTTCTTTTTCTTTTTTTTTTTTTTTTTGAGATGGAGTCTCACTCTGTTGTGCAGGCTGGAGTACAGTGGCATGATCTTGGCTCACTGCAACCTCCGCCTACCAGGTTCAAGCAATTCTCCTGCCTCAGCCTCCCGAGTAGCTGGGATTACAGGTGCCTGCCACCAAGCATGGCTAATTTTTGTATTTTTGGGAGAGATGGAGTTTCACTATGTTGGCCAGGCTGATCTCGAACTCCTGACCTCAAGTGATTCACCCACCTTGGCTTCCCAAAGTGCTGGGATTACAGGCATGAGCTCTGTTGCCCAGGCTGGAGTGCAGTGGCGCAATCTTGGCTCACTGCAATCTCTGCCTCCCGCCTCAGCCTTCCAAGTAGCTGGGATTACAGGCCTGCACCACCACACCCTGCTAATTTTTGTATTTTAATAGAGATGGGGATTTACCATGTTGCCCAGGCTGGTCTTAAACTTCTGAGCTCAGGCAATCCCCCCCACCTCAGCCTCCCAAAGTGCTGGGATTATAGGCATGAGCCACTGTGCCCAGCCCCCACTGCGTTTTAATTCACATTTTGCTGAATTTACCTTCATCTGCCCCCTAAGACAGAATTCACCAGCTGATCTCCTAATTTTTTTTCTAGGGACCTAGGTGTCTCTAGCTCTGAACAATCCTATTTTTCTTTGTGGTACCTAGGAATTACCTTTCCCTTCTTATTTAAAAGCTCTCGGGCTGGGCGTGGTGGCTCACACCTGCAATCCCAGCACTTTGGGAGGCCAAGGTGGGTGGATCACTTGAGGTCAGGAGTCCAAGACCAGCTTGGCCAACGTGATGAAACCCCGTCTCTACTAAAAATACAAAAATTGACCAGGCGTAGTGGCTCACGCCTGTAATCCCAGCACTTTGGGAGGCCAAGGCGGGTGGATCACGAGGTCAGGAGATTGAGACCATCCTGGCCAACATGGTGAAACCCCCTCTCTACTAAAATTACAAAAATTAGCTGGGCGTGGTGTGGTGGCACGCGCCTGTAATCCCAGCTACTCAGGAAGCTGAGGCACGAGAATCGCTTGAACCCAGGAGGTTGCAGTGAGCCGAGATTGTGCCACTGCACTCCAGCCTGGAGGCAGAGTGAGACTCCGTCTCAAAGAAAAAAAAAATATTGAAAAATTAGCCAGGCACGGTGGCAGGCTTTGCAGCATTTGCTTTTAACCTGGTACAAATCAGAGGGTTTTTTTTACCAATTTTTTAAAAATGTATGTAATGTGTGTATTTATGTCTCTTGACATCTCTGGCTTAGTATAATTCTTTTCCTGGGGAAGTTATAACTATGCCTGTTCCCTGTATGTGATGTAGCTAAAAAAACCGATTTCATTTTGTATTTTTACTATTGAACTGGTTTTCTCATTACAAAAGTAATAATGTGCTCATTGTTGGGCTGAGCGTGGTGGCTCACAACTGTAATCCCAGCACTTTGGGAGGTCAAGGCGGGCAAATCACTTGAGGTCAGGAGTTCGAGACTAGCCTGGCCAACATAGTGAAACCTTGTCTCTACTAAGAATACAAAAATATTAGCCCAGCATGATGGTGAGTGCCTGTAATCCCAGCTACTCCAGAGACTGAGGCAAGAGAATCACTTGAACCCTGGAAGCGGAGGTTGCAGTGAGCCAAGATCATGCCACTGCACTCCAGCCTGGGCAGTGGAGCAAGACACTGTCTCCAAAAAAAAAAAAAAAAAGTAATATTGTAGAAATGTTACAATAATTGTAGAAAAAATGAACAATACAGAGATAAAGCAAAAGAAAAAAAATTCCCCCATCGCACTACTCCAAGACTCTAAGACAGCCCAGGTTGACATATTATTCACTTTCTCCTACTTTTGCTTTGCCTTATTTTTATTTATTTGCCTCGTAAGCTTTAAAGTAGAATAGCAATATAATTTATAGTATAGGTCAGGCATGGTGACTCATGCCTATAATCTTAGCACTTTGGGAGGTTAAGGAGGTAGGATCACTTGAGGCCAGGAGTTTGATACCAGCCTTGGCAACATAGTAAGACCTGTCTCTACGAAAAAGTTAGCTGAGTGTGGTGTTATGCTCCTGTAGTCCTGGCTACTTGGGAGGCTGAGGCAGGAGGATCACTTGAACCCAGGAGTTCGAGGCTGCAGTGAGCCATGATTGTGCCACTGCACTCCAGCCTGGGAGACAGAGTGAGACCCTATCTCTAAAAATGGGAAAAAAATTATAGTATACTTTTTTTTTAACCGAATGATGTGTTGGAAGCATTTTCCCATGTTACTGAAAACCCTTTATAATATGAAATTTAACTGCTGAAGAAGGTTGCATCATTCTGAATTACTTTTTTGTGAACATTTGGATTTATTTCTAATTTTTTGTGACTATAACTACACAACTGGGCATAGAATTTTTTATGTTTCAGACTGCTTTTGTTGCATATGTTAATAGTTTCAGCAACAATGTGTGAAAGAACTTATTTCACTAAAATTCGACTAGCGCTGTTTATATCATATTTTCATATTTATTTATCTGATAGGAAAAAGTACTTTGTTTTTATTTGTTAAAAGTTACAAGTATTGAAAATTTTTCTTATTAACCAGTCATTATTTTATGACTCTCTCATGCTTGTGCCTTAGTTTTCTGGTTTTTTTTTTTTGAGACGGAGTCTCACTCTGTCGCCCAGGCTGGGGTGCAGTGGTGCGATCTTGCTTCACTGCAACCTCCGCTTCCCAGATTCAAGTGATTCTCATGCCTCAGCTTCCTGAGTAGTTGGGATTACAGGCATGCACCACCATGCCTGACTAATTTTTGTATTTTTAATAGAGACGGAGTTTGGCCATCTTGGCCAGCCTGGTCTCGAACTCCTGGCCTCAAGTGATCCACCCGCCTCGGCCTCTTAAAATGCTGGGATTACAGGCATGAGCCACTGCGCCCAGCCTTGCCTTAGCTTTCTTTGAGACTGAGTCTTACTCTGTTGCCCAGGCTGGAGTGCAGTGGCGCGATCTCAGCTCGCTGCAACCTCGCCTCCCAGGTTCAAGCAATCCTCCCGCCACAGCCTCCCAGGTAGCTGTGGGAGTACAGGTGCGTGCCACCAACCCTAGCTAATTTTTGTATTTCTAGTAGAGACAGGGTTTTGCCTCCCATGTTAGCTAGGCTGGTCTTGAACTACTGATCTCAGGGTGATCTGCCCACCTTGGCCTCCCAAAGTGCTGGGATTACAGGCGTGAGCCACTGCACTCAGCCTGCTTTAGCTTTCTATTTGGATCTTACTTAAATACTTTTTTTTTTGGTACCCATAGGTATCTTTAATTGTACAGACTGTCTTTGAGTTTATCTTTTTTCCCTTTAAAATTATGATCTTCGTTTATAAGATAAACAACAATAGGAAAATGCTGTAGAATCAATTTAATTTTTTTTTTTTTTTTTAATTTTTAGAGACAGGGTTTCCCAGGCTGGAGTGCATGGTGCAGTCATAGCTCATTGTAACCTCGAGCTCCTGGGCTCAAGTGATTCTCCTGCCCCAGCTTCCCAAGTAGCTAGGACTACAGGTATGCCTCACCACACCCAGCTAATGTAGAATTAATTTATGTTAGTTTTCGTTAAAGCCAAATAAAAAAATATAGAAGTATCTAAAATGAGAGGCAGGTTAAAGTGTAGTAGTTATTATAGTTGGTCTTTCTTTTTTTTGTTTTTTGAGATGGAGTCTCGCTCTGTTGCCCAGGCTGGAGTACAGTGGCGCGATCTCAGCTCACTGCAACCTCCGCCTCCTAAGTTCAAGCGATTTCCCTGCCTCAGCCTCCCGAGTAGCTGGGACTACAGGCGCATGCCACCACACCTGGCTGATTTTTTTTTATTTTTAGTAGAGACGGGGTTTCACCATGTTGGCCAGGCTGGTTTTGAACTCTCAACCTCAGGTGATCCGCCTGCCTCGGCCTCCCAAAGTGCTGGGATTACAGGCTGATCCACTGCGCCTGGCCTATAGTTGGTATTTCTAAACTTTAAAATCTGGGTGTGAATTGGCACTCTTCAGTATATAAGACAGTTGCTAGCATGATTCTAATAAGTGTCTGGGTACTAGGATACATGAGATGCACTTTCGGATTTGAGTATCTGACCCTGCTTTGTCATCAATAGAACCAAGGTGGGAAGCTGGCAGTGCTTGGTTCATGTCACATGTTCAGTGATCAATATTTGGACAAAGAAGAAAACAGCAAAATCATGGTAAGCTTTTTCTTTTGTCATATTAATATACAATGTGTATTATTTTCATGTCATTTAAAAAAATACTGGTAAGTTTATTTGCTCATTTAAAAGCAGCTACTCAGAACCCATTATATGCCAGGCACTGAGAATACAAAGTCGAGTCAGGCATAGTCCCAGTCCCTGCTTTGGAAAAGTTTGTAATACACTGAGAGAGAGAGAGACAAATTAGTAAACCCAGAAGGGTGTTTCTGAGCATGTCAGGTGGGGTGGGAGCTGAGCCTGGAGAAGCGGAGAGGAACAGGCTCAATAGCAGTATCACGTGTAAGGCCAAGGAGCTTGAACTTGATGCTGAAAGCCACAGGGAGCCCTTGGGTTTTCAGCAGCCTTGAGCATAGCCAGATCTGTGTTTCTTCTTTTTTTGTTGTTGTTGTTTATGAAAGAACTTCTAGAATGTTTTGGAAAGATTCTTCTGTCAGTTGTGTGGAAAGTGGAAAGGAGGAGGCAGCCTAGAGCCAATTAGGAAGGTGGTGGTGTCACCAGGCAAGGAGAAATGGGGACCTGAATTACGGGAGTCAAGGTGTGAGTGGAGAGGAGGGGCTGGTAGGAATGGGAATTAGGAAAGGCTCTGTAGAGGACTACTCACTGACTGATGTGGCAAATAAAGTAAAGGCATTGCAATTTTGTCAAAAAAATGCCAAGGGAACATGTCTTACGGAAGATGGCAGAGTAGGGAAGCACATGTCTGTACAGCATGTGCCAGAGCTGTCCATTGGTGATTCCAGTGAGAGAAAGAAACGCCTTATAATTGTTATATTGGGAGATTGATAAAGATCTTATTTCTGTGGAATTTACATGAAGTTTCAATGTCTCTAGACACATTATGGGAGATCTAGATATTCTACTTTTTTTTTTTTTTTTTTTTTTTTGACATGGAGTCTCTGTCTGTCACCCAGGCTGGAGTGCAATGGCACCACCTCAGCTCACTGCAACCATCGCCTCACGGGTTCAAGCGATTCTCCTGCCTCAGCCTCCTGAGTAGCTGGGATTATAGGTGTGCGCCACCACACCAGGCTAATTTTTGTATTTTTAGTAGAGATGAGGTTTCACTATGTTGGCCAGGCTGGTCTCGAACTCCTGACTTCAGGTGATCCACCTGCCTCAGCCTCCCAAAGTGCTGGGATTACAGCTTGAGCCACCACTCCCGGCCTAGGTATTCTTCTTTTCAAAAGTTTTAATTTCAGACTGTCATCACAGTAAATAGGGATTAATTCAGGATTGTGAACAAAGGTTAATAAATTTTAGCTTGTGGTTAGAGGTTAGGGTGCTTAAAGATACATTATAAATTTCTGATAATAAAAGTTGCATTATGCTGGTCATGGCAGCTCATGCCTGTAATCCTACTACTTTGGGAGGCCGAGACAGGTGGATCACCTGCGATCAAGAATTCGAGGCCAGCCTGACCAACATGGTGAAACCCCATCTACTAAAAATACAAAAATCAACCAGGCCTGGTGGCAGGCACCTGTAATCCCAGCTCCTCAGGAGGCTGAGACAGGAGAATCGCTTGAACCCAGGAGGTGGAGGTTGCAGTGAGCCAAGATTGCGCCACCGCACTCTAACCAGGGCGACGGAGCGAGACTCTGTCTCAAAAATAAAAGGTGCATTAGGGTGAAGAAAACCTTTGAGTTCTCATATGATTGCATCAAGACAAGGCTGGCTACCCTTTTCTGAATCACTGGTTTAATCTTTCTTCCTTTATCATTCTTCTTGATTTAATTCTCTAGTCCTGACCTTCAGCTTTTTCAAATAACCAACTGTCCTAATTATATACTTTTTTTTTTAATTTAGGATGTTGTTTTCCAGTGGCTCACGACAGGAGACATCCACCTAAACCAGATTGATGCTGAGGACCCAGAGGTAGACACCGAATTATTAGAAACTTTTAAATGAAAAATGAGTCCAGCTTCTCAGTACCACTTCTCACAGCTCAAAAGGAATACATGACTGTCTTAACTCATCTGTAAGACAGATGGAACGAAGGAATGATTTGGGGGAGATGAAGGCCATATTGTAAAAAATAAGTCAATAAACAATATATGTAATTAATCATAGAATTAATTGGAGGGGGAGCATACATACATACAGTATGTATATAAATTAGAATTTAAATTATGGGCACTCTGGCCCAGACTTTCAAAATGAGCATCTGCAGAAAAATACTTTTTTCAGAAATCTGAAATTTTCTCATAAAGAAACAAAGAGTATCAGAATTTATGTTGTAAACTATAATTTTGTTGCCTTTAGATTTAACAGTTCTAAAGGCATTATAATAATATTCATCAGACAAGGGAAAGTGGTGAAACCAGCACAGTGAAATCACCACCGGCTCTTGGACCTTATACAGGTTCTTTCTGACCATTTTTCATCCTAGTTTTCTTTATTAAAAAAATTTTTTATTGTATTTATTTTTTGAGATGGAGTCTCGCTCTGTCGCCCAAGGCTGTAGTGTAGTGGCACAATCTCAGCTCACTGCAACCTCTGTCTCCTGGGTCCAAGCGATCCTTCTGCCTCAGCCTCCTGAGTAGCTGGGATTACAGATGTGAACCACCATGCCTGGCTAATTTTTGTATTTTTAGTAGAGGCAGGGTTTCACCATTTTGGCTAGGCTGGTCTCAAACTCCTGACCTCAAGTGATCCACCTGTCTCAGCTTCCCAAAGTTCTGGGATTACAGGCGTGAGCCACTGGGCCCAGCCTTCTAGTTTTCTTATCTGTGAACAGGGAACACTAATACCCGTGTTCTCTGCCTCACAGGATGGTTGTGTGGGCTAAGTTAATAGATGGTAATGTGTCAGGCATTGTATGCCATATACTTCCACATAAGTCATCTTATTTAATCCTCATAACTGCCCTGGGAGGCACATGGTCTTATTCTCATTTTATAGATGAGGAAACTGAAATCCTTCAAGATTGCAGTGTGTTCAAATGGCAGGCAAGTGCAGAGCCAGGATCCAAATCCAGGTCTCCTAATTCAAACTGCACTTACTCTACAATTGTTTCTCTATTTCTTAAACTCTGAAATGTCAGGAAAATGATTTCCTGGCCATTGGTCATAGGAGGTAGGTGAGAAGACAGTCGAAGATGGCTGTCCACTGACTGCTTCCTCCCTCACTAGGGACATGGCTTCTCAGAGACTGATTTGGGTTAGGAAACAGGAGAGCTGCATGTCTAAAATATTTCCTTATGTGGAAACATTAAGCATGTGGATATTTTGCTTCATTATTTAAGTGTAATATATTTAACCACTCTCGGCCGGGCGCGGTGGCTCACGCCTGTAATCCCAGCACTTTGGGAGGCCGAGGCGGGCGGATCACGAGGTCAGGAGATGGAGACCATCCTGGCTCACACAGTGAAACCCCATTTCTACTAAAAATACAAAAAAAAAAATTAGCCGGGCATGGTGGCAGGCACCTGTAGTCCCAGCTACTCGGGAGGCTGAGGCGGGAGAATGGCATGAACGCAGGAGGCAGAGCTTGCAGTGAGCCAAGAGCATGCCACTGCACTCCAGCCTGGGCGACAGAGCGAGACTCGTCTCAAAAAAAATAAATTTTTTATACATATATATATTCTATATTTATATTTATATATATTTTATATGTAAATATAAATATATACATATTTTATGTAAATATAAATATATACATATTTTTATGTAAATATAAATATATACATATTTTTATGTAAATATAAATATATACAAATTGTGTGTAAATATAAATATATACATATTTTTATATGTAAATATAAATATATACATATTTTTATGTGTAAATATAAATATATACATATATTTAACCACTCTCCTGTTGGCAGGCATTTATGTTTTCCTGGTCTTTTACTAGTCCACAGCATGTGTCATGACTGAGGGCTCTCAGCAATGCTGGAGGGATGTCCTTGGCTAGGGGAGAAGGACTGGGATCTAGTGTAGCAGTGGAGGAACTGTCTGTACTGGTGTCACAGGTGCTCTGGCATGTATCAGGAGGAAAGAAGCAGATAGGGCCTGGATGCTAGGGGGTGGGCACATGTTATGGTGGGAGCTTGTGGACTTTCTTTCATGATTTCCTCTATTTTCTTACTAAAATAGAAAATAAGGTCATTGCTAAAATGGTGAAAGGGAAAACCAATTTTTTTGTTTTGAGACAAAGTCTTACTGTGTCACCCAGGCTGGTGTGCAGTGGTTTGATCACGGCTCACTGCAGTGTTGACCTCCTGGACTCAGGTGATCCTCCCACCTCAGCCTCCTAAATAGCTGAGACTACAGGCACACACCACCATGCTCAGCTAAATTTTTTTGTATTTCTGTAGTGACAGGGTTTTGCCATATTGCCCAGGCTGATCTCCAACTCCTGGGCTCAAGCGATCCACTCACCTCAGCCTCCCAAAGTGTTGTAGGTGTGAGCCACTGCACCCAGCTGGGAAAATCATTTTGATGGCTGAACTGACAAAAGGGAATTATTGTCTAGAAGAATGGGAAAGTGAGTAGACTACGGAGATGTAGTTGATTGCTGAGCGCTCAAGATCAGAGATCATGAAATTAAAAGACCAGTTGATAGGGTTGTATGTTTCTCCAGCTGTTTTCAGCCATGTGAGTACTGGTGTAATTGGAGATTTGGATTTAGCCAGTACTGGGGTTTAGCCAAGTGAGTTTTGTTCCTCTTTGCACATAAATTGGCTTATTTAAGGTTTAGTGTCAGTGATCATGAACAGTAAAATTTCTTGGCAAGAGAATATAAATGTTGCAGATTTAGACCTGAGACAGTGGAGACTTGACAGAATAAATGCTTGCTCTTGCTGTGCTAAAAGGAACCCTCTTGTGGCTTTCAGATTTCTGACTACATGATGCTGCCCTACACAGCCACCCTATCAAAGCGGAATCGAGAGTGTCTCCAGGAGAGTGATGAGATCCCAAGGGACTTTACCACCCTCTTCGACCTGTCCATCTTCCAGCTGGATACCACCTCCTTCCACAGCGTCATCGAGTCAGTACCTGTGGGCCTCTGAGCCACACTGCACTCCATTCTGAGTGTTTGGTTTGGAAACATGAACCTGGGAACGGGAATTAGGGTCACAGTAAATGTGGCATGCAGAACATGTTCTCAGATCTATGATGAGGTCAACAAAGAAACTGGGCTGGGCATGAGGGGTTGATGTAGAGGAACTGCCAGAGGTTATTAGCCCCTGCGTGTTCCAGATTCTGGACCAGGCATTTAGCCTGACCAGCTTGTTTCATTTTGCCCCAGACTTCTGGTTTTAGCACAGAGAGTCCCAAGTCCCAGGAAAATGGAGTCCCAAGTCCCTCAGTAAATGGAGATGGTGGTCACCTCATTTCTCTCTGGGTATCTGGGCAACTGGTAATGCTATTAACTGGCACTTAGAATGCAGGAAAAGGAATGATAAATGGGCTGTGTTCTGGGCACTCTCAGTCTAGTGCGGATGTGCAGGTGGAACTACAAGTTTAAAGATGAAAAGATCTGTAAAGCCGTTAGGGAAGCCGTGGGATGGGATGAGGACATCAGGGACAGCACAAGAATGGGAATTGGCCTTGAGACAGGACCTCACAGCTGTCAGTGCTTGAGAGGCAGGAGAAGAAGAGGGCCAAAGACAGAAGCTGGGGAAAAGCAGTTAAAAGTACAGGACAGCGGGCAGCATCCTGAAGGCAAAGGAGGAGGAAATGACACAGAAGCAGAGGGGTTCAGAAAGGGCCAGGGCTCATCTTCACTGTTTCTAACCTGAATTTTGCTCAGGGAGAAAATTGTTTAGCTTGTCTTCCTTTCTCACCCCCGTGTATCCGGAGAGCAAGAGCCATGTCTTATCAACCTGGAATCCTCATTGCCTAAGACCCAGAGCCCAGCACATCCTGGGCATTTGGGGGATGTTTGTGAAATTAGCATGCTGCCATTCTCCTTGTGCCTTGCTTATACATCCACTCAGCAAGTATTTGTGGCACAACTACTTTTCCAGGATCTTGGGATGCTTCAGGGACCTCAATAATGAAAATCTTTGCCCTTTTGAAGTTTATTATCTAGCAAAACAGACAGGCATCAAGACATTTCTATATGTGTGATGTAAATTAAAGAATATGTTAGAAGATGATTACATACGTCAAGCAGAGTACTGGGGTAGGGGAGTGCCAGGCACATTGCATTTTAAATAGGGTGTTCAGGCCAGGCGTGGTGGCTCACACCTGTAATCCTAGCACTTTGGGAGGCCAAGATGGGAAGATCGCGAGGTCAGGCGTTCGAGACCAGCCTGGCCAACATGGCGAAACCCCGTCTCTACTAAAAATACAAAAATTAGCTGGGCACGATGGTGGGCACCTGTAATCCCAGCTACTCAAAGGCTGAGGCAGGAGAATCGTTTGAACCCAGAAGGCAGAGATGGCGGTGAGTCAAGATCATACCATTGCACTCCAGCCTGGGTGACGGGAAGACTCCATCTCAAAAAAAAAAATAGGGTGATCAGGATGGCTTCATTGAAAAGGTTAGATATTTGAGGAAAAACCTGAAGGAGGTAAAGAATTTAGCCTTGTGGCTATCTGAGGGAAGAGTATTCTGGGCAGAGGAAACAGCCAGTCCTAAGACTGCAAGACGGAGGAATGCCTGATACATTCAAGGAAGAGCAACAAGGCCATCGTGGCCACTGCAGAGTGAGTAGGGGTGAGAATGGTGGGAGATCAGGCCTGGCCTACTTTTTTGCCTCTGTAAGGACTTCCTTGGCTTTCACTCTGGGTGAAAAGAGGAGCCACTGAGAGTTCTGAGCAGAGGTATGGCATAATGACTTCCTTATATCCCGAACGTCAAGGAGCAAGAATGGAGGTAGGGCCTGAAGGGAGCGGTCACAGTAACTCAGGCATGAGTTACTTGGGAGGCTGAGGTGGGAGGATTGCTTGGGCCCCAAAGGTTAAGGCTGCAGTGACCCGCTCCAGCCTGGTCAACAGAGAGAGATCTTGTCTCCGGAAAAAAAAAAAAAAAAAAAAAGTTGCAATAACTGAGTTGAGAAAGACTGCGAGTAGATTTTGCAGGAAGAGCAGAAGTTCAGTTTGAGGTATATGGAGTTGAGATGTCAATTAGGTATCCAGATGATGTTTAGTAGCAGTTTTATATTTTAACCTGGTGGTCAGAAGAGATCTCTGAGCTGCACATTTAATTTGGGAGTTTGGGGGCACATCTGTACTTCATCTAAAGCATACATCTTTTCCTTTTTTTTTTTTTTTGGAGACAGAATTTCACTGTTTTTGCCCAAGCTGGAGTGCAGTGGCGCAATCTCTGCTCACTGCGACCTCTGCCTCCCAGGCTCAAGCAATTCTCCTGCCTGAGCCTCCTGAGTAGCACCACCATGCCCAGCTATTTTTGTATTTTTAGTAGAGTCGGGGTTTCACCATGTTGGCCAGGCTGGTCTCGAACTCCTAACCTCAGGTGATCCACCTACCTCGGCCTCCCAAAGTGCTGGGATTAAAGGCATGAGCCACAGCACCTGGACCTATTTTCAAATCTATAAAATCAGGATGAATCTTTTTTCTTATTTTTTGCCTTTTTTTCTTTCTTTTCCTTTTTTTCTGTTTTTCAGGATGAATCTTAACAATAGATGATGTATGAGTTTAATTAGCATTTTTTTTCTTTCAATGGACCATAAATTATGATGCATCTTACCTTTGGTGGATTCTTAGATTTGATGAAATATGGTAGATAGTATGTAAAGCCATGTGACTGGATGAGCTCACAAAGTGTTAAAAGTGTTGATAGAGAAGAAAAAAGGACCATCTATTGAGCCCTGGGGCACCCCAGAGTTTAGAATTTAGGAAGAAACAGAAAATCCAGCTGGGCACGGTGACTCAACGCCTGTAATCCCAGCACTTTGGGAGGCCGAGGTGGGTGGATCACTTGAGGCCAGGAGTTTGAGACCAGCCTGGCCAACATGGTGAAACCCCATCTCTACTAAAAATAGAAAAAAAGTAGCTAGGCATGGTGGCACACGCCTGTAGTCCCAGCTACTCGGGAGGGTAAGGCAGGAGAGTCACTTGAACCCGGGTGGCAGAAGTTGCAGTGAGCCAAGAACACACCACTGGACTCCAGCCTGGGCAACAGAGCAAGACTCCATCTCAGAAAAAAAAAAAAAGAAAGGAAGAAATAGAAAAGCCAAAAGAAGAGATGGAAAAGCGCCAGCGAGTGTGAGATGAAGAAAATCAAGTGCATGGTATTCTGAGAGCCAAGCAAAGAAAGTCTGTCAAGATGGAAAGGGTAATCAGCAGTGTCAGATACTTCTGATGGGTCATAAAAAATGAGGGTTGAGAATTTATCATTGGATTTAGCAACATGGAGGTAACTGGTGATCTAGACAGGGTCTTCTTTATGACATGGTGAGGGTGAAAGCTCATTTGAAATTGGTTTAAGAGAGAATTGGACATAGCAAACATAGATAGCTCTTTTATGGTATTTGCTACAGAGAGGAACAGAGCAGGGGCAAGGGCCAGGGTCAGTAACTAGCTGGAGGAAGTAAGGTCAAGAAGGTGTTTTTTGGATGGAAGAAGTCACAGGATATTTTTATACTGGTGGGAATGTTCCAGTAGAGAGAAAAATGGATAATGTAGGAGAGAGCGAGGAAAATGGCTGGCGTGAAACACAAGAGTAAGCAAGAGACAATGGGAAAGGGGGTTTGGTAAGTTGTCTTAGCTCTTTTTCTTTTTTTTTGAAGACAGGTTTCACTCTTGCCCAGGCTGGTCTGGAACTCCTGGGCTCAAGCAGTCCTCCCACGTTGGCCTCCCAAAGTGTTGGATTATAGATGTGAGCCACCATTCCCAGCCTGGCCTTCGCTTTTATTTTTATTATGTCATATATATATAGAGAGAGAGAGAGAGAGTTTTTTTTTTTTTTTTTTTTTTTGAGATACAGTCTCACTCTTTACCCAGGCTGGAGTGCAGAGGCACGATCTCGGCTCACTGCAGCCTCCGCCTCTCAGGTTCAAGTGATCCTCCTACCTCTCAGCCTCCATAGTAGCTGGGACTACAGGCGTGCACCACCACACCTGGCTAATTGTTGTATTTTTAGTAGAGACGGGGTTTCACCATATTGGTCAGGCTGGTCTCAAACTCCTGACTTCAAGTGATCCACCCGCCTCAGCCTCCCAAAGTGTTGAGATTACAGGCATGAGCCACCACGCCCAGCCCAGTCTTAGCTTTTAGACAGAATCATGGATCATTCAGTTGGTACCCTGACTGGGGCTGCTGCCTTTCTTTCAGAGATGCCCTGCTCAGAGGGGAGGAATCTAGAGAGGCAGTCTGGCTACAGTGGTTTTGTGGCGCTGCAGTTGGCTCCACCCAGTTCAGACTTCCCAGCAGCTTTGTTTACGCTGTAAAGGGAAAATCGCCTACTCAAGCACAGATGGGAAACATGGGTGCAGACTCTGGTGGATGAGAAAAGTTGTTGATTGAAGATTGTGGAAGTTCTCAGGGCTTCAGTCCTTTTGATGAAATAGGAAACAAGATCATCAGTTAAAAATTACCAAAGAAGCCGGACATGATGGCTCACGCCTGTAATCCCAGCACTTTGGGAGGCCGAAGCGAGCGGATCACGAGGTCAGGAGTTTGAGACCAGCCTGGCCAGTATGGTGAAACCCTGTCTCTACTAAAAACACAAAAATCAGCCGAGCTTGGTGGTGCGCGCCTGTAGTCCCAGCTACTCGGGAGGCTGAGGCAGAAGAATCTCTTGAACCTGGGAAGCAGAGGTTGCAGTGAGCCGAGATCGCGCCACTGCATTCCAGCCTGGGCGACAGGCAGAGCGAGACTCCATCTCAAAAAAAAAAAATTGCCAAAGAGATAGTGGAGATTTAGGAGAGAAGGCATATATTAGGCCTCTAGGGGAGTGGGAGAGGGAGTAGACAAGGTTTCTGTAGAAGGATTTGCCAGTCCCACGGGAGGTTAGAGGTTTTGGATCTAACTACAAACCAGTAGAGTGGTATGTTTTCCTCCAAACTTGTTTAGCTGTGTAGCTGCCGGCAGAGTGGGCCCAGACATGGATTTAACTATTGTGATTTTGTCAAGCAAGTAGTATAAAGAGGAAGGGGCAATATCTTTTGTAAATGCCCAGGAATTACTTAGTTGCATGTTTTAGTATAAACAGTAACTGCTATAATTGTGGTTTTAATTAGCTTATTTTGTAAAACCTTATACATCATATCCAAAAGCTCTGTTGTACGTTTTTGTTTTTTTGTTTTGTTTTTTATTTTTTTGAGATGGAGTCTTGCTCTGTCACCCAGGCTGGAGTGCAGTGGCGCCATCTCGACTCACTGCAAGCTCCGCCTCCCGGGTTCACGCCATTCGTCGGCCTCAGCCTCCCCAGTAGCTGGGACAACAGGCGCCTGCCACCACATCCAGCTAATGTTTTGTATTTTTAGTAGAGACAGGGTTTCACTGTGTTAGCCAGGATGGTCTCGATCTCCTGACCTCGTTATCTGCCCGCCTCGGCCTCCCAAAGTGCTGGGATTACAGGCGTCAGCCACCGAGCCCGGCCCCAACTTAAGTTTTACAGACATTGAACCCCCACTTTCTGCCAAGAGCCTGCAAATACTACCACATTTACTGTTTACAACAATTCTGAAAAGTAGAGAATAGCTCCATAGTTAACTTCTAAGAAGCTGAGGCTTGGGACAATTTGCTCTAAGTTAAACAGCTACTAATCAAGCCCTGACTAACAATTGTCTTTAGCTCCCCTCTCATCTCCCCTTCCTTCAATATTAATAACAACTAACATTTATGTACTTTGCATTATCATGTAACAACCACAGTGAGGCTGTTATCTCCATTTTACATCTGAGGACGCTGAGGCACAGAGAAATTAAGTGATTTGCTTGAAATCACACAACTAGTTTTCATTGGGACCTGAATTTGAAGCCAGGCAATTTTAACTCTGAATCTTGGAAGAAATTATCTGAAAATGTGTTACTGTAGGAGGTGAGGGTGCTTTTAAGAAACAGCAGGACCAAAGCCTTCAGAGCTACCAGGGCGTGACATCTGCATCACCCCTTCCACAGGTAACAGCCTGGTCACAAATCCTGTAGCTCCTGGCTGCATGTTTGGCTCTTAACTTGCTTGGTTTTGAGCTCTGGTGTTCTCTTCCTCCTCTGCAGCTCAGGGCTTTTCTTAGAATAAAAAAAGATACATCTGACCACTCCGCTAGCCAGTTGCAGTCTGACCAGCTTCTGCTGTTTTGGCCTAATTCTCCCCTGATATGTTTAAACCAGATCATTATGATAATTCTTCAGTGTTAAATGAAGGATTAATTGGAACTGCCTACTGTCTTAGTGTCAGCAGAGTCAAATAGTGGATGTTTCAGAGACTTAGACAACTCTTGTATTTGTCTTACATACCACAGCAGAGGCCAGTAGTTACTGGCTTCTGGTGTCTATATGGTAAGCTCAGATATTTTCATTTGCTAGTAACATCTTTCAATAGTTTATCTTTTCTGAGTTAAAATTCAGTTAGGCTTTAAATATTTATGTCAACTACAGGGTGTTGCTCTGAAGTAATTTCATTTGTCCATTGGGTGTTTATCAATGCCTGTGGAGTATGAGGTAGAGGCAGATGGTGTGGAGTCCCTGCCCTTAGAGTTCATGGTCTGATGGGCTGGGGCTTGAAACATGGAGTGGTGAAAACGCAGTGCCAGAGGTCAGGCCATTCCCGAAAGATCTAGTTCAGCGCCATTTCACAGATTTATATTTAGCTTTTGCATCTGTTCTTCCCTTGGTTTTAAGATGAGTTTCTCCAGTCCCTTACCCGGTTCCCATCAAGCCATGTTGGCTAATGGTAGGAGGATAATTAGGGCAGGTGGTGAGCAGAGTGGAGGAAGGGAAGACTTAATGGGACAAAGCCTTTGCTCCAGCACAGTCAGCTCTCTCTGGGGACAGAAAGCGGAAATAAATTCACAGCTGGGATAGCTGAGGCTAGGACTCAGCAGCAGGATTCTTTGTGAGCAGGTAGTAAGAATTTTAGTTTAAAACTGCCCCTAATCACTTTTGATTTTGGGGCAGACCAAAGTAAAGATTCTGGTTGGCAGAGATTGGCTACGTCTGAGTTCTGATCTTGCCTTTGTCCCATCTTAACCATATGATTTGGGGAAGCTACTGTTTATCATTCCTGTACCTCAGTTTCTTCTATAAGAGATTATCCGACTTTCCACAGTTGTATTGAGGATTAAATAAGTTTAAGTGCCTAACACAGGGTTGGCATAATACATGGCATATAGCAGGTGCTTGATAAAAGTTATTTCTCTTCCCTCTGTGGAGATCTGCTGCTCAGTGCTAGGAAAGATTCTCCCCAAGCACCTGGAAATAGTGGAGGAGGTGAC
Organism: Homo sapiens; assembly: GCF_000001405.40. Lineage (NCBI taxonomy): Eukaryota > Metazoa > Chordata > Mammalia > Primates > Hominidae > Homo > Homo sapiens. Next base: position 43,631,405 of record NC_000020.11, read on the forward strand.
AGCAGTGAGCTCATTTAATCGTCTTTCTGCAGTCACAGACCTCACTCATAGAAAAAAGCTGCCATGATCTTTGTCCACTCATTGGCATTTGGTTTTCTAGCTTAACTTTGAAGGGCTACAAATATATGTACAATTTAAACTGGATGACAATATTTTACTTTGCCTCTTCCCCAGAAAAGTTTAGCCAGCTTAAAAAATTGCATACAATGCAAAAGGATAACATGAATGTTTGAGAGAATGAAGGCAAAGGAGAAGCCACAATAGAAAAATAATGCAGGGGTAAGATGAGCTCAGCTCTGTAGGCTCGCTCCTAACACTGATCCTCTGCTGGAGTCACTCTGGCTGGCCTGCTATTCTGTGAAAATGCCGGGCACCCTTCTGCCTGTTCTTGCTCTTGCCTCTGCCAGGGACACTTTTGAAGATAACTGCGTGACTTCCCGCCTCCCTCACTCAGGGCTCTTCTGACAAGCCACACTCCCTGCCTCTGCCCCTTCCCTGTCTCTTTCTCCTCTGATTTGTCTTTTTTTTTTTTTTTTTTAAGACAGAGTTTCGCTCTTGTTGCCCAGGCTGGAGTGCAACGGCACGATCTCCGCTCACCACAACCTCCGCCTCCTGGGTTCAAGCAATTCTCCTGCCTCAGCCTCCCGAGTAGCTGGGATTACAGGCATGCACCACCATACCTGGCTAATTTTGTATTTTTAGTAGAGACGGGGTTTCTCCATGTTAGTCAGACTGGTCTTGAACTCCCAACCCCAGGTGATCCGCCTGCCTCGGCATCCCAAAGTGCTGGGATTACAGGCGTGAGCCACTGCGCCCAGCCTATTTGTCTTCTTAATATTTATCAGTTCCTGACATCTTTTTTTTTTCTTTTTCTGAGACAGAGTCTTGCTCTGTCTCCCAGGCTAGAGTGCAGTGGTGCAGTCTCGGTTCACTGCAACCTCCGCCTCCCGGGTTCAAGCAATTCTCCTGCCTCATCCTCCTGAGTAGCTGGGATTACAGGCACGCGCCACCACGCCCAGCTAATTTTTGTATTTTTAATAGAGACGGGGTTTCACCATGTTGGCCAGGCTGGCCTCCAACTCCTGACCTCAGGTGATCCACCCACCTCAGCCTCCCAAAGTGCTGGGATTACAGGCATGAGCCCCTGCACTCGGCCAGTTCCTGACATCTTACTAGTTTTTTTGTTTAGTGTGTGCCTCCCCTCCCCCTACAATGTAAGTTCCGTGATGGCCTGCCTTGGCATCTTCTTTTACTGTTGCTGTACTCCTCATGTGTAGAACTGCCTGGTACATAGTGGATATTCAGTAATTATTTGTTGAGTGAGCACGCAGAAGTGCATATCATACAGATCTGTTTACTTGCCAGAAACAGATTTCAGATTTGACTCCTATCTCTTAATGGTGAAAAGAAATAAAAAAAACACAGGAGTTGCAAGATTCACTGTGTCCATCAGGCAAAACAAAAAGCTTATTTAGGAGAAACCTGATATGAAACTTGAAAGAAATGTTTCTTTTCAGTTCTCAATGAGTAATAATGTATGATACGGTAGAGAAGATTCCTGAAAGGATCATTACATTATTTATAACAACACATTTTGTCTCTTTTTAATTTGGACTTTATTGTATTCATAGCTTTAACTTTTTAAAAGTCAAAATTGGCCGGGCTTGGTGGCTCACGCCTGTCAATCCCAGCACTTTGGGAGGCTGAGGTGGGTGGATCACCTGAGGTTGGGAGTTCGAGACCAGCCTGACCAACATAGAGAACCCCCGTCTCTACTAAAAATACAAAATTAGCCGGGCATGGTGGCGCATGCCTGTAATCCCAGCTACTCGGGAGGCTGAGGCAGGAGAATTGCTTGAACCCGGAAGGCGGAGGTTGCGGTGAGCCGAGATCATGCCATTGTCCTCCAGCCTGGGCCACAAGAGCGAAACTCCGTCTCAAAAAAAAAAGGTCAAAATTATTTATCTTTCAAATCATGTATTAACTATTATTTGTAATCCACTATGATTAAGACAGAATTTGGGGCTGGGCACAGTGGCTCACACCTGTAATCCCAGCACTTTGGAAGGCTGAGGCGGGTGGATCACGAGGTCAGGAGTTCGAGACCAGCCTGTCCAACATGGTGAAACCCCATCTCTACTAAAAATACAAAAATTTGCTAGGCATGGTGGCACGCGTTTGTAGTCCTAGCTACTCGGGAGGTTGAGGCAGGAGCATCGCTTGAACCCGGGAGGCAGAGGTTGCAGTGAGCTGAGATTGCACCACTGCACTCCAGCCTGGGCGACAGAGTGAGACTCTGTCTCAAAAAAATAAATAAATAAAAGAGAATTTGGCTGCCTTAGGTGAGCAGTTAATACCAATCAAAAGAAAATTTAAGATTGAAGTAGCTGTAAAGAATGATGAAGACCCTCATTCCCAGGAAATCAATTTCCATCTTTGGACAAATCTCAATACCAGAAACTGATTTAAAAAGAAAAGGTTGGGTGCGGTGGCTCATGCATGTAATCCCATCACTTTGGGAAGCTGAAACAGGAGGACCTCTTGAGGCCAGGGGTTCGAGACCAGCCTGGGCAACATAGTGAGCCCTTGTCCCTACTAAAATTTTTTTTTAAAAATTAGCAAGGCATGGTGGTGCACACTCGCTCGTAGTCCTGGCTACTCAGGAGGCTGAGGTAGGATGATTGCTAGCTAGAGTCCAGGAGTTCAGGATTAAAATGAGCTATGATCATACCACTGCACTCCAGCCTGGGTGACAGAGTCAAAATTTATCTCAAAGTAAGTGTTTAGATTGTGGTTTTTGTGCATAAATGAAAAAAAAAAATAGAAGAAGAAGAAAAAAGATAAAGCACATAATACTTTAAACATATTGATGCATATGAGTGATATGGGAAGAATAAATTCAAATTTCAAAGTTGGAATTAATATAGGTATTATTATTTTGGAAGGGGAAATCTCAAACCTTTACACTAAATCAAAGAAAAAAATTCAGAATTTCAACCAGTCACCAAAGAAAGTGAAACACTGCATATCTACATGAGTATCTGAAACAGACAGAAACTAGACTAACTTCCATGAAATTAAATTCCATTAAAATATTTCATTGAAATCCCCTTGAAATACGTTAACATATTCTGATCTAAAATGAAAAAAGATTTAACTATGTAATCTATGTAAGTTAGAATGCATATTCTATTTAGAGAGTTGATTAAGTAACATTGATATTATTTTATGAGGTGTTTTTTTTTTTTAACTTTTAAGTTCAGGGGTACAAGTACAGATTTGTTACCTAGGTAAACTTGTGTCATGGGGGTTTGTTGTACAGATTATTTCATCACGCATGTGTTAAGCCTAGTATCCATTAGTTATTTTTCCCGATCCTCTCCCTCCTCCCAACCTCCAACCTTCTATAGGCCCCAGTGTGTATTCTCCCCTATGTGTCTGTGTGCTCTCATCATTTAGCTCCCACTTATAAGGACATGTAGTAGGCTGGGTGCGGTGGCTCATGCCTGTAATCTCAGCACTTTGGGAGACTGAGGCGGGTGGATCACGAGGTCAGGAGTTCAAGACCAGCCTGACCAACATGGTGAAACCCATCTCTACTAAAAATACAAAAATTAGCTGGGTGTGGTGGCGCGTGCCTGTAATCCCAGCTACTTGGGAGGCTTAGGCAGGAGAATCACTTGAACCTGGCAGGCAGAGGTTGCAGTGAGCCGAGATCGCGCCACTGCACTCCAGACTAGGTGACAGAGCAAGACTCTGTCTCCAAAAAAAAGAGAGAGAGAGAAAAAAAAAAAAAGGACATGTGGTATTTGGTTTTCTCTTCCTGTATTAGTTTGCTAAGGATAATGGCCTCTAGCGCCATCCAAGTCCTTGGCAAAGGACATGATCTCATTCTTTTTTTTTGAGACAGAATTTTTGCTCTCTTGCCCAGGCTGGAGTGCAATCGCACGATCTCTGCTCACTGTAACCTCCGCCTCTTTGGTTCAAGCGATTTTCCTGCCTCAGCCTCAGCCTCCTGAGTAGCTGGGATTATAGGCGCCAGCCACCACACCCGGCTAATTTTTGTATTTTTAGTGGAGACAAGGTTTCACTATGTTGGCCAGGCTGGTTTCGAACTCTTGACCTCAGGTGATCCACCCACCTCGGCCTCCCAAAGTGCTAAGATTATAGGGGTGAGCCACTGCGCCCAGCCAATCTCATTCTTTTTTATGGCTGCGTAGTATTCATGGTATGTACCACATTTTCTTTATCCAGTCTATCATTGATGGGCATTTGGGTTGATTCCATGTCTTTGCTATTGTGAATAGTGCTGCAGTGAACATATGCATGCATGTGTCTTTATAATAGAATGATTTATATTCCTTTGGGTGTATACCCAGTAATGGGATTGCTGGGTCCAGTGGTATTTCTAAAAATAGTACTGAACCACTGTATTTCATGGAGAACAACACAGTGTGGTCAGTTAGACGTGCTGAGCTATAGTGTCTTGATCCCTGCTTTTTTGTTTGATTATGAACACAGGGCTCACGAGCAGCTAAATGTGAAACATGAACCACTCCAGCTCATCCAGCCTCAGTTTGAGACGCCGCTGCCAACCCTTCAGCCTGCGGTGAGTAGGTGTGCTTGGGAGATCCCACTGCAGAGCCCCACTGTTGCCCTTATCTTGTCAGCAGGCATTCGCTGTGGTCCCTTCCATGTGCCATTTGTGGCACTCCTTGTGGAGTCATAGTGCTCTGTCTCTAAACATGCATGGACACCAAATTTGTTAATGTTCTATAGAGACTTCCATGTGGTATGCTTCCAAATTGAGGAATCAAGGATGTGGAGCCTTCTGGCTATTAAACATTTCCTATTCTCATCTTGTGGGGTTGGAGGGCATATATGAGATTTCTTGGATAAAAAGGAAGAAAACTTTGTACTGCCATTCCAGGTGTCAGGGCCTGATTCATAACATAATTCTCACAGCCCAGGGGATAGTTATGGTCATGTGTGTAAATAGGTTATTTTTCAACATTTCAGTCCAACATTCAACTTGCCTTTAAAATTACCTTGTCTCACCACATTCTGAAATGTTATGAGCCAGTTAGCTTGATCTTGCTTGGTAGCTTGAAATTGGCCATGGTGAGAGGATTTACATTACAGAAAATGGTAAATGCTACAAAACAGGCCTTCAGTTTTGTTTTGTTTTGAAAGTAGTTAAACATTTACCCGCATACCATTGGTTCATACCTACAAAATGTGACTCCAGGTTCAATACTTTCTACACTAATCTGCATCTGGTTCTCCAAATAACTTCCATCCCTAAAAACTTATGATTAAATGAGAAACAAGTTGTACAATCAAATGTTCAACACAAACCTAAGCCCCAAGCTTTGTGTCATCGTTCTGAGTTAATTAGCATTGGTATGTCAGCTTGGTCAGTTTAGTGGTAATTAGAGCTGGTTCTACTTGGTTGTTTACAGTGGGCTAATAATCTTTCTTGGTATGGGTCTAATGGGTGAGGGTAGACGAGGTGATGGGAGTTTGGGTATTTCATCCTCAGGGAAGAGCCGAGTTACTGTTCTGTAGGGGTTTCCATGTGGTGTGGTTCCCAACTGAGGAATTAAGGATGTGAACTTCCTTATTCTCCTTGTGTCTTATCACTGTTAGTTATGATTTTGGACAAGCTCTTTCTTGAGAGACTTTATTTCCTTTACCTTATCCTCCCTCATTTCTAAATAATGACTTTATTTCCTTTTAGGTTTTTCCTCCCAGTTTCCGGGAGTTACCACCTCCTCCTCTGGAGCTATTTGATTTAGATGAAACGTTCTCCTCTGAGAAGGCACGGCTGGCTCAGATTACCAATAAGTGTAAGTTTGGCGAACTTTTTTTTTTTGAGACAGAGTTTCACTCTTGTTGCCCAGGCTGGAGTGCAATGGTGCGATCTCGGCTCACTGCAACCTCTGTCTCCCAGGTTCAAGCGATTCTCCTGTCTCAGCCTCCCGAGTAGCTGGGATTACAGGCATGCGCCACCACGCCCAGCTAATTTTTGTATTTTTAGTAGAGACGGGGTTTCATCATATTGGTCAGGCTGGTCTCAAACTCCTGACCTCAGGCGATCAGCCCGCCTCGGCCTCCCAGAGTGCTGGGATTACAGGCGTGAGCCACCATGCCTGGCCTAAGTTTGGCCAACTTTTAAACTTTGTTTTCTCTTATGAGTTTTATTTAATCATGAATTTCTGAGAATTGCTATGAGAGACTGCTTAGAGTTTGTTTAGGGAAAACAAAATATGAATAGGAGTATAAACTTACCATTCTTATTTATGTCATGTAAATAATGTTGGTTGTTCTTCTCGAGGCTATTTAGTTCAGTGAATTAGAACATAGTGCCAAGCAGAAAGCCAAAGGTCTCAGCTTTGATCCCTGTGAGTCCTTAGTTCTGACCTATTGAGAGACCATAGAATTAATCTTGACCCTGGCTGCCACTTAGCAAATCTCAGTCAGTGGTCATAGGAGCAGCTAAATAAGGAAATTGAGTAAGGCCCAAAGAATGATAGAGACTTCAAATTGGACAGGATCTGAGAGAGAGCCAAGTGTGCCCACCTTGACATGTGGATGAAGAAATGAGGCCCCAGGCCACACAGCTCCACGGTGAGTGGTCCTCCTGACTTTTGGTCTGGGGCTGCTCCTGACATGAATTGCCTCCAACACAGCAAATGGGTCTGCACATATATGCTCAGAGGCATAAAATTAACCATCCACTTTGAGGCAGTGACCCCACTCCTGGAACTCTAATCTAAGGAGATTATATTTTTTTTTTTTTTGAGACAAAGTTTCACTCTTGTCGCCCAGCCTTGGGTGCAATAGTGCTATCTCAGCTCGAGGTAACCTCCGCCTCCTGAGTTCAAGCGATTCTCCTGCCTCAGCCTCCCAAGTAGCTGGGATTACAGTTGCCCACCGCCACGCATGGCTAATTTTTGTGTTTTTAGTAGAGATGGGGTTTTACCATGTTGGCCAAGCTGGTCTAAAACTCCAGACCTCAGGTGATCCACCCGCCTCAGCCTCCCAAAGTGCTGGGATTACAGGCATGAGCCACCACGTCCGGCCAACTTCTACACTATTTATTTTTAAAATACAATAAACTCGGGAGGCTGAGGTAGGAGGATCGCTTGAACTTAGGAATTTAAGACCAGTCTGGGCAACATAGCAAGACCCTGTCTCTAAAAATATATTTTAAAAAAATAACAATTTTTAAAAATAGAAAAAAACTATAAATTTGGGAATAGCTTTAATGTCCACTAGCAGAGTAATGGTCTTAAAATGCGTCACATTCATTTGGTAGGAGAATATGTAGTCATTATAAAAGAGGTTCACAAAGGCTAGGGAATGACACATATGACACAGACAGAATTTAAGAGAGAATCCTGAATGAAGAAAGCAAGATATAAAACTGCATGTACAAGAGGATACCAGCTATGTCAGTAACATCTGTATGTGCCCAAAGCCCAGAAAGAAGTAAGCAAAATGGAAACAGTTCAGTGTAAACGAAGACCTTTACTGCATCTCTCTTCTGTGGCAGGCATTGCTGTGGGTCCTGGGCAGTCAAAAATGAGCAGGACATAGTGATGAGTCCAGGAGGAATCACAGAACGGTGAAGAAGCAGCTTTGACTTGGCATTTCTGTTTCTAGCAACTGTCCTATGGAAATCCTTGTAGAAATGCAAGACAAAAAAGATATAGATATTAATTATAGCATTCAAAAAATTGGAAACAGTCTAATGGTCCATCCATCATTAGGGGGATTGGTTAAAAAGAGTATGAAATAAGCCTGGGTCACATAGACCCCATCTCTACAAAAAAAAAAAAAAAAATTGCCTGAGCACGGTGGATCATGCCTATAATCTGAACACTTCAAAAAGCCAAGGCAGGAGGATCAGTTGAGGCTGGGATTTCAAGACCAGCTTGGACAACATAATGAGACCTTGTCTCAAAAAAACAAAAAAAAAGGCTGGGTGCAGTGGCTCACGCCTGTAATCCCGGCACATTGGGAGGCCAAGGTGGGCAGATCACCTGAGGTTGGGAGTTCAAGACCAGCCTGACCAACATGGAGAAACCCCTTCTCTACTAAAAATACAAAATTAGCTGGGTGTGGTGGCGCATGCCTGTAATCCCAGCTACTGGGGAGGCTGAGGCAGGAGAATCGCTTGAACCCAGGAGTTGGAAGTTGCGGTGAGCCGAGATCGTGTCATTGCACTCCAGCCTGGGCAACAAGAGCGAAACTCCATCTAAAAAAAAAAATTTTTTTAAGTAGCCAGGTGCGGTGACGCATTTCTATATTCCTAGCTACTTGGAAGGCTGAGGTGGGAGGATCACTTGGGCCCAAGAGTTGGAGGCTGCAGTGAGCTATGATACACCTTGCACTCCAGCCTGGGTGACAAAGGACCCTGTTTCTGAAAAATAAATAAATAGAAACAAAATAGAATATTACATACCTGTTAAAAGAAAAATGTAGCCTGGGTGCGATGGCTCACACCTATAATCCCAGCACTTTAGGAGGCTGAGGCAAGAGGATCACTTGAGACCAGCCTGGGCAACACTGTGAGACCTCTTCTCTATAGAAGAATAAACAAAATTAGCCGGGCATGGTGGCTCACTCCTGTAGTACCAGCTACTCAGGAGGCCCAGGTGGGAGGATTGCTTGAGCCTAGGAAGTCAAGGCTGCAGTGAGCTAAGATTGTGCCACTGTCCTCTAACCTGGTTGACAGAGCGAGACCCTGTCTCAGAAAAGAAAAGGCCAGGCGCAGTGGCTCATGCCTGTAATCCCAGCACTTTGGGAGGCCGAGGCAGGTGGATCACAAGGTCAGGAGTTTGAGACCAGCCTGGCCAAGATGGTAAAACCCTGTCTCTACTAAAAATAAAAATAAAAAATTAGCCAGGCATGGTGGCAGGTGCCTGTAATCCCAGCTGCTTGGGAGGCTGAGGCAGGAGAATTGCTTGAATTCGGGAGGTGGAGGTTGCAGTAAGCCAAGATCACGCCACTGTACTCCAGTCTGGGTGACAGAGTGGGACTCCATCTGAAAAAACAAAAAAGAAAATAAAAAAAATGCAGGGCATAAACTTTGATTCGGAATGTCCATAATACATCATTAAATGATGAAGTCAACTTAGAAAACTATTCTAGTTTGATCCCATTTTTGTGAAAACTTACATTTACACACAGAAGCATACATAGCAATAATAATTCTAGGTAGTTGGTGGCAGTAGAACTAGGATGAAACATTGATACAGCTGTGGGTTTGAATGTCTTAGTAAAAAACATACATTTCTATCAAAACTTAAAATGCAAATCAGAGGGAGAATAAATTAATTACAGCTGGGCTCAGTGGCTCATGCCTATAAGCCCAGCACTTTGGGAGGCCAAAGCAGGTGGATTGCTGGAGCTCACGAGTTCGAGACCAGCTTGGGCGACATGGTGAAACCCCGTCTCAAATACAAAAAATCAGCCAGGCGTGGTGGTACACACCTGTAGTCCAAGCTACTTGGGAGGCTGAGGTGGGAGGATGGTTTGAGCCCAGGAGGCAGAAGTTGCAGTGAGCTGAAATCATGCCACTGCACTCCAGCCTGGGTGATAGAGCCAAACCTTGTCTCAAAAAAAAAAAAAAAAAAAAAAAAGGAAGAAAGAAATTACAGTATAATGTGAGAAGGGCAGTAATGGCTGTCTATCCTACATGTAGGGCTCCAGAGGATGGCTTCACAGAGCTATGTTGTTGGTGGAATTATGGGTGATTTTTTTCTTTAATTTTCTTTCTATAATATTGTTTGTTTTTTGGGGTTTTGTTTTGTTTTGTTTTGTTTTGAGACCTAATTTTGCTCTTGTTGCCCAGGCTGGAGTGCAGTGGCACGATCTTGGCTCACCACAGCCTCAGCTCACTGCAACCTCTGCCTCCCGGGTTCAAGCGATTCTCCTGCCTCAGCCTTCCTGAGTAGCTGGGATTATAGGCATGCACCACCACGCCCGGCTAATTTTGTATTTTTAGTAGAGATAGGGTTTCTCCATGTTGGTCAGGCTGGTCTCGAACTCCCGGCCTCAGATGATCCACCTGCCTCAGCCTCCCAAAGTGCTGGGATTACAGATGTGAGCCACCACGTCCCCCAGGCTGGAGTGCAATGGCGTGATCTCAGCTCACTGCAACCTCCGCCTCCCAGGGTTAAGCAATTCTCCTACCTCAGCCTCCCGAGTAGCTGGGATTACAGGTGCGCACCACCATGCCCGGCTAATTTTTTTGTATTTTTAGTAGAGACAGGGTTTCACCATGCTGGCCAGGCTGGTCTCGAACTCCTGACCTCGTGATCCGCTCACCTTGGCCTCCCAAAGTGCTGGGATTACAGGCGTGAGCCTTCACGCTCGGCTGTTTTGTTTTGTTTTGTTTGAGATGGAGTCTGTTCTGTTGCCCGGGGTGGAGTGCAGTGGCGCAATCTCTGTTCACTGCAACCTCCATCTCCCCAGTTGAGGTGATTCTCCTGCCTCAGCCTCCCGAGTAGCTGGGATTACAGGCCTGCATCACCACATCTGGCTAATTTTTGTATTTTTAGTAGAGATGGGGTTTTGCCATGTTGGCCAGGCTGATCTTGAACACCTGACCTCAAGTGATCTACCTGCTTCAGCCTTCCAAATTGCTGGGATTACAGGCATGAGCCACCACGCCCAGCCAATACAATATTGTTTTAGTAAATGCTATTTTTAATTACCCATATGCTTCTCTATAGTCATCTTTGTTGCATTCAGGGAATGATAATTTGATTTCCTACTGTTGCACCTGTTCTTTCTAATGTAGGAATACTAGATCTGAGGAATAGGAAAGCCAGTACCAGTCCAGTTTTATTCTGATTAGGAGTGCTTTTATTATAAAAGCAGCACATTAGAGAGCTCTAGGGTTTTTCAGTGTTGAAATCCTGTAGTCACATTACTTTAGGAAGAGGTGAGTGATCTTAGGAAATGTGGAAACATGACAGGGCATACCTGAAACACACTAAGTCTGTACTTTGGGAAGGGCAGAAGTTAAGAATTAATCTAACTACTACTCCAACTGTCTTAGGTACTGAAGAAGACCTGGAATTTTATGTCAGGAAGTGTGGTGATATTCTTGGAGTAACCAGTAAACTACCAAAGGACCAACAGGATGCCAAACATATCCTTGAGCACGTCTTCTTCCAAGTGGTGGAGTTCAAGAAATTGAACCAGGTACAGAGCCTACAAGGCACAGTGTAGTGGGAGCCCCTCCAGTACTGGTATCTTCCATGGACTGTGCTTGCCATGTTTTATGACGTTGATTCAGCCTGTAAATATTTATTAAGCATCTACTAGGTGAACAAAACAGACAATAAACCCTGTACTTATGGAACCTATATACTAGCTGGAGGATGTAGACAATAAGCAGTAAACATAAGTGAGTCACATAGGATGCTAGAAAATGGTAAGTGCTTTGGTATAAAAGAAGTGGAGGCTGGGCGCAGTGGCTCACGCCTGTAATCCCAACACTTTGGGAGGCTGAGGTAGGCAGATCACCCGAGGTCAGGAGTTCGAGACCAGCCTGACCAACATGGTGAAACCCCCTCTCCACTAAAAATACAAAAATTAGCCGGGCATCATGGTGCGTGCCTGTAATCCCAGCCACTCAGGAGGCTGAGGCAGATGAATCACTTGAACCCAGAAGGCAGAGGTTGTGGTGAGCTGAGATCGTGCCGTTGCACTCCAGCCTGGGCAACAGTGAGACTCTGTCTCAAAAAAAAACAAAAAAACAAAACAAAACAAAAAAAAAACAGCTGGGTGTGGTGGCTCACACCTGTAATCCCAGCACTTTGGGAGGCCGAGGCAGGTGGTTCAGCTGAGGTCAGGAGTTTGAGACCAGCCTGGCGAACATGGTGAAACTCCATCTCTACTAAAAATATAAAAATTAACCAGGTGTGGTGGTGCACGCCTGTAATCCCAGCTACTAGGGAGGCCGAGGCAGGGGAATCTCTTGAACCCAGGAGGCGGAGGTTGCAGTGAGCCAAGATGGCACCACTGTACTCCAGCCTGGGTAAGAGAGTGAGACTCTGTCTCAAAAAAAAAACAAAAAAATAGAGCTGGGTAAGAGGGATCAAGTGTGCTGAGTGTGGCCATGATGACTGGTGAGTATTAAATAGGGAGATCAGGGTGGGTTTCATTGCAAAGTTGTATTGGAGCAAAGATTTGAAGGTGTTGAGAGACTTAGCCATGCAGATATCTGGGGGAGGAGTGTCCCAGGCAGAGGGGAGATGTGTGCAAAGTTCCTAAGGCTGGGCTGTGCCTGGTATGCTTGACGAACGGCAGTGATGCCAGTGTGACAAGAGAACAGAGGAAAGGACAGAGCAGTAGAACATGAGGTGATCACCTTATGTAAGAAATGATTTTCTCAGGCCGGGCACCGTGGCCCACACCTGTAATCCCAGCAATTGGGAGCCCAAGGCGGGCAGATCACAAAGTCAAGAGATTGAGACCATCCTGGCCAACATGGTGAAACCCCATCTCTACTAAAAATACAAAAATTAGCTGGGCGTGGTGGTGCATGCCTGTAGTCCCAGCTCCCATACTCGGGAGGCTGAGACAGGAGAATTGCTTGAACCTGGGAGGCGGAGGTTACAGTAAGCCAAGACCACACCACTGCAGTCCATCCAGCCTGGCGACAGAGCAAGACTCTGTCTCAAAAAAAAAAGAAAAAGAAATCATCTTTCTCTGACTGAGGACCAAGAACTTCAAAATTATCCCTGGCCTTCTTTTTTCCAAGGATTTCAAAAATTGAATGCCCAACCAGCTTTGGTAAATAGGCATTCATACACTACTGATGGAGAATAAGTTGGTTCCACTTGTCTGGAGATATTTTTATAATACTGTTGAAAAGCCCTAAAATGTATATACCGTTGACCCATTCTAATCTTCAGAATTTGTTTTAATAATATAATTCGGAATACGTACAGATTTATCAACCAGGATTCTCAGTGCCACATTATTTTATAGAAGAAAAATCTTCATCAATAGGGAACTGGTTAAGTATCCTAGGGTACATCCATAAGATAAAAAATGTTTTTAAAAATGTTTGGCCAGGAATGGTGGCTCACGCCTGTAATCCCAGCACTTTGGGAGGCTGAGGCGGGTGGATCACGAGGTCAGGAGTTCAAGACTAGCCTGACCAACATGGTGAACCCTCCTCTCTACTAAAAATACAAAAATTAGCCAGGTGTGGTGGCGTGCACCTGTAGTCCCTGCTACTCAGGAGGCTGAGGCAGGAGAATTGCTTGAACCCGGGAGACAGAGGTTGGCAGTGAGCCAAGAACGTGCCATTGCACTCCAGCCTGGGAGACAGAGTGAGACTCTATCTCAAAAAAATAAATAAAAAATAAAAATAAAAATGTTTAAGGACTTGGGCCAGGCGCTGTGGCTCACATCTGTAATCCCAACACTTTGGGAGGCTGAGGTGGGCGGATCACTTGAGGTCAGGAATTCGAGACCAGCCTGGCCAACATGGTGAAACCCCATCTCTACTAAAAATAAAAAAATCAGCTGGGTGTGGTGGCCCGTGCCTGTAGTCCCAGTTACTCAGGAGGCTGAGGCAAGAGATTCGCTTGAACCTGGGAGGCGGAGGTTGCAGTGAGCCAAGATTGCACCACTGTACTCCAACCTGGGCAACAGAGTAAGACTCAAAAAAAAAAAAGTTTAAGGACTTGGGAATACATTCGTGATACAGTAAATATGTGGTGGGGAGAGACTAAAGAACAGTATATAGAGAGATTCTACTTTCTTTACAGAATACAATACACACATAGAATTATTTTGCATAATAAAAAAATAACATAAAGATATTTATCCTTGGGGCCCAGTGCGGTGGCTCACGCCTGTAATTAATCCCAGCACTTTGGGAGGCCAAGGCAGGTGGATCACGAGGTCAGGAGATCGAGACCATACTGGCTAACACAGTGAAACCCCGTCTCTACTAAAAATACAAAAAATTAGCCGGCCGTGTTGGCGGGTGCCCATAGTCCCAGCTACTCAGGAGGCTGAGGCAGGAGAATGGTGTGAACCCGGGAGGCAGAGCTTGCAGTGAGCTGAGATCATGCCACTGCACTCCAGCCTGGGTGACAGAGTAAGACTCTGTCCCCCCCAAAAAAAGAAGATATTTATCCTTGGGCTGGGCACAGTGGCTCACGCTTGCAATCCCAGCACTTTGGGGGGCCAAGGTAGGTGAATCATTTAAGCCCAGGAGTTCTAGTCCAGCCTGGGCAACAGAAACTCCACATCCATAAAAAAATACAAAAATTAGCCAGGTGTGGTGGTGTGCACCTGTAGTCCCAGCTACTTGGGAGGCTGAGGTGGGAGGATCATCTGAGCCTGGGGAGGTTGAGGTTGCAGTGAGCAGTGATCATGCCACTGCACTCCATCCAGGGTGATAGAGTGAGACCCTGTTTAAAAAAAAAAAAAAAAGATAGTGTTTAATTTTTATTTTCCTTCTTTATTAAAATTTCTATAGTGGGCCGGGCGCGGTGGCTCACGCCTGTAATCCCAGCACTTTGGGAGGCCGAGGCAGGAGGATCATGAGGTCAGGAGATCGAGACCATCCTGGCTAACATGTGAAACCCCGTCTCCACTACAAATACAAAAAAAAATTAGCCGCGCGTGGTGGCGGGCACCTGTAGTCCCAGCTACTCGGGAGGCTGGGGCAGGAGAATGGCATGAACCTGGGAGGCAGAGCTTGCAGTGAGCCGAGATCACGCCACTGCACTCCAGCCTGGGTGACAGAGCGAGACTCGTCTCAAAAAAAAAAAAAAAATTCTATAGTGACTGTGTCACTTTTGCAGCAAAAAAAGAGTGTTTTGTTGTTTAATGTAAGCAGGCAAAATTCAAGCTTAGGATTTCAGATGCTGAGTGGAAAGACCAATTAGGTTCTGAGCCTCTCCTGGAAGGAAGCTGGCTGTGCCGGATGCTCATTTGGCAGTGTTTTACTCTCCACGTCTAGCATGGTGCTGGAGGCTGGGGCCATAGCAGTGAACAAGATGATTGCGGTTCTTGCTGTGCCTCTCAGAGCTCTGTGTAGTGGGAGACAGAAGTGTATTGGCAGTTACCGTGGTCTAAGTGCCATCCATGAAGGGAACCCAGAGATGAGGGTTTTGATGTGGCTGCTCAGCAGTGAATGATGGGATGGGAGGTCAGGTAGGTTCCCAGCAGTACTCACTCTGGTGGCATGCTAGGACAGACACCCGAGGCCAATATAAGAAGTCTGGTGTGGTCTTTGCACCAGTGCTTTCAACTCTGTTTGTTACTCATCATGGTGGGTGGTGGGCAGTGGTCACAAGCCCTGCCATGGTAGGGCAAAAGGATCAAAATTTGATCCTTGGGTTGGATTCAGCCCTAAAGCCAGATATTATGTATATGTCCTAATTAATAAAGATTCAGAATCTCTAAAGTCCAAAGCACTGAAGAGTTTACATTTCAGGCTTTATACTGAAATACTAAAATTCTGTGTCTTATTCTCTCATCCAGGAACATGACATCGATACAAGTGAAACAGCATTCCAGAACAATTTCTGAAGACCATGCCTCTTGAAGCTTTTTCTGCCTCCTGATTCTCTCTTTGTAAACTATTTTCAAATTGTTTTTCAACTCCTTATCAAAATTGTTTATACACTCTTTCCTCCATGAGCTCTGGAAGGTATATGCATCTTCTGTAATACTCAGATAGGTATAAGATTTTTCACAAAATCCTTATGTAAGATACATTCCATTTTTAAAAATTAAATGTATGGTTGCATCTGTCTTTTTATACCCTATGAAACAGTCTTGATTTTTTTTTCTCAACCCCAGTTCTGGATTTGAGTCTTTTATCAAAGACATAATTAACTCTCAAGCTTGTTGTAAATACTGTACAGCTTTCTGGACCGGTTGAAAGGATACAACAGTGGCTGGACACGGTGGCTCACTCATGTAATCCCAGCACTTTGGGAGGCCGAGGCGGGCGGATCATTTGAGGTCAGGAGTTCAAGACCAGCCTGGCCAACATGGTGAAACCTGTCTCTACTAAAAATACAAAAGTTAGCCAGGTGTGGTGGCATGTGCCTGTAATCCCAGCTACTTGGGAGGCTGAGACAGGAGAATCACTTGAATCTGGGAGGCAGAGGTTGCAGTGAGCCGAGATCACGCCACTACACTCCCGCCTGGGTGACAGTGAGACTCTGTCTCAAAAAAAAAAGGGGGGGATGGGAGGCTAGGTGCAGTGGCTCATGCCTGTAATCCCAGCACTTTGGGAGACCGAGTTGGGTGGATCACGAGGGCAGGAGATCGAGACCATCCTGGCTAACATGGTGAAACCCCATCTCTACTAAAAGTACAAAAAATTAGCCGGGCATGGTGGCACACACCTGTAGTTCCAGCTACTCGGGAGGGTGAGGCAGGAGAATCACTTGAACCCGGGAGGCGGAGGTTGCAGTAAACTGAGATCACACCACCACATACCAGTCTGGGTGTCAGAGCAAGACTCTTGTCTCAAAAAAAAAAAAAAAAAAGGATACAGAACTTAACCCATAGTCTGTTTACCCCACTGTACCTAAAGAAGAAGATAAAAGAGTAGACAGATACCTTCCTTATATAGATCTCATCCCTTCATCTCCCAGTTGCCCATAGGACACAACCATGTAGAGCAAGCTTGTCCAACCCGCAGCCCATGGGCTGCATGTGGCTTAGGACGGCTTTGAATGTGGCCTAAAACAAATTTGTAAACTTTTTTTTTTTTTTTGGAGACGGAGTCTCGCTCTGTCACCCACGCTGGAGTGCAGTGGCGCGATCTCGGCTCACTGCAAGCTCTGCCTCCTGGGTTCACACCATTCTCCTGCCTCAGCCTCTCCGAGTAGCTGGGACTACAGGCGCCCGCCACCACGCCCGGCTAATTTTTAGTATTTTTAGTAGAGATGGGGTTTCACCGTGGTCTCGATCTCCTGACCTCATGATCCGCCCGCCTCAGCCTCCCAAAGTGCTGGGATTACAAGCGTGAGCCACCGCGCCCGGCCTACAAATTTGTAAACTCTTAAAACATTATGAGGCCAGGTGCAGTGGCTCATGCTTGTAATCCCAACACTTTGGGAGGCCAAGGTGGGTGGATCACCTGAGGCCAGGAGATAGAGACCAACCTGGCCAACAGGATGAAACCCTGTCCCTACAAAAAATACAAAAATTAGCCAGGTGTAGAGGCCTGGTACGGTGGCTCATGCCTGTAATCCCAGTTCTTTGGGAGGCCGAGGTGGATGGATCACTTGAAGTCAGGAGTTCAAGACAAGCCTGGCCAACATGGCGAAAACCTGTCTCTCCTAAAAATACAAAAATTACCCGGGTGTGGTGGTGCAGGCCTATAATCCCAGCTTCTCAGGAGGCTGGGGCAGGACAGTCGCTTGAACCCCAGAGGCAGAGGTTGTGGTGAGCTGAGGTTGTACCACTGCACTCCAGCCTGGGCAACAGAGCAAGACTGTCTCAAAAAAAAAAAAAAAATTAGCCAGACATGGTCAGGCATAGTGGCTCATAGCTGTAGTCCCAGCTACTTGGGAGGCTGAGGTGGGGAAAATCATTGAACCTGGGAGGCAGAAGTTGCAGTGAGCCAAGATCACATAACTGCACTCCAGCCTGGGTGACAGAGCAAGACTGTCAAAAAAAAAAAAAAAAATTAAGAGATAGATGTGTTTATTATTATTTTTATTTTTATTTTTTTTATTTTTTTTAAGAAGGAGTCTCGCCCTTTTGCCCAGGCTGGAGTGCAGTGGCGCTATCTTGGCTCACTGCAAACTCCACCTCCCAGGTTCATGCCATTCTCCTGCCTCAGCCTCCCAAGTAGCTGGGACTACAGGCACCCACCACCATGCCTGGCTAATTTTTTGTATTTTTAATAGAGACGAGGTTTCACTGTGTTAGGCAGGATGGTCTCGATCTCCTGACCTCATGATCCACCAGCCTCGGCCTCCCAAAGTGCTGGGATTACAGGTGTGAGCCACTGCACCCGGCCATTATTATTATTTTTTTAGCTCATCAGCCATTGTTAGTGTATTTTGTGTGACCCAAGACAATTCTTCCAATGTTGCCCAGGGAAGCCAAAAGATTAGATACTCCTGATTTAGAAGCTGAGCCTGGGGAACAAAAGTGAAAGTCCATCTCTACAAAAATGAAAATTAGCCAGGTATAGTGGCACACACCTGTAGTCCCAGGTATTTGGGAGACTGAGGTGGCAGGATTGCTTGAGCCCAGGAGTTCAAAGCTGCACTAGCTATGATCATACCACTGCACTCCAGAATGGGCCACCCATGCTTCTTCCCTGTCCTCTGGCTTCCTGAAGCACTCAGTTCTATCATCATCTTGGGTTATAATGTAGGGCCAAATTTAATCATCTGTTCCAAGGAGGCTAGAGGGTATTGTCATGGGACAATGGGAGAGACTGCACCTGTCAGAATGGTGCAGTTGGTGTATAGAAATGCACAGCAGTGTACTGACATACACAGATAACCAGCTTTGGGGAACTCTGAAAGCCAGATGGAAGGTTGCAGAGCCACTGAGGATAGGAGAGGAGAGAAGGGAGAGGAGAGGAGAGGAGGGGAGGGGAGGGGAGGTGGGAGGAAAGGGGGGAGGGGGGAGGGGAGGAGCAATTCCCATTGCTGCACAATGGGAATAGTTTAGCTGGTGGGTTCTATAAAGATGGGAATGGTAGAAGGATGGTCATTTACAGAAGAGTTTGATACAACCCCAAGAGCAAATAATAAGGATGTGGACTAAGGTGGTATTATAGGAAAGGTGGCATTTTGAAACACTTTGGTCTGGGTGTTGAAAGTTAGATTGGCAAGATTTGGGGCTTGATTTCCTGGGACAGTGGGGGCAGCTATTAAAAGATGGGGAGTCTAGGCCAGGCACGGTGGCTCATGCCTGTAATCCCAGCAATTTGGGAGGCCGAGACGGGCAGATCACCTGAGATCAAGAGTTCTAGACCAGCCTGGCCAACATGGTGAAACCCCGTCTCTACTAAAAATACAAAAATTAGCCTGGCGTGGCGGGCGCCTGTAATCCCAGCTACTCAGGAGACTGAGGTGGGAAAATTGCTTGAACCCGGGAAGTGGAGGTAGCAGTGAGTCGAGATCATGCCATTGCACTCCAGCCTGGGTAACGAGGGAAACTCTATTAAAAAAAAAAAGATGGGGAGTCTGAAGGATGAGTGGTTTTGGAGCATAAGAGTCCAGTTGAGACTATGGCAATTAATACAGGTGGAAATAACTAGTAAATGGCTGGAAATCCCTAATTTAGGCTTAGAAAAGATGTCCAGTCTCAAGAGTGGAGTTGTTCATATGGAGTGGTTAATTAAAGTCATGAGAATCATTTGTCAAAGAGTAGTGTTAGAAATTTAAAAGCTTGGGAAGAACAGCTCAAGTCAAATCCTGAGTTTCAAATGATTTCTTCATGGTAAAGCTCTGTTCATAGGCTTCCATTCTCTCCCATACTCAAGCCCTAGTACACGGCTTATTCAGAGTTGCCAGCCAGGGCAGGGCACTGGGGAACGGGGAAGCCACTCCAGGGGCAGAAGAATTTGGGGGCTCTAGCTCAAAGCTGGGAGATAAGCAGCTAGAGGACAGGCCTGGGGAGTGCTGTGGCAGTGTGTTCCAAATACATACCCAAAATGTGTTCAATGATTGTCTCCCAACCCAAATGCTCTTCTCTTATCCTGTGGGCTTGATGCTCCTCCCATTGAGAGGTGGGGTCTCTGTTCCCTCCTCTGAATCTTTGAATCTGGCACCGTGGCAGAAGTGATGCTGGTGACCTCTGAGGCTAGTTCATAAAAGGCTATACAGCTTCTGCCTGGTTATCTTGGGACATTCACCTTTAGAACACAAGCCTCCATGTAAGAAGTCCAAGGCCACGTGGATAGGCCATGTATAGGTGTTCTGGCCAACAGCCAGAGATCTCAGTCTATACCAGCATCTTGGTATAAATCGCTTGCCAAACATGAATGATGATACCTCCAAATGACTCCTGGCCCCAACCATCAAGCACCTCAGCCTTTTGTCATCCCAATTGAGGTCCCAGATGTCATAGAGCAGAGACAAGCCATCCCTGCTGTGTTCTTTGTGAATTCCTGACTCCCAGAATCCATGAATATAATAAAATGGGAAGGAAGGTGTGCCCTCACTGCCATTTTGTTATATTTGTTTTTATTTTTATTTTTGTTTTTTTGTTTTGTTTTGTTTTTTGAGACAGGGTCTCATTCTGTCTCCCAGGCTGGAGTGCAGTGACACAATCTCAGCTCACTGCACCCTCTGCCTCCCAGGTTCAAGTGATTCTCCTGCCTCAGCCTCCCCAATAGCTGGGATTACAGGCACGTGCCAACACGCCTGGCTAATTTTTTGTATTTTTAGTAGAGACAAGGTTTCACCATGTTGACCAGGCTGGTCTCAAACTCCTGACCTCAAGTGATCCACCCGCCTCGGCCTCCCAAAGCGCTGTGATTACAGGCGTGAGCCACTGCGCCCAGCCTTGTTTTTGATTTTTTTGAGACAGGGTCTTGCTCTGTTGCCCAGGCTGAAGTGCACTGGTGTGATCATAGCTCACTGTAACCTCAACCTCCTGGGCTCAAGCAATCCTCCTGCTTCAGCTTTCCGAGTAACTGGGACTACAGGTGTATGCTACCATACCCAGCTAATTTTAAAAAATGTATTTTAAAATACATTGAGTGGCTGGGCGCAGTGGCTCATGCCCGTAATCCCAGCACTGTGGGAGGCTGAGGGGGGCAGATCACGAGGTCAGGAAATCGAGACCATCCTGGCTAACACGGTGAAACCCCATCTCTACTAAAAAATACAAAAAAATTAGCCGGGCATGGTGGCAGGCGCCTGTAGTCCCAGCTACTTGGGAGGCTGAGGCAGGAGAATGGCGTGAACCCAGGAGGCGGAGCTTGCAGTGAGCGGAGATCGGGCCACTGCACTCCAGCCTGGGCGACAGAGTGAGACTCGTCTCAAAGAAAAGAAAAAAAAAAAAAAAATATATATATATATATATATATATAGAGAGAGAGAGAGAGAGAGAGAGAGAGTCTTTCGTCTGAGCCGCCAAAATGCCATCCAGACTGAGGAAGACCCAGAAACTTCGGGGCCATGTGAGCCATGGCCATGGCCGCATAGGCAAGCTCCAAAAGCACCCCAGAGGCCACAGTAATGCTGGTGGAATGCATCACCACAGGATCAACTTCAACAAATACTACCCAGGTTACTTTGGGAAAGTTGGTATGAGGTATTACTTAAAGAGAAACCAGAGTGGCCGGGCGCGGTGGCTCACACCTGTAATCCCAGCACTTTGGGAGGCCGAGGCGGGTGGATCATGAGGTCAGGAGATCGAGACCATCCTGGCCAACAAGGTGAAACCCCGTCTCTACTAAAAATACAAAAAATTAGCCGGGCACGGTGGCGGGCGCCTGTAGTCCCAGCTACTCGGGAGGCTGAGGCAGGAGAATGGCGTGAACCCGGGAAGCGGAGCTTGCAGTGAGCCGAGATTGCGCCACTGCAGTCCGCAGTCCGGCCTGGGTGACAGAGCGAGACTCCGTCTCAAAAAAAAAAAAAAAAAAAAAAAAAAAAAAGAGAAACCAGAGTTTCTGCCCAGCTGTCAGCCTTGACAAATTGTGGACTTTGGTCAGTGAGCAGACACAGGTGAATGCTGCTAAAAACAAGCCTGGGGCTGCTCCCCTCATTGATGTGGTGCAATCGGGCTACTACAAAGTTCTGGGAAAGGAAAAGCTCCCAAAGCAGCCTGTCATTGTGAAGGCCAAATTCTTCAGCAGAAGAGCTGAGAAGATTAAGGGTGTCAAGGGGACCTGTGTCCTGGTGGCTTGAGGCCACATGGAGGGAGGTTCATTAAATGCTAACTACTTAAAAAAAACAAATAGGCCAGGTGCAGTGGCTCACGCCTGTAATCCCAGCACTTTGGGAGGCCGAGGTGGGTGGATCACCTGGTTGGGAGTTCAAGACCAACCTGACCAACATGGTGAAACCCCGTCTCTACTAAAAATACAAAAAGCCAGGTGTGATGGCGCATGCCTGTAATCCCAGCTACTCGGGAGGCTGAGGCAGGAGAATCGCTTGGACCCGGGAGGTGGAGGTTGTGGTGAGCCGAGATCGCGCCATTGCACTCCAGCCTGGGCAACAAGAGTGAAAACTCCGTCTCAAAAAATAAATATAAATTTTTAAAATTATATATATATATTTTTGGGCTGTGGGGAGCTGGGCATAGTGGCTCATGCCTGTAATCCCAGCACTTTGGGAGGCCAAGGCGGGAGGATTGCTTGAGCCCAAAAGTTTGAGACCAGCCTGGGCAACATAGCAAGACCCCATCTCTATTTATTTTTATTTGAGATGAAATTGCAGACATCATAGCACTTTACCCCAAAACAAATAAATATCTATAGAAATAAATATTGCCCAGGCTGGTCTTAAACTCCTAGCCTAAAGCGATCCTCCCACTTTGGCCTCCCAAAATGCTGGGATTACAGGCATGAGTCACTACACCTGGCCTTAAAATGGCAGTTTTAAGCCACTGATTTGGAGTAATTTGTTATACAGCAATAGGTAACTAGAATAAACACCTGTAATCTTACAAGGAACTTTTTGGTTCTATCTGAATCTAATCCAACTTCCACTTTCACTTTTCAAAGGGATAACTGAGGCCTAGTTGCGGAAGAGACTGGCAATCTGCCTACTAACCAGGAGTTTCTCCCACCACGCTCTCCTGACCAAGAAGGTGCCTTGGAGGAAGCAAGGCCTGTTCTGCCACAGGGTCAGTAGGCTTTTCGCCTTCATCCATGGATGGCTTGTGGCAAGGATATATTTTTTCTCCCATTTATGTGAAAACTTTGAAACTAATTGTGTGTTCTGTGAATGCTTAGCTCTCTTGAATTGGGGTAATGGTTATTGTTTATAGAGCATAAGCCAAGTTTTATATTCTACAATGCAAACAGGTACCTGTTTCTAAATAAAACTGTTTACATTAAAAAAAGAAAAAACAAAACTTTGAGGGCCGGGCGTGGTTGCTCATGCCTGTAATCCCACCACTTTGGGAGGCCAAGGTGGGCAGATCACTTGAGGCCAGGAGTTCAAGACCAGCCTGGCCAACATGACGAAACCCCGTCTCTACTAAAAATGCAAAAATTATCCGGGTGTGGTGGTGTGCGCCTGTAATCCCAGCTACTCAAGAGGCTGAGGCAGGAGAATCCCTTGAACCCGAGAGACAGAGGTTGCAGTGAGCCAAGATTGCATCACTGTACTCCAGCCTGGGCAACAGAGCAAAACTCCGTCTCAAAAAAAATAAAAAACCCACTTTGAAACAGAAAAGTGTGAAGAATACTATATTAAACACCAGTGTGCCCATCAGACTTTAAAAAATTGTTAATATATTGCCATATATGCTTTCCGTATGTATAATCATTTTTATTTTTATTTTTTTTACATGTAGACCTTAAAATCCCAATGTATAGGCCAGGCGCAGTGGCTCACGCCTGTAATCCCAGCACTTTGGGAGGCCAAGGCGGGCAGATCACTTGAGGTCAGGAGTTCAAGACCAGCCTGGCCAACATGGCAAAACCCTGTCTCTACTAAAAATACAAAAATTAGCCGGGTGTGGTGGCGGGCGCCTGTAGTCCCAGCTACCTGGGAGGCTGAGGCAGGAGAATTGTTTGAACCTGGCAGGCGGAGGTTGTGGTGAGCTGAGGTTGTGCCATTGTACTCCAGCCTGGGCGACAGAGCAAGACTCTGTCTCGAAAAAAAAAAAAAATCCCAATATATGCATAATCTTTTTTTTTTTTTTTTTTTTGAGATGGAGTCTTGCCCTGTCACCCAGGCTGGAGTGCAGTGGCATAACCTTGGCTTGCTGCAACCTCTGCCTCTCAGGTTCAAGCGATTCTCCTCCTGAGTAACTGGGACTACAGCCATGAGCCACTGACCCTGGCCTGTATAATCAATTTTTTTTTTTAGACAGAGTCTTGCTCTATTGCCCAGGCTGGATGGAGTGCAGTGGCACAATCACTGCAACCTTCGCCTCCTGGGTTCAAGTAATTATCCTTGAGCCTCCCGAGTAGCTGGGATTACAGGCATGCACTACCATGCCGGGCTAATTTTTTGTATTTTTAGTAGAGACAGGGTTTTACTATGTTGGCCAGGCTGGTCTCAAACTCCTGACCTCATGATCCGCCCGCCTCAGCCTCCCAAAGTGCTGGGATTATAGGCGTGAGCCACGTCACCCGGCCCTGTATAATCTTTTTTACCAAACATTTGAAATGAAATTGCAGACAGAATAGTATTTTACCCCTAAATACTTCATTGTATAATGCCATTATCATTTCTATTACTTAATGTTTAATACATATTCAGACTGTCCCCTAATTGCCCCCAGAATGTTTTATAGATTTTTTTTTCAAGCCAGGATTTAGTCAGTCTTCACACATTGTATTTGACTGTCTCTTTAAATCCAGAACAGTCTCCCTCTTTTTTTTACAAATGATCTTTTTTTTTTTTTTTCAGACAGGGTCTTGCTGTGTTACCCCGGATGGAATACAGTGGCACAATCATAGCTCACTGCAGCCTCAACTTTCTGGACTCAATTGATCCTCCCACCTCAGCCTCCACAGTAGCTGGGACTACAGGCGTGCACCACCATGTCCAGCAAATTCTTTAATTTTTTGTAAAGACAGGGTCTCACTGTGTTGCCCAGGCTGGTCTGGAACTCCTGGACTCAAGTGATCCTCCCACCTTGCCCTCCCGAAGTATTTGGTTTACAGGCATGAGCCACTCCTCCTGACCAGACACTGATTTTTTGAAAAGATCAAATTAGGGGTCTTGCAGATTATCTCACATTCTGGATTTATCTCATTGCTTCATCATAGTGTCTATTAATTTGTTCCTTTATCTTATTTCCTGTAAACTGAAGTTAGGTCTGAAGGCTTGACTGTGAATTAAACATTTTTGGCAAGAATATTTCATAGGTGGTGATGTCAGATTAGTTTTTATTAGTAAAATTAAGCTTAACTAGCTAAAGTGGTGAGCAGGGGTGTTTTGTTTTGTTTTGTTTTTTGTTTTTTTGAGACGGAGTCTTGCTCTGTCGCCCAGGCTGGAGTGCAGTGGCACAATCTCGGCTCACTGTAACCTCCGCCTCCCAGGTTCACGCCATTCTCCTGCCTCAGCCTCCCGAGTAGCTGGGACTACAGGCGCCCGCTACCACGCCTGGCTAATTTTTTGTATTTTTAGTAGAGACGGGGTTTCATCGTGTGAGCCAGGATGGCCTCGATCTCCTGACCTCGAGATCCGCCCGCCTCGGCCTCCCAAAGTGCTGGGATTACAGGCGTGAGCCACACGCCCGGCGCAGGGGTGTTTTTAAATTCAAACAAGTGTTCCAACTTCACTCTTAAAAATAAAAAAGCAACGACAACCAAAAACAAAACCAAAAGAAGAAAACATATATACCAGTCCTAGCAGGTAACAGTGTAAAAATAACTGGAGATCGCGCCACTGCACTCCAGCCTGGGCAACAGAGCGAGACTCCGTCTCAAAAACAAAAACAAAAACAAACCCCTCTGATCCCCGAGTTTTCTGGGAGACTGATTTGAGTAATAATACAACTCTGGTCTCCCGCACAGCCCGCTCCGCGCGTGAATTACCCTTTCTCTATTGCAATTGCCGTCTTGATAAATCGGCTGTGTCCAGGCAGAGGGCAAGGTGAAACCCCTTCGGCAACCTTACAGGGCTGCCCTTCCGCAGCTCACAGCCTAATTGCTGAGAGAAATTAACCTAATAATAGTTGCAAACGGAACACCGGGCATGCAGTGTGAGGGGCTGGTCCAGAGCCTCTGACCCACACTGGGAAGTCATGGACCGTTCAGGGGTCGGGGGCGACACAATGTCCGAGGTCTGCGACGTCCCTCCCTTGCTCCCTCTCATCCCTGCGACTTTCTTTCACCCGTCCTCCACACGAACGAGACCACGCCACCGAGAAGAAGCCTCTGGGGCGCGGGGCTGGTTAGAGCCCCAGAGCCGTCGCAGCCCGGCTCCAGGTGTACCTGCGCACAGGCGCCCCACGGTGACGTCAGGGACGCGACTCCCGCGATGCCCCGCGGGCCGCCTGATCCCAGGCGCGGGCTCAGACTGGGATCTCGGAGTTCCCCTGCGCCCTCCTGACGGTGCAGTCTGGCGGCCCGTGGCGCGGGCGCTGCCATGGAGCATCCTGGAGCCTTTGGCCTCGGTTTACATGGGAGGCCCCTCGAAACAGGGCACGTCACTTGCCCCGGGTCACCTGCGGGCGGCGAGACTCTCGGGTTGACTCCAAGGCCTGACATTCCCCTCCGGTTTTCACGGAGGAGGGTGAGGATGTTGCCAGGAGCTGCCGTAAGGCTGGAGGAGCTTGCGGTTGGGTCCACCCGCCTCTGGGCAGGCCTTAGCGTTCACCCGCGGTTTCTCCCTGACTTTGAACCCAAACTCCCTACCCCGCAAGTCCTTCCCTGTTTGATTGCTGAACTCCAAGTGACAGAAGAACTGAACTGCAAGTGACAGAAGAACTAAGTGTTGGCGAAAGCTGATGCTCCAGAGGGTGCAGAGTAGAGGTCAGGGGTGGGGGCCTCGCCATGGGGTATGTATAATGTAGCCCAGGGTCCTGGCACCGAGTCTCTTCAGGAATGCAAGGGATTTGGATTAGATGGTGTCTTAGAGATCTAAATTATCCCCCTTTGCAATTGCATACCTAAAGAAACCGCTAGGGCTGGCATGAGCCTGGAAAAACACAGGCAGGGTTAATGGCCCTGTCCTTTAGTCAGTGGCCCCACACTTCTTCCAGTGACTCAGAAGGGGCCCCTGGAGTCATGCAAATGGAACATATCCATCATGCGCCAAAACGTGCTTGTGTCTCCTTGTAATCCCTTCCTCTCCACAACCATTGTCACTTTAGATTGGTTTCTGTCACTTTAGATTTGTGTGTAACTTCTAGAGTTTTTTTTTTTTTTTGAGGCAGAGTCTCACTCTGTCATCCAGGCTGGAGTGCAATGGCGTGATCTCGGCTCACTGCAACCCCTGCCTCCCAGGTTCAAGTGATTGTCCTGCCTCAGCCTCCCAGGTAGCTGGGATTACAGGCGTCAGCCACCGTGCCTGGCCTAGAGTTTTATATAAATAGTCTTATAGGCCGGGCATGGTGGCTCACGCTTGTAATCCCACCACCTTGGTAGGCCTAGGTGGGTAGATCACTTGAGGTCAGGAGTTTGAGACCAGCCTGACATGGCGAAACCCTATCTCTACTAAAAATACAAAAATTACCCGGGTGCAGTGGCTTGTGCCTATAATCCCAGCCACCTGGGAGGCTGAGGCAGGGCAATCACTTGAACCCAGGAGGTGGAGGTTGCAGTGAGCCGAGAACATGCCACTGCAGTCCAGCAGGGGCGACAGAGTGAAACTCCATCTCAAAAAAAAAAAAGAAATTAGCCTGGCATGGTGGTGTGTACCTGTAGTTCCAGCTACTCAGGAGGCTGAGGTGGGATGATGGCTTGAGCCTGGGAGATGGAGGCTGCAGTGAGCCAAGATCGCTCCACTGCACTCCAGCCTGGACTATAGAGCCAGACCTTGTCTCTAAAAAATTTAAAAATTAAGAAAAAAATCATACAGTATGCTCTCTTTTGCTTCTTTTGGCACAGTTTGTAACTTATTTATATTTTATCAATAATTTATTCCATTTGCTGAGTAGTATTCCACTGTATGGATATATTTGTTTTTTATCTATAATTTGTTTATTCAGTCACCTGTTGACATTTAGGTTGTTTCCAGTTTGGGGTTGTAACAAACAAAGCTATCTAAAAGCTTTGTGTGGAGATATGTATTCATTTTTCTTGGAGTGACTAGATGATATGATAGGTGTATATTTAAGGTTTTTTTTTCTTCTTTTTTTGAGACAGAGTTTCGCTTTGTTATCCAGGCTGGGGTGCAGTGGCGTGATCTTGGCTCAGTACAACCTCCACCTCCCAGGTTCAAGTGATTCTCTTGCCTCAGTCTCTCGAATAGCTGGGATTACAGGTGCGCACCACCATGTCCAGCCCTTTTTTTTTTTTTTTTTTTTTTTTTTGAGATGGAGTCTTGCTCTGTCGCCCAGGCTGGAGGGCAGTTGCGCGATCTCGGCTCACTGCAAGCTCCGCCTCCCGGGTTCACGCCATTCTGCCTCAGCCTCCCGAGTAGCTGGGACTACAGGCGCCTGCCACCACACCCGGCTAATTTTTTGTATTTTTTAGTAGAGACTGGGTTTCACCATGTTAGCCAAGATGGTCTCGATCTCCTGACCTCGTGATCCACCCGCCTAAGCCTCCCAAAGTGCTGGGATTACAAGCGTGAGCCACTGTGCCTGGCCCTATTTAAATTTTTAAGAAACAGTTTTCAGGCTAGGCATGGTGGCTCAAGCCTGTAATCCCAGCCTTTGGGAGGCCAAGGCAGGTGGATCACGAGGTCAGGAGTTTGAGACCAGCCAGTCTGAGTCACCCCGGTCAACATGGTGAAACCCCGTCTCTACTAAAAATACAGAAATTAGTCAGGTGTGGTGGTGGGTGCCTGTAGTCCCAGCTACTCGGGAGGCCCAGGCAGAAGAATTACTTGAACCTGGGAGGCGGAGGTTGCCGTGAGCCAAGATCTCACCACTGCACTCCAGCGTGGGATACACAGCGAGGCTCTATCTCAAAAAAACAAACAAACAAACAAAAACAGTTTTCAAAGTGGTTGTACAATTTTACATTCCCACCAGCAGTATTTGAGAATTCTAATTGCTCCCCATCTTCATCAACATTTGGTATAATTAGTCTTTTTAATTTTAGCCATTCTAATAGGCATGTAAATCTCATTGTGGTTTTAATTTACATTCCCCTAATTACATGGTATTGAGCATCTTTTCATGTGCTTTTGCCACTGGATATAGGATTTGCAGATGGATCAGATACGTGATGTGAGAGAAGAGTCAATGATTTTGAACCCTTGCCGATCCCTGAGTACTTCCTAATCCCCCTCCTCCTTGCCATGTGCTGGCTATTTCCTGTGCCATTCCCTGCATTGCAAATTCCTAAATCATCCAGCTCTAAAGAGCCTTCAGTGATCCTGTTGGGTGGGCACTCACAGTCCTGGCAATTGATCTTCACCTGTACAGAGCTAATTTTCCACTCATTATCTTCTGTACCAGTTGGTGAGCTTCCTGAGAATATGGATGGTTGGATTTTCTCGTTATGACTAACCTCTAGTTGTAGCCCAGACTCAGACTTTGAGTATACATCACAAATGGTACTCTCCAATCTCATATCAAGTTGTGGATGTTTTGCTTCAAGCTACCAGCCCTTAGCTATGTGATCAGTGCCATTTACTTAATATCTCTGTGTCTTAATTTGTTTGTTGTTAAAATGTTACCTGCCGCACAGAGTAATAAGCATTAAATGCAAAATAAGCCAGCGCAGTGGCTCATGCCTGTAACTCCAGCAAGTTGGGAAGCTGAAATGGGAGGATTGAACCCAGGAGTTTGAGCTTGTTTGAGCTCAGGAGTTCGAGGCTGCAGTGAGCTATGATGGCACCATTGCACTGCAGCTCCCCAGATTGGAGTGCAGTGGTGCCATCATAACTCACTGCAGCCTCAAACCAGAGTGAGACCCCATCTCTAAAAAAAAAAAAAAGCCAAAATGAATGTAAAACTCAATATGGTGCCAGGCACATAGTGTCTTCCCTAAAAAAATCATCCTGTTATTCTTATCTTTTTTTTTTTTTTCCTAGACAGGGTCTCACTCTATCACCCAGCTCAGAGTGCAGTGGCAAGATCTGGGCTCACTGCAACCCCTGCCTCCCAGGTTCAAGCAATTCTTGTGCCTCAGCCTTCCGAGTAGCTGAGACTACAGGTGAGTGGCACCACACCTGGCTAATTTTTGTATTTTCAGTAGAAATGGGGTTTCACCATGTTGGCCAAGCTGGTCTCGAACTCCTAGCCTCAAGTAATCTGCCCACCTTGGCCTTCCAAATTGCTGGGATTACATGCGTGAGCCACCTTGCCCAGCCAAGCTGTTGTTATTTTCTGATCTGAATACTTTGATAGTCCATTTCTGAAACTCAAAGATAGGTGTTTTGAAAATGGTTATTAATGTAATCTCAATCTTTTGAGTAGTAAAAGCTGACTTTGGGGGCCTGGCACGGTGGCTCACGCCTGTAATCCCAGCACTTTGGGAGGCCAAAGCAGGTGGATCACCTGAGGTCAGGAGTTCAAGACAAGCCTGACCAACATGGTGAAACCCCATGTTTCTACTAAAAATACAAAATTAGCCGGGTGTGGTGGTACATGCCTGTAATCCCAGCTACTTGGCAGGCTGAGGCAGGAGAATTGCTTGAACCCGGGAGGCAGAGGTTGCAGTGAGCCAAGATCATGGCGCCATTGCACTCCAGCTGGGCAAAAAAGAGCAAAACTGTGTCAAAAAAAAAAAAAAAGCAGGTATTGAATTAGTTTGATTCCTTGAATCAAGTAATTGAATTGCTTTCCTTCCTCCTTCCATTGAGATCCACATTGTTGTAGAAAGTGTCCCTTTCCAGGCTGAGTCCTTGGCCTCTTATGTCTATATGGCCACTTGTTTGCTACCATGTCTCTGTTCTCTACACTGATGCCCTGGAGTGGGACAGAAGAGTCTGAAAAACATCCCTTTGTTTCAAAATCTCTCTCTCTCATTTTTAGTAGAAACGAGATCTAGCTGTGTTATCCAGGCTGGTCCTGAACTCCTAGCCTCAAACTATCCTTTCACCTTGGCCTCCCAAAGTGTTGGGATTACAGGATTACATGTGAGCCACTGAACCCAGCCAACAGGTGTATGTAATAGTTTAAGGAGACTTGGTATTTAGGTTTTGATTTAACAAATTTTTTTGTACAGACGGGGGCGGGGGGTCTCACTATGTTGCCCAGGCTGGTCTCGAACTCCTGGCTTTACACAATCCTTCCACCTTGCCCTCCCAAAGTGCTGGGATTATTACAGGTATGAGTCACTGCACCTGGTCCCAAATCTCTTTTTGAGACAGAGTCTTGCTCTGTCACCCAGGCTGGAGTGCAGTGGCACAGTTTGGGCTCACGGCAACCTCCTCCTCCTGGGTTCAAGTGATTCTCATGCCTCATCCTCCTGAGTAGCTGAGACTGCAGGTTTGTGCCACCATGCCCAGGTAATTTTTGTATTTTTAGTAGATATGGGGTTTCACCATGTTGGCCAGGCTGGTCTCAAAGTCCTGACCTCAAAGTAATTTGCCTGCCTTGGCCTTCTAAAGTGCTGGGATTACGGGCATGACCACTGTGCCCAGCCTGAATCTCTTTTGATGACCCATATTTTATGAGATACAATTCAAACTCTAGCATTCCCAGCTTTCTCACTTGAGGTCCAAGCCTTTCTAACTCTCCAGCCCAAATGTTAGCTTTGTAACATTGCATCCACTCAATTTAAATGGAATGTGTAGAACCCCTTCCATGAGTACCTACCAGAAGCCAAGCTATAGTAAAGGTCTGAAGCTTAAAATGTGCACAGGCTGTCCTTTCTCTTGAGAGAGAAATAAAATGGTGGAGGAAGTGTGATGAGGACAAGAATGATAAGGAGGATGCTCTGGAGGTGGAGGGGGAAGACTCCAGCCAGAAGGGCCATGTGATTCTACTTATCATCAATTAGTGTTTGGTGTCCAAGCTGGTGCTGAGCCCTGAGCATTTAATAAATTGATTTGACCCTTATCTTCCCAACACAGGGTCAGGCCTGGGGGTTGGGGCAAATTGTGGAATAACCAAATACCTGGAGCCTCCCTGTCCAAGGAGGGCGTGTTCAGGAAAAGTTTCCCAGCAGAGATAAATTCTGTATGTTACTAGTCCAGAGTCCAGGGACCACTCCCAGGTGTGGTTTCACTCGGGACACTGGGAATCCTCTCTCCAGGGGATATCTGTTGGTATGATGATAACTGGAGAGGAAATGTGTGGAGATCATCAGATTCCATCTGGCACTAGGGTGATCTCCCTGCTGCCTGACTCACAGCACTGACTCCAGGCTTCTTTGGCTCTGGGGCATTGGTTAACTGGCCCCAGTTCCAGGTTGCAAGTGCACTCTGCAGCTGTTCCCTGCCTCTTGCTTTGGGCAGATACCTTGCCCAAGCTGTCAGGTCCTGCCTCTCCCTGAAATGGGATGACTAATGTGTGGACCTCAAAGGATAAGAGTGAGGGCAGCTGAAGAATTACAGTAGTAATAATAGCTAACAGTAATATAGTTCTTTTTTTGCTGGGCGCGGTGGCTCACGCCTGTAATCCTAGCACTTTGGGAGGCCGAGGTGGGTGGATTGCCTGAGATCAGGAGTTTGAGACCAGCCTGGGGAACATGGTGAAACCCCGATCTCTATTAAAATACAAAAAATTAGCCAGGCGTGGCGGAGTGCTTCTGTAACCCCAGCTACTCGGGAGGCTGGGGTTATTGAGACGGAGTCTTGCTCTGTTGCCAAGGCTGGAGTGCAGTGGCACGATCTCAGCTCACTGCAACCTCCGCCTCCAGGTTCAAGTGATTCTCCTGCCTCAGCCTCCTGAGTAGCTGGAGTTACAGGTGCATGCCGCCACGCCCGGCTAATATTTTATATTTTTAGTAGAGATGGGGTTTCACCATGTTGGCCAAGCTGGTCTCAAACTCCTGACCTTAGGTGACTCACTCGCCTCAGCTTCCCAAACTGCTGGGATTACAGGCATGAGCCACTGTGCCCGGCCAATATAGCTCTCATTATGTGCCAGGAACTGTTTTTGGTGCTTTACACATATTAATTTATTTAATCCTATAATTACCTACAAAGTATAGTGATTAAGAGCATAGACTCTAGAACTAGACAGGCCAGGTTTGAATCCCTGCTCTGCCATTTACTAGCACTGTGACCTTGGGGAAGTCTGTGCCTCAGTTTTCCCATCTGCTAAAAGAGGATAATCCCAGTATCTACCTCATAGAGTTGTTACAAGGATTAAATGAGTTACAATTTATAAACAGAATGCTGGCTGGAAATATTAGCTGGGCATGGCGGCGTGCTCCTGTAACCCCAGTTACTTGGGAGGCTGATAGTTTAAAAACTATCTAAAATTTTGATAAATCCCATTTTTCCAGGTGAGAAAACTGAGGCACAGAAGAGTTAGGTAATTGGCTGGGCATGATGGCTCATGCCTGTAATCCCAGCACTTTGGGAGTCTGAGTCGGGTAGATCACCTGAGGTCAGAAGTTCAAGACCAGCCTGGCCAACATGATGAAAACCCATCTCTACAAAAATACAAAAAATAGCCAGGCATGCTGGCGCATTCCTGTAGTCCTAGCTACTCGAGAGGCTGAGGTGGGAGAATCATTTGAATCCGGGAAGTGGGGGTTGCAGTGAGCCAAGATCACACCACTGCACTCCAGTCTGGGCAATAAAGCAAGACTTGGTCTAAAAAAAAAAAAAAAGTTAAGTAATTTGCCTAAGATACCGCAACTGAATGGTGGAGCTGGGACTCAAACCCCAGGAAGTTTGGCTGTGGAGGCTGTGCTTTCAATGAAGTGGGCATGTCCACATTAATTACTTTATAAGGGGAGTGGGCGGGAGAAACCCTGAATTAAGTGATGTGGAAGCTTCTAGCACTTAAGATGTGAGTTAGTCTTCCTTCTGTGGTAAGTGAAGTTTGCAGCAGCTGGTGGCTGGACTGTCCCCAGGTGGCCAGCAGCTTCTGGAAGGGGGCTCTGAGGCCTGAACAGGGGCTAAAAGGCTGGGGTTTGATTTGGTTTCTTCAGCGTCCTGTCTCAGAGCTCATTTATCTTCCTCTCAGCACTGCTCCCAGGAAGTCCAGTGTGACTTGATCCTTGGTACTTGGTAAATGTCAATCTAATATAGAAAACCTTTGCTAAATCTCAAGGAAAGACAGTCTCACTGTCTGTCGCCCAGGCTGGAGTGCAGTGGCGGGATGACAAGGGCTTGAGCCCCTCGAACTCCTGGGCTCAAGCAATCCTCCTGCCTCTGCTTCCCAAGTAGCTGGGATTACAGGCATTCACCACCACAGCCAGGTAATTTCTTAATTTTTTGTAAAGACAGGGTCTCACTCTGATCCCCAGGCTGGTCTCAAACTTTTGGACTGAATCAGTTCTCCCACCTCGGCCTCCCAAACTGCTAGGATTACTGGCATGAGCCACTAAATCTGGGCTAATCTCTGGGAGTTTAAACCCAAGGTAAACAATTCAATGCAACAAACCTTTGCCTGGGGCTTCTTATGTCAGGTCTTCTACTGGGCCCTGGAGATACTGGTGTGCATTGAGAGGCCACCTGGACCTCAGGATGCTCCCAGTTCAAAGGGGGAAATGCAGAAGTCTACAGGCAGATTGTGGGCAGTGGACCCCAAATTAAATAGGAATCAGCCACGTGGGAGGGGCAGGAAGTGTTCCTGCCCTGGGTAATGGCTCAGGCAAAGGCAAAGAGGCCGTTTCTTTTGGCCAGGGCTGGGTGGTGGTCTGGAAGATCAGATAAATGTGATTGTGGAGTAAGGAATTTACCCTGAGGGAGAGGAGGATGGTTTTAAATTCTGGAAAGAGCTCACGCCTGCAATCCCAGCACTTTGGGAGGACAAAGCGGCAGGATCTCTTGAGCCCAGGAGTTTCTAGACCAGTCTAGGCAACAGCAACATAGCAAGACACCCCCTTCTCTTAAAAAAAAAAAAAAAAGCGCAGTGGCTCACTCCTGTAATTCCAGCACTTTGGGAGGCCGAGGCGGGCGGATCACGAGGTCAGGAGACCTATACCATCCTGGCCAACATGGTGAAACCTCGTCTCTACTAAAATACTAAAAAAAAAAAAAAAAAAAAAAAAAAATTGCCGGGCGTGGTGGTGTGCGCCTGTAGTTCCAGCTACTTGGGAGGCTGAGGCGGGGGAGTCGCTTGAACCCGGGAGGTGGAGGTTGCAGTGAGTCAAGATCGCGCCACTGCACTCCAGCCTGGCGACAAAGCGAGACACCGTCTCAAAAAAAAAAAAAAAAAAAATCAGCCGGGTGTAGTGGCGAGTGCCTGGTCTTAGCTACCCGTGAGTTGAGGTAGGAGGATCGCTTGAGCCTAGGAGGTGGAGGTTGCAGTGAGCTATGATCGCGAAACTGCACTCCAGCCTGGGCGACAGAGCAAGACCCTGCCTCTAAGAAAAATGAACAACAAAAAATAAAGTCTATTAAGGAGGGTCTCTTGGAGGCAGGAGAGGAAGCAGGGAGAGGCACAGGTAGGGTGAGGAGCCGCTTTAGGGTGCGGCTCTAGGGACCCAGTAGTGGCTTGGACTAGCGTGGGGGATTCCGCCCTGGCGCTTTCCCTGGCTGGCTCTCCCATGCTCGCGCCTCGCTCCCCTTCCTCGGTCTTCGCTATGTGGGATACTCCTGGGCCGCCCCGGACTGACACGTGAGCCAGGCCTCGGTCACATCCCGGCCCGCTCCACAACTCCGAAGTAGCGGCCGCCGCCCCTGTCCTGCAGCCGGCCCTGGAGGGTCTGGGCAGGTGCCGCCCCGCAGGCCCCGCCCCGCCCCGCCCCCTGGCTCCGCCCCTCACTCAGGCCCCTCCCCCGGCGCCCGCGCGCCAGGACTGGGCGGCGCCGACGCGCTTGGCGGGAGATAGAAAAGTGCTTCAACCCGCGCCGGCGGCGACTGCAGTTCCTGCGAGCGAGGAGCGCGGGACCTGCTGACACGCTGACGCCTTCGAGCGCGGCCCGGGGCCCGGAGCGGCCGGAGCAGCCCGGGTCCTGACCCCGGCCCGGCTCCCGCTCCGGGCTCTGCCGGCGGGCGGGCGAGCGCGGCGCGGTCCGGGCCGGGGGGATGTCTCGGCGGACGCGCTGGTGAGACGAGCCGGGAGGGCTTGGGCCCCTCCCCCTCCCTTTAACTCACCCCTCCCCCACCCAGATACCCCCGACCCTCCCCAGGCTCCCACCAAGCTGGGGTGTGTGTGTGTGTTGGGGGTGGGGTGTTTCCGCGGAAATGCTGCGTCCTGGGCCCTCTGAGGCAGGGGCGCGCGTAAAGCTGGGGGGCTCTTGGGCGTCCCTCGCGGCTCCCCAGGCCTGTTGGGCCTCGGAGCTGGGACGGGCGGGTCTCTTGGGACCCGGGCCAAGCCGTGCATGATGTCATTTTGTCTCCCGCCTAATTGCGGGATGGGGGTGGGCCGGCCGGTGTCAGCTGGCAGGGCCTTCGCCGGCGAGGGAGGCGACCCCTGGGAGCGAGAGGGAGTCTTCAAGTCCCAGCCAGTGGGAGACCGAGCCTGGGAGGCACTTGTTGCAGCCTAGTTTTGGGTCAACTTGGTGGGTGGGCTTTGCTCCTTAACATTCCGGGGAGCACAGAGTCCCCCAAGCCCTCTCCCCTGGACTGAGAAGGGTGCTGAGTTGGGGGCTCTTTTGTCTCTCCCACCTGGGTTCCGCGCCCCAGCTTGGTTCGGTTTGAGACCTCTCTTCCTGTTCCCACGAGGAGTTTTGGGCAGCTGGGGTTGAAGGTGCGGGGGAGAGAGAGAGTCCCTGGGGCAAAGGCAGGAACTGCGGTCTCCATTTTACTTATTTCCCCAGAGACTTAAGTGGCAGAGCTGAGCCCGGAGCCAGGTCTGTGGCTCCAGATCCCTGTCTTACACCTGTGCGCCTGGGGCCTGAGCTCCAAGCTTTTCAGCCTGCCTGGGAGACAGGACAGTGGGGTCCTGACCTCTTCCCTGCCTGGATCGCTGCAGCTCAGATAACCTTCGTTCCCTCTTTTTTTTTTTTTTTTTTTTTTTTGAGAAGGAGTCTCGCTCTGATGCCCAGGCTGGAGTGCAGTGGCGCGATCTTGGCTCACTGCAACCTCCGCCTCCCAGGTTCAAGCGATTCTCCTGCCTCAGCTTCCCGAGTAGCTGGGACTTCAGGCACGTGTCACCACGTCGGGCTAATTTTTTGTATGTTTAGTAGAGACAGGGTTTCACCATGTTAGCCAGGATGGTCTCGATCTCCTGACCTTGTGTTCCGCCCGACTCGGCCTCCCAAAGTGCTGGGATTACAGGCGTGAGCCACCTTGCCCGGCCAAACTTCGGTCCCTCTTTAGACGATAGCCTCATCTAAAGATGAAGCCTTCCATCCCTCTAGATTTTTGCCCTTTCAGGCTGAGGATAGGGATCTGAGCACAGGGACTGTGTTCCTCAGGCCCCACTTTCCCAGGCCAATGTCCAGGAAGAGTTTTCTGTTCAGGCGCCTATCAGACCCTGCCCTGGTTTTTTTTTTTTTTTTTTTTGAGGCAGGGTCTCCGTCTGCAGTCCAGGCCGGAGTGCTGTGGTGCTGTCATAGCTCACTGTAGCCCCAACCTCCCAGGTTCAAGTGATCTTCCCAACTCAGCCCGCTGGGACTGCAGGCTGAGTAGCTGGGACTATGGGCACGGGCCGCCACAACTGGCTAATTTATTTAATTATTTAGGAGACAGAGCCACTCTGTGTTGCCCAGGCTGGAGTGCAGTGGCACAATCTCGGCTCACTGCAGCCTCTGCCTCCCGGGTTCAAGGAATTCTGTCTCAGCCTCCCAAGTACCTGGGACTATGGGCACACGCCGCCACGCCTGGCTAATTTTTTGGATTTTTAGTAGAGATGGGTTTCACTGTGTTGCTCAGGCAATCCGCCTGCCTTGGCCTCACAGAGTGCTAGGATTACAGGCGTGAGCCACCGCGTCTGGCGTGTTTTATTTTGTGTAGAGATGGAAGGGGGCGGGAGTGGCCTCGCGTTGTGTCTCACCTCACTATGTTACCCAGGCTGGTCTCGAACTCCTGGCTTCCAGGGATTCTCCCCCACTTGGCCTCCCAAAGTGTCGGGATTACAGGTGTGAGCCACCTTGCCTGGCGCCATCCTGATTTTTTGTTCAGGAAGAGTTATTCCAGGAGTGACTGCCTCTAGACCACCCCAGGTCCTGGGCTACTTCTCCCATGAGGGGCTCAGTGGAGGAACCCCTCCTGTGTGAAGGATGGCAGCTCCACAGCCCTCAGCCCATTTCCTGGCCACTTGCTGTAACTCTCCTCTGCCCTAGTGCCCCACTTCCCGCTTTGTCTCTGACTCACCCCTGTCCTGGAGCAGAGCCCAGCACGTTGAAGGGCAAAAGGTAGGGTATGTTGGACCACAATGTGGTTGCCACCACTAACTGGACTCTGCTTTTTCAGCTGGGATTAGGATATGAGGACTTGCAGGTGTCTGGAGTTAGGAAGGTTCAGAGCCTGGCTCTATGAACTTGGCAGGTGGCCTCACCCCTCTGAGCCTCAATTTCCGCATCTGTTAAGGGGGATAATGAGAATGTGGGTGAAGTTGATGGCCAGCACATATGGTAAAGTATATCATCTCACAGAAATGCCCCAGCTGTCTGAGATGCTGACCCTATCAAACAGCATTGGAGGCTGGGTGTGGTAGCTCATGCCTGTAATCCCAGCACTTTGGGAGGCCAAGAGTTCAAGACCAGCTTGACCAATATGGTGAAACTCCTCGTCTCTACCAAAAATACAAAAATTAGCCGGGCGTGGTGGTAGGCGCCTGTAAGCGCGGCTATTCGGGAGGCTGAGGCAGGAGAATTCACTTGAACCCAGGAGGCAGAGGTTGCTGTGAGTCGAGATCATGCCACTGCACTTCAGCCTGGGTGACAAAGCGAGACTCTATCTCAAAATAAACAAACAAACAAACAAACAGCATTGGAGCACCAGGGAGTGTCCATGCAGACATCATTTCATCCTTGAAAGAATATTTGCTGACCTTCTGTTAGAAGCCAGGCCTTTGTGCTGGATGCTGGAGAAGCAAAGATGGTTTCTGTCACGAGCTGTCTGGGGGCAGTTGATTTTAAAGCCAACTTCATTCTGTTATTAGTATCTTCTGGATTTTTGCCTTCTATATTGAAGTGGTGGAGGACCCATGAACTGGGTCAGGAATGAATTCCAGATCCTTCTGTATTGCTGACTGTAGACACCGTCCCTCCTTTCCTATTTCTGAAAATTTTTTTCTTTTGAAATTGGGTCTTGCCTGGCCTAAAAAATTTAATTAGTATTTCTTATTGACTAATAGGCAGCAGCTTTGCACATTTTTTCATTTATTTGTATATTCAGTCAGTCCCTGGGCAAACATTTCTTAAGCCCTTTTGGTGATAAACCCTGGGATGCCAAGGTGGAGCTGACCTTTGTAGATGATGTGGAGGAGACAGGCAGTTGCAGTGTAAGGGCCCGAGACAGGAGGGTTTCCCATGTGCTATGGAAGTATAGGAGTGACTCTAGGAAGCAACGGTGAGCTTTGGAGAACAAGGAGAAGGTAATGTGGATAGCACAGTAAGCCTTCTTTCATTTGTTTCATTTCCAAACAAGACTTGCCTTGTTTGGAAACCTGTAAGCTTTTTCCAGTTTACAAATGTCTGACCTAGCAACTTACCTGACCAACGTGACCTGATGCAGGTCCTGTCGGGTGGAGTTGGGGAAAGATTACTAACTTTCCTCAAGCACCTGACATCTCTGGAGGTGGATCCTATGATTTCTTTTTTTTCTTTTTTTTTTTTTTTTTGAGACGGAGTCTCCCTCTGTTGCCCAGGCTGCAGTGCAGTGGCACGATCTTGACTCACTGCAACCTCTGCCTCCTGGGTTCAAGCAATTCTCCTGCCTCAGTTTCCCGAGTAGCTAGGACTACAGGTACATGCCACCATGCCCAGCTAATTTTTGTGGGTTTTTATTTATTTATTTTTTTTGAGATGGAGTCTCGTCTGTCGCCCAGGCTGGAGTGCAGTGGCACAATCTCTGATCTCTGCTCACTGCAACCTCCGCCTCCTGGGTTCAAGCAGTTTTTCTGCCTCATCCTCTCGAGTAGCTGGGATTACAGGCGCATGCCACCACACCCAGCTAATTTTTTTGTATTTTTAGTAGAGACATCATTTCACCATGTTGACCAGGCTGGTCTCGAACTCCTGACCTTGTGATCCACCCACCTCGGCCTCCCAAAGTGCTGGGATTACAGGTATGAGTCACCGCGCCCGGCTGATTTCCATTTTTTTTTTTTTTTTTTTTTTTTGTGAGATGGAGTTTCGCTCTTGTTGCCCAGGCTAGAGTGCAATGGCTTGATCTTGGCTCACCGCAACCTCCGCCTCCCAGGTTCAAGCGATTCTCCTGCCTCAGCCTCCTGAGTAGCTGGGATTACAGGCATGCACCATCACACCCGGCTAATTTTGTATTTTTAGTAGAGACGGGGTTTCTCCATGTTGGTCAGGCTAGTCTCGAACTCCCGACCTCAGGTGATCTGCCTGCCTTGGCCCCAAAGTGCTGGGATTACAGGTGTGAGCCACCACACCTGGCCCGATTTCCATTTTTGTAACTATTAAACTGGATAAATACGAGGATTTTTTGGAGCAACTTGGAAGATTGCCTTGTAGAGTAAAAACACCCAGAATTCAAAGCAGCTCGTACTGTTTTTTTTTTTTCCCCTACAGCGGCGTTAGAAGATATTGTACACTGGGCCGGGCGCGGTGGCTCACGCCTGTAATCCCAGCCCGTTGGGAGGCCAAGGCGGGTGGATCACGAGGTCAGGAGTTCAAGACCAGCCTGGCCAAGATGGTGAAACCCTGTATCTGCTAAAAATACAAAAAAAATTAGCCGGGCGCGGTGGCAGGCGTCTGTAATCTCAGCTACTCAGGAGGCTGAGGCAGGAGAATCGCCTGAACCTGGGGGGCAGAGGTTACAGTGAGCTGAGATGTCGCCACTTCACTCTAGCCTGGGTGACAGAGTGAAACTCCGTCTCAAAAAAAAAAAATAGATACTGTACACTGATTTTTCTCTCCATTAATTATGCCTGTGTGTAGGCAAGGATTGAAAAGGGATTTGCAAAAATGGACATAAGCCAGACACGGTGGTGCACACCTGTAATCCAAGTTACTTTGGAAGGCTGAGGCAGGAGGATCCCTTGAGCCCAGGAGTTCAAGACCAGTCTGGGTAGCATACTGAGACCCTGTCATTACAAAAAAAAAAAAAATCAACACACGAAAAAACAACTTGGCCAGTCACAGTGGCTCAGGCCCGTAATACCAGCACTTTGGGAGGCCAAGGTGGGAGGATTGTTTAAGGCCAGGAGTTCCAGATGAGCCTAGGCAAAATAGTGAGATGTTTCTACAAAAAAATACAAAATAGCCAGGCATAGTGTCATATGCAAGTTGTTCCAGGTACTTGGGAGGCTGAGGTGGGAGAATTGGATTGCTTGAGCCTAGGAGTTGGAGGCTGCAGTGAGCTGTGATTATGCCACTACATTCCAGTCTGGGTAACAGAGCCAGACTCTGTCCCTAAAAGAAGAAAAACAACAAATGGACATAGAGAATATATTCAGAATTTTTTTTCCAAATAACTAATATCTCTTAAAATCTTGATGCCTGTTAACTTCATCAACTTTATTCCTTAAAATATCCATGCAGGTTTGTTACTGAAAGGAAAAAGCGATAGTCTGATTTTGAACATAATATTCTTGGTGAAATCTTAACTTTCTTTTTCCTTTTCTTTTTTTGAGACAGTCTTGCTTTGTCACCCAGGCTGGAGTGCAGTGACATGATCTCGGCTCATTGCAACCTTCACCTCCCGGGTTCAAGCAATTCTTCTGCCTCAGCCTCCTGAGTAGCTGAGATTACAGGCATGCGCCACCGCACCCAGCTAATATTTGTATTTTTAGTAGAGATGGGGTTTCACTGTGTTTGATCAGGCTGGTCTTGAACTCCTGACCTCAAGCAATCCACCCACCTCGGCCTCCCAAAGTGCTGGGATTACAGGTTTGAGCCACTGTGCCTGGCCTCTTTTTTTTTTTTTTTTACAGCTTTTGAAATCACTAGGGCATTCCTGAAAATAAAAAAGAAGAAAGTAGCTCTTAACCCTATTTCATTAAAAAATTTAAAAAGAGGTGAGGTCGGGTGTGGTGGCTCATGCCTATAGTCCCAACACTTTGGGAGGCCGTGGTGGGAGGATTGCTTGAGCCCAGGAGTTCAAAACCACCCTGGGCAATATGGTGAGACCCCGTCTCTACAAAAAATACAAAAGTTAGCCGGGCGTGGTGGCATACCCCTGTAGTCACAGCTACTTAGGAGGCTGGGGCGGGACGATCATTTGAGTCCAGGAGTTCAAGGCTGCAGTGAGCTACGATCATGCCACACTGAATTCCAGCCCAGTGACAGAGTGAGACCCTGTCTCAATAAAAATAAGTGAAGCAGAAGTGCCTATGTCTTAAAAAGAAGAAAAAGTAAGAGCCTCTCTCCCCCAGACCTTTCCCTAGGGTGGGCTGGCCGCTGCCTACACGTTCTCCATTATGTAAAACATATGGACACACCATCCTTGACCCTTGGCCTGCTTTCCCCATAGCGAGGATCTGGATGAGCTGCACTACCAGGACACAGATTCAGATGTGCCGGAGCAGAGGGATAGCAAGTGCAAGGTCAAATGGACCCATGAGGAGGTGAGTGCCATGGGGAAGAGAGGGTTGATGGCAGCTGGGGGCTGTCCAGAGGAACTGAGCCTGGAGTGTATTTGATGTCTCATCAGATGGGATGAAGAGGAGGAGCCGGTGAAGGAAGGGATGGGTCCTCTGATTGTCCTCATGCCTCTTCTCAGAGCATTCTGGGGGATTCTCAATTTTGAGGACTCAGTGGGTGGGAAGGGGATGTGTGTCCTAGACCTCAGGGCCCATTGTGTCTCCTGAGCAGCTGCCATGTTCTATGTCATGGACATTGATTGTGCTTTTTGCCTTTTGACTGCTAGGAGGTTTGGCCAAATCTGTAACTCCCCCCACCCTTTTTTTTTTTTTTTTTTTGAGACAGAGTTTCGCTCTTGTCACCCAGGCTAGAGGGCAATGGCATAATCTCAGCTCACTGCAACCTCTGCCTCCTGGGTTCAAGCGATTCTCCTGCCTCAGGTGCGATTACAGGCGTGAGCCACCACATCCAGCTAATTTTTTTTTTTTTTTGAGACAGTCTCGCTTTGTCACCCAGGCTGGAGTATAGTGGCATGATCTTGGCTCACTGCAACCTCTGCCTCCCAGGTTCCAAGCAATTCTCCTGCCTCAGCCTCCCGAGTAGCTGGGATTGCAGGCATGCGCCACCATGCCCAGCTAATTTTTTTTTTTTGTATTTTTAGTAGATACGGGGGCTTCACCATGCTGGCCAGGCTGGTCTCGAACTCCTGACCTCATGATCTGCCCGCCTCGGCCTCCCATAGTGCTGGGATTACAGGCGTGAGCCACTGCACCCGGCCTTAATTTTTGTATTTTTTAGTAGAGACGGAGTTTCACCATGTTGGCCAGGCTAATCTCGAACTCCTGACCCCAGGTGATCCACCTGCCTCGGCCTCCCAAAGTGCTGGGATTACAGGCATGAGTAACCGCACCCTGCCAACTCCCACTTTCTTTTTCTAAAATAATTAACTGTATTGAACCTTCTGACATCAAGCCCTGAATTGGTTTCCTTCTAGCTCCATCTTTTTATTTTATAATAAATGTGATTGAAATATAATTTATATGTAATCATATGCAATCAAATGCCCTTTTTTTAATTCCTTTTTGAGACAGGGTTTTTGCTCTGTCACCCAGGCTGGAGTGCCGTGCTAGCATGGCTCACTGTAGCCTCAACTTTCTGGGCTCAAGCAATCCTCCCCCGTCAGCCTCCTGAGTAGCTGGAACCACAGGCATGCGCCACCACGCCTGGCTAATTTTTGTATTTTTTGTAGAGACAGGGTCTCGCCATGTTGCCCAGGCTGGTCTCAAACTTCTAGGCTCAAGCATTTCTCCCACCTCAGCCTTCCAAAGTGCTAGGATTATAGGTATGAGCCACTGTCCCTGGCCAAATGCCCCTTTTTATGGTGAACAGTTTGATCAGTTTTTTTTCTTTTTTTTTTTTTGAGATGGAGTCTCTGTCTCCCAGGCTGAAGTGCAATGGCGTGATCTCCACTCACTGCAACTTCCGCCTCCTGGGTTCAAGCGATTCTCCTGCCTGAGCCTCCTGAGTAGCTAGGATTACAGGCACCCGCCATCATGCCCAGCTAATTCTTGTATTTTTGTAGAGATGGGGTTTCACCATGTTGGCCAGGCTAGTCTTGAACTCCTGACCTCAAGCAATCCACCCACCTTGGCCTCCCAAAGTGCTGGGATTACAGGCATGAGCCACTACGGTGAGCCGGTTTGATCACTTTTGACAAATGCATATACCAATGTAAGCACCACCCTGATTATCCCAAGAAGTTTTCTGTGGTCCTTTGTGGTCAGGCTTCCCCAGCTCCAGGAAATTGCTGATTTGATTTGTTTTGCCTTTTTCTTTTTGGGGGCTTTGTGTGTGTGTGTGTGTGTGTGTGTTGTTTTTAACTTTAGGTTCAGGGGTATATGTGCAGGTTTATTATATAGGTAAATTGCATGTCGTGGGAGTTTGATGTACAGGTTATTTTGTTACCTAGGTAATAAGCGTGGTACCCAATAGGTAGTTTTTTTTTTTTTAAGGCAGTCTC
Source organism: Homo sapiens (assembly GCF_000001405.40). Lineage (NCBI taxonomy): Eukaryota > Metazoa > Chordata > Mammalia > Primates > Hominidae > Homo > Homo sapiens. Next base: position 43,675,936 of record NC_000020.11, read on the forward strand.
TCTCTGTTGCCCAGGCTGTAGTGCAGTGGTGTGATCTCAGCTCACTGCAACCTCTGCCTCCTGGGTTCAAGCGATTCTCCTACCTCAGCCTCTCAAGTAGCTGGGATTACAGGCACGTGCCACCACGCCTGGTAAATTTTTGTATTTTTAGTAGAGACAAGGTTTCTACTTGTCTCTACTAAAATGTTCACCAGGCTGATCTTGAACTCCTGACCTCAGGTGATCTTCCCACTTCAGCCTCCTGAAGTGCTGGGATTACAGGCGTGAGCCACTGCACCCAGCCCCAATAGGTAGTTTTTTGATCCTCATCCTCCTCCCACCCTCCACCCTCCTCCCACCCTCCACCCTCAAGTAGGCCCTGGTCTCCTTGTTCCCTTCTTCGTGTCCATGTGTATTCAGTGTTTGGCTCTTACTTATAGATGAGAATATGCGGTATTTGGTTTTCTGTTCCTGTGTTTGCTTAGGATAATATGTTTTGCCTGTTCTTGAATCTTCTATAAATGAAATCATACGGTTACATTCTTTGCGTCTGGCTTTTGCTCAGCATTGTGTTGGGTGATTCAGTAACTTGTCCTTTTCTATCACTGGATAGTAGTCCATTGTATGGGTATACCACACAGCGTTTCACCTGTTGATGGATGTTTGGACTGTTTGCAGTTTTTGGCTATCGTGTATAGCGCTACCTTGAAGATTCTTGCATAAGTCTTTTTGCAAATACATGTTTCCCTTTCTTTTGGGAAGATAGGTATGGTCATGGGGTAGGTGTATGTTTAGTTTTACAGAAACTGCCTTTTTCTTAATGGATTGTACCATTTTAGACTTCTACTGGCCTTTTTATTTTACCTCAGTTTTTCTTAGTGTCTTCAGTTCTTCAGTGTTTTTTGTTTTGTTTTGTTTTCAACCCATAGTTAACATCATAGATGTCTTTAATTTTAGGATTGGGTTTTTTTTTTTGTATTGTATTATTTGTATTGCTTTTGTTTTTTGTTTTTAAATAGAGAAGAGGGTCTTGCTATGTTGCCCAGGCTGGTCTCCTGGGCTCAAGCAATCTTCCTGCCTTGGCCTCCCAAAGTGTTGGGATTACAGGCAGAAGCCACCATGACTAGCTTGTTTTGTTTTTTCTAAAACTTGCTGTGTGAGTGGTAAACTCCTTTTAAATCATGAAAGATGTTTTTCCAGATGCGTGCTAAGCAAACCTTTTCTGCTCATCCTGTTGTGGACCAGGGACTATATTTGGCTCTTGTGGGCTTAGAAGAATAAACAAGACCAAGTTCCTACCCCAGAGCAGATTTCTCTCTGGAATGGAGAGATAAGACCGTGTGCAGGTCCCTGGAATGTGCTGTGGTCATCCGCGGCACCGGTAGGATCAGTGTCTGTTGGTGCTCACTGTTGTAGCTCTGGGCACCTGCTAATTGTAAGATGAGTGGATGGCAAGTACCTTTAGAAGGAGAGATTACTGCTGCCTGAAGAGGTTAAGGAAACTTATGTGGAGAAAGTGACCTTTGAGCTAAGGATGAGGATTTGGAAATTTAGCAGTGAGGGAAGACCTACAGTGTGCAAAAAGTGGGTAAGTCAGATCAGGAAAGGGGCTATAGGTGGAGAAAAGCCAGTACAGGAGGCCAGTTTGGTGGGAGGGAAGGGTCCTTGAAGGGGAGAAATGGTTGACGGAGATGGCCGCCCGGCCACCCCTACTGGGAAGTGAGGAGCCCCTCTGCCTGGCCAGCCGCCCCGACTGGGAGGGAGGTGGGGGGGTCAGCCCCCTGCCTGGCCAGCCACCCCGTCCGGGAGGTGAGGGGCGCCTCTGCCCGGCCGCCCCTACTGGGAAGTGAGGAGCCCCTCTGCCCGGCCACCACCCCGTCTGGGAGGTGTACCCAACAGCTCATTGAGAACGGGCCATGATGACAATGGCAGTTTTGTGGAATAGAAAGAGGGGAAAGGTGGGGAAAAGATTGAGAAATCGGATGGTTGCCGTGTCTGTGTAGAAAGAGGTAGACATGGGAGACTTTTCATTTTGTTCTGTACTAAGAAAAATTCTTCTGCCTTGGGATCCTGTTGATCTATGATCTTACCCCCAACCCTGTGCTCTCTGAAACGTGCTGTGTCCACTCAGGGTTAAATGGATTAAGGGCGGTGCAAGATGTGCTTTGTTAAACAGACGCTTGAAGGCAGCATGCTCGTTAAGAGTCATCACCACTCCCTAATCTCAAGTACCCAGGGACACAAACACTGCGGAAGGCCGCAGGGTCCTCTGCCTAGGAAAACCAGAGACCTTTGTTTACTTGTTTATCTGCTGACCTTCCCTCCACTATTGTCCTGTGACCCTGCCAAATCCCCCTCTGCGAGAAACACCCAAGAATGATCAATAAAAAAATAAATAAAGAAAGAAAGAAAGAAAGAAAAAAAAAAAAAAAGAAAGGATACACTGGGGCTGATTCCTCGAGGGCCTTGAATGTTGGGCTTAGAAGCTGTAGGATTGTTCAGCTCTCAATGCAGAGCCAGGTTAGCTTGGTTTTTGGATTGTTTTTTCTAACTCTGAACTGGACAAAGATGGAAGGTTTTTAATGCAGGGAGTGATGTGAATGTAGCCGGGCTTCAGGGGAGTTCATCTGCTGTGTGGGGGATCGATAAGAGAGATGGGTGGCCTGGCGCGGTGGCTCACGCCTGTAATCCCAGCACTTTGGGAGGCTGAGATGGGTGGATCACCTGAGATTAGGAGTTCCAGACCAGCCTGGCCAACATGGCTGAATCCTGTCTCTACTAAAAATACAAAAAATTAGCTGGGTGTGGTTGTGGGCACCTGTAATCCCAGCAATTTGGGAGGCTGAGGCAGGAGAATCACTTGAACCCAGAGGCGGAAGTTGCAGTGAGCTGAGATCGCACCATTGCACTCCAGCCTGGACAACAAGAGCAAAACTCCGTCTCAAAAAAAAAAAAAAAAAGAAAAAAACATATAGAGCACAGGCTGGGGCTGAGAGACCAGTGCTGAGGGAGTGGGAGAGGGCGCTGTGCCAGGCAAGCAAGAGGTGGCTGTGGAGAGGGCAGTGCGGGGATGGAGCTGACCACGTTGGGGAGTCCCAGGGTGGGTGGGAAGAATGTAAGTTTGGAAATGATAGTATCCAGGTCAGTTGTCAGGGAGAGTGGTGGTGCCAGAGATGGACTGGGGAACACAGAAGGAAGCAGGTAAGAGCCTGGCCAGGGCAGGGAGGGGACATGGTATAGGTAGGGAAGGGTGTCCTGGGCTGGCTCACCCAGAGAATTTATGGTGACTTTGCCCAGCCTGTGCTGGTTCTGGCCAAGCTGTAGTTGAGGGCTTTGATACCTGTCGTGGGCCACGTTGTGACCAATTTTTCTGTCTAGGAGCATGTATACATATATACACATATAAATTTGTATGTGTGACAAAACCACCTCACTTTAAATTTATCCCCTTTTCCTCCCCCTTAAATCTACCCCTTAACCATCTTTAACTTTGTAGTTCAGTGGTGTTAAGTATTTTCAGATTGTTTTGCAAAAGATCTCTAAAACTTTTTCATCTTTGAAATTGGAAACGAGGCTGAGTGTGGTGGTTTATGCCTGTAAACCGAGTACTGTGGGAGGCCGAAGCGGGAGGATTGCCTGAGTGTAAGAGTCCTAGACCAGCTTGGAAAACATAGCAAGACCCTATCATTAAAAACAAAACAAAAAATACCCACCAACTTGGTGGGTCACGGTGGCTCAGGCCTGTAATCCCAGCACTTTGGGAGGCCGAGGCAGGAGATTGCTTGAGGCAGTCTAGACCAGCCTGAAGAACATGTGAGATCCTGTCTCTACAACAAAAAAATGAAAATTAGCCAGGCCTGGTGGTGTGTGTCTGTGGTCCCACCTACTTGGGAGGCTGAGGTGGAAGGATCACTTGAGCCCATGAGGTTGAGGATGCGGGGTGGGCTGTGTTTGCACCACTGCACTCTAGCTTGGGTGACCAAGAGAGACCCTATCTCAAAAAAAAAAAAAGGATGGAAAACTGAAACTAATTAAACATGAATTCACTCTCCTCCCACCCTCCAGCCCTTGGCAGCTATCTTTCTACTCTGTTTCTGTGATTTTGACTATTTTATTTATTTATTTTATTTTTTCAAGACAGAGTCTTGCTCTGTTGCCCATGCTGCAGTGCAATGGCATGATCTTAGCTCACTGCAACCTCTACTTCCCGGGTTCAAGTGAATCTTCTGCTGCAGCCTCCCGAGTAGCTGGGATCACAGGCGCCTGCCACCACGCTGGGCTAATTTTTGTATTAGTAGAGACGAACTTTCACCATGTTGGCCAGGCTGGTCTCAAACTCCTGACCTCAGGTGATCCACCTGCCTCGGCCTCCTGAAGTGTTGGGGTTAAAGGCATGAGCCACTGCTCCCTGCCTGATTTTGACTATTTTAGATGCTTCCTGTGAGTGGAATCCTGAGTATTTGCCCTGTCTGGCTATTTGACTTAGCATAGTGTCCTCAGCTTTCATCCATGCTGTAGCATGTGTCAGAATTCTCTCGACTGAGTAATATCCATTGTTTATATGCATGACATTTTCTTTCTTTTTTCTTTTGTTTGAGATGGAGTCTCACTCTTGCTCTGTTGCCGAGGCTGGAGTGCAGTGGCATGATCTCGGCTCACTGCAACCTCCGCCTCCCAGGTTCAAGCAATTCTTCCTCATCCTCCCGAGTAGCTGGGATTACAGGCACCCACCACCACACCTGGCTAATTTTTGTATTTTTAATAGAGATGGGGTTTCGCCATATTGGCCAGGCTGGTCTCGAACCCCTGACCTCGTGATCTGCCCACCACGGCCTCCCAAAGTGCTGGGATTACAGGTGTGAGCCACTGCGCCTGGCTTGACATTTTCTTTATATATTAATTGATTTGACTGAGGAAAACTTTATATATAATTAACTACAACCATTTGTAGTACAATTCAGTAGAACCACCAGCACAGCCGGGCTATAGGACATTTCCATTGTCCCCAAGACATTCCTTGCCCCCCTTTGCTGTTCATCCCTTTCCACCACTGGCCTCAGACAACCACTTTTTGTCCCTATAGCTTAGTTTACATTTTCTAGAACTTCATGTGCATGGAATCATACGGCATGTACCCTCCTGTGTCTGGCTTCTTTCACACATCATAGTGACACTGAGATTCATGTTATCGCGTGAATTGGTAGTTCATTTCGGGAGGCTATTTTGATAGATACTAGCCTGTCTTCTAACTACTCTTGTTTTTGCCCAGACCTCCAGCTTCTAGTGCTGAATCACTGTCAGCTCTGGCCTGAGTTCAGTAATGACCTCCTTATGTCCGCTCGGCTCCCTTCCAGCCCCTTTCCCACCCTGTAGCAGGCAAAGAGAACTTTACAAAGTTCTCTTCATAGAACGTTTGACTGTGACCACCCACTCTTCAAACACATCAGTGGTTTTGCATGATAGATGGTTGAACTGATGCTGCGAATGGTCTGGCCCCTATGGTTCCCTCCAAAATCATCTTGGATCTGTTTTGCTTCCTCCATTTTAGCTATTCTGCATTTCCTTGGAACCTGTCCCTTAGTGTCCCTGAGTAGGCAGTCACCACGTACCTCTCCATATCTCCCAGCAGGGGGTGGCTTTACTTTTGTTCCTGTGAGCCTTCCATTGGCAGCTGGCTCCCTCCCATGAGATCAGGGGCAGCTCTTTTGCTGCCTGCTGCTGCAGCTGTAGTGCCTGGCACCTTGTACGTATTCACTTCATGACGGAATGGATGAACGAGGCTGTTCTTTTAGATTGGGCTCTGTCACGGGCAGCCCTGAGGTTTTCTGCACGTATGTGTGCTGAGCCCCTGTCTTTCTGGTGTTGGCAGGACGAGCAGCTGAGGGCCCTGGTGAGGCAGTTTGGACAGCAGGACTGGAAGTTCCTGGCCAGCCACTTCCCTGTGAGTACAGTCCTGCTGTGGCCCTCCCTCGGGGCAAGGGCTCTGGGAGAACAGTGTGCCTGGGACAGACTTTGCCAAGGAGGGGAAAAGGGAGTTCCTTACTCAGCCCCTGAAAACAAAACCAAATAAAACAGGGCAAATGGACCTTTGTAGGATCTCTCTTCCCAAGCTGGCATTCAGGGTACACTGCTGTAAACATCTTCCAGCTCCTCAGCATGCCTGGTGGTCTTCAGGCTCTGAGACATTTGCAGCATGTGGTGCATATTTGCATTTCTTCCTGTAAGTCAGGAGTGAACAGGTGTTCGGTTTCTCAACAGTGAGACTGAAACTGAGGGGAAGTGATGCTTTCAGCAGGCTTCATGGTGAGGCCCCTGCAGGGCTGGCAGGTGCTACCACATTCGAGTATTTAGAGCCTCCTGATGGTGAGGGGGTTCCCCTCAGGACCTCCTTCTCAGGCCCTCCCACCCCTGACCCACAGGTGTCTGGGAGGGAGGGGGTGTGGCAGGAGCTGCCATATGTCTTACTGCCTGGGCTGCTCAGAAAGCATGTCACCAGATCCTTTCCTGCCCCATTTCCTCATCTCCCCCTCTTCTGTGTAATCTGAACTCTTCAGGGAATAAAAATGCTCTCCTAGAAAAAAGCAGGGGTCCCTGACGTACAAGGAATTAAAGACTTGTGATGGTGGCCCCTTGTGTTCGGTTGGTAGGGAGCGGCTTCCCACAGGGGACCGAGTTTGCCCTCTCGTGTAGCAAAGGGAAACCGCCCATGTTCCGGCATGTGGGCTTGCAGTGAGTGGTGGCTGCATGGAACAGGACACACCTACCCAAGGTGTGCCTAGTCCCAGGCCATAGGCCCCTGAGCCTAGTACTTAACCAGGCCCCCAGCCCGAGGTCCCAGAAGTTCTCACAGATTGGTTTGTTCTTCTGTTCTTTTCCCAGAACCGCACTGACCAGCAATGCCAGTACAGGTGGCTGAGAGTTTTGAATCCAGACCTTGTCAAGGGGCCATGGACCAAAGAGGAAGACCAAAAAGTAACTGCTGGGACAGTGCCTTGCACACAGTGGGTCTTCACCCACCAGTGTACCTGGGGACTGTGAGATTGCCTTGTGTTGGGGTTGGGGGTGTCAAGCTGAGCATTGGGTGTGAGTTGTCTACCAGCCAGTCTGGACACTCTTATGCTGCCCTGGCTCCAGCCCTGAGATTCCAAGTTTCAGAGTGTCTCCAGGCTTCCTCACTCATGGTCTGAGGGCTATTGGGCTGATTACTCGGCTTCTCTTGTTCCACCCATGGAGGGGAGCAGTAGCAGTGCAGCGTTGTCATGAGAATTAAGCAGGTGATGCTTGTAGGGGGCTTGCAGGTTCTGTACATTTGCTCTCAGCAAATGGCAGCTGCTGCTATCCCTGATTTAATGATGATTGCACCCTGTGACCTTCACAGGGCACAGATGCCTTCTTTTGATCGCCACAGCAGTCCTGTGAGGTGGGCAGAAGTTGTTAGTCCCATTTTATAGATGGAGAGAGCAAGGCTCAGAGAGGTTGGGGATGTCCCCAACCTAGAAGAGGCAATAAGTGCCATGACTGCCTGGGGCTACCTTGGGAGTTCCCTCATCTCTTCTCCTCGATACCAGCCCAGAGGATGCCATTCCACTGAGGCAGGCATGGCTTATGAGAAAGAGGGAGATGAAGGGAACTAGGCATTTTTTTTTTTTTTTTTTTTGAGACGGAGTCTTGCTTTGTCGCTCAGGTTAGAGTGCAGTGGCGCGATCTCAGCTCACTGCATCCTCCGCCTCCCGGGTTCAAGCGATTCTCGTGTCTTAGCCTCTTGATTAGCTGGGATTACAGGCACGTGCTACCACACCTGGCTAATTTTTTTGTATTTTTAATAGAGATGGGGTTTCACCATGTTGGTCAGGCTGGTCTTGAACTCCTGACCTCGTGATCTACCCGCCTCAGCCTCCCAAAGTGCTGGAATTACAGACGTGAGCCACCGTGCCTGGCCTGGAACTAGGCGTTTTTAAATTAATTTTTTTTTGAGACGAGTCTTACTCTGTTGCACTGGCTGGAGAGTGTTGGCTAATTTTTTTGATTGATTGAGGCGGGGGTTCGCTCTGTCACCCAGGCTGGGGTACAGTGACATAATCACGGCTCATTGCAGCCTCGACCTCCCAGGCCCAAGCAATCCTCCCACCTCAGCTTCTAAAGTAGCTGGTGCCACATGTGCCACCATGTCTGGCTAATCTTTTTGAAAAATTTTTGTAGAGAGAGTATCTCACTATGCTGCCCAGGCTGGTTGAACTTCTGGGCTCAAATGATCCTCCCACGTCAGCCTCTCAAAGTGCTGGGATTGTAGGTATGAGCCACCATTCCTGTTCTTTTTTTTTTTTTCCTTGTTAATTTTTTTGAGACTGAGTCTTGCTCTGTCGTCCAGGCTGGAGTGCAATGGCGTGATCTTGGCTTACTGCAACCTTCGCCTCCTGGGTTCCAGCAATTCTCTGCCTCAGCCTCCTGAGGAGCTGGGATTACAGGCGCCTGCCACCACGCCCGGCTAATTTTTGTATTTTTAGTAGAGACAGGGTTTCACCATGTTGGCCTGACTGGTCTTGAACTCCTGACCTTGTGATCTACCCACCTCAGCCTCCCAAAGTGCTGGGATTACAAGCGTGAGCCACTGTGCCCGGCCTTTTTTTTTTTTTTTTTAATTTGTAGAGACAGGGTCTTCCTATGTTTTCCAGGCTGGTCTTGAACTACAGGGCTCAAGCTATCTTCTCGCCTTGGCCTCCCAAAGTTCTGGGATTACAGTCATGAGCCATGGCTGGCACTTCGCCTTAAAATTAATTTTTAAGTAACTCGGCGTGGTGGTGGGGTGCCTGTAGTTGGGAGGCTGAGTTGGGAGGATTGCTTGAGCCCAGGAGTTCGAGGTTACAGTGAGCTACGATCACACCACTGTACTCCAGTCTGGGTGACAGAGTGAGACCCTGTCTCTTAAAAAAAAAAAAACACAAAAGAAAACACCTGGGCGTGGTGGCTCACACCTGTAATCCCAGCATTTTGGGAGCCTGGGGTGGGTGGATCACCTGATGTCAGGAGTTTGAGACCAGCCTGACCAACATGGCGAAACCCCGTCTCTACTAAAAATGCAAAGATGAGCTGGGTGTGGTAACCCATACCTGTAATCCCAGCTACTTGGGAGGCTGAGGCAGGAGAATCACCTGAAGTGGGGAGGCGGAGGTTGCAGTGAGCCGAGATGGCGCCATTGTACTCCAGCCTGGGCAGCAGGAGCGAAACTCTGTCTCAAAAAAAAAAAAAAAAGAATGAAATAAAATTTATTTATTTATTTATTTTTGAGATGGAGTTTCGCTCTTGTTGCCCAGGCTGGAGTGCAGTGGCATGATCTCAGCTCATTGCAACCTCCTCCTCCTAGGGACAAGCGATTTTCCTGCCTCAGCCTCCGGAGCAGCTGAGATTACAGGTGCATGCTACCACGCCTGGCTGATTTTTGCATTTTTAGTAGAGACGGGGTTTTGCCATGTTGGTCAGGCTGGTCTTGAACTCCTGACCTCAGGTGATCCACCTGCCTCGACCTCCCAAAGTGCTTGGATTACAGGTGTGAGCCACCGGGCCTGGCCTGAGACCTTGTCTCTTAAGAATAAAATAAAATTTAGTTTGAAAATACTTTTTTGGCTGGGTGTGGCCAGGAATTTGAGAACAGCCTGGCCAACATGGTGAAACCCTGTCTACCAAAAAATACAAAAATTAGCCAGGTGTCTTGGTGTGCCTGTAATCCCAGCTACTCAGGAGGCTGAGGCGGGAGAATCGCTTGAACCCAGGAGACGGAGGTTGCAGTGAGCTGAGATCGCCCCACTGCACCCCAGCCTGGGCGACAGAGTGAGACACTGTCTCAAAAAAATGGCGGTGGCTCACGCCTATAATCCCAGCACTTTGGGAGGCCAAGTCGGGCGGATCACCTGAGGTCGGGAGTTCAAGACCAGCCTTATCAACATGGAGAAACCCCGTCTCTACTAAAAATACAAAATTAGCCGGGCATGGTGGTGCATGCCTGTAATCTCAGCTACTTGGGAGGCTGAGGCAGGAGAATCACTTGAACCCGGAAGGCGGAGGTTGTGGTGAGCCAAGATCGTGCCATTGCACTCCAGCCTGGGCAACAAGAGCAAAACTTCGTCTCAAAAAAAATAAATAAAAAATAAAAAGTGAAAACATAAAATCTTTAAAAAAAAAAATCAAAGTGATATGTGGTTGCTATAAAAATTTAAACCATACAGAAGTGAAGTCAAATATTTCTTCACCAAAATCTTTGCCAAAAGAAGCATCCACTCTTCCCAGTTTCTTGTGGCCTGTGTGCACATGAGAACGCGTGTGTCTGTTGTGTAGGTGGGGCCTGGCCTGGCTCTTGTGGCTGCGTATGTTGTGGTTTGTGTCCTGAGCTAGGAAGCCTGACTGAGGGCAGGTGGGGACTCAGGTCTGGCTAGGTCAGCCCGCGATGCCTGCTACCATGGCTCAGCCTGTGCCCTCCCAATTTCCATGGAAGTGCTGGAGGGTCTTGTGGCAGCCTGGGGCCTGGCTGGTGTGGGAAAGTCTGTTTCCCACCTTTAGTTTGGACTCCGTGTGTGTTGTTCCTCCTCATCCCTCTGCTCTTTTCTACTTAGCTTATTGGGTTGAGCCCTGGAGAGGGAAGCAGGACTCTGGCGCCTTTGTTTACCCCCACTTGATCTCTACTCTAGAAAGGGTCTCTGGTATTCTTGGCCTAGATTTATTCCAGGCAATAAATGAGAGGGATGCGGTCAGATCCTCAGGTAGGCCCTGTGGGCTACACAAAGTCATCCTGGGTGGCATCCCCTGCAGCTCGCTCAGTGTTGCCTGAGGGGATGTGGTAGGTGGCACCTCTCAGGGCCATGGCAAGGCTCAGGTGGATGTGAAGGGCTATGGTGGGGGCGAGAGAGGGGCCGGTGCAAGTGGCTACCCAGAGACTTTTCTCTAAGGTCATCGAGCTGGTTAAGAAGTATGGCACAAAGCAGTGGACACTGATTGCCAAGCACCTGAAGGGCCGGCTGGGGAAGCAGTGCCGTGAACGCTGGCACAACCACCTCAACCCTGAGGTGAAGAAGTCTTGCTGGACCGAGGAGGAGGACCGCATCATCTGCGAGGCCCACAAGGTGCTGGGCAACCGCTGGGCCGAGATCGCCAAGATGTTGCCAGGGAGGTAAGCTGTCTTCTTGGGGGTTGGGACAGGTTCCCGGGAGGCCAGGCCCGTGTTTCTGATGGAGGAGGGTTCCTGGGTGGGTATTGTGGTCCTGTGCTCTTGTTCTGTAACACCCAGCCTCGGCTCCAGGGCTCCCAGAGGCATGCATAGTCAGGAGGAAGGGTGGTTCCCCAGGGAAGGCCCTGTCTTCTGTCAGCTTAAAAGAACAGATGGTGATAAGGGAGGCCTCAGCAAGAAATCGGGAACCCTGGAGTCTAGTTCTCATCCTGTTCCCAGCTCACTGTGTCTTCTTGGTTAGCCTCTTCTCTTCGACTTCAGTTTCTTCTAACACAGAATAGGCTTGAGATGTGGGATAGATGGGCTTTCTTTAAGAAGAAAATGATCAAAAATCAGGTAGTACTATAATCTGCTAAAAGGTGTTTTTTGTTTTTCTTTTTCTTAAAAGGTTTAATAATGAAAAACATCAGTCTTTGTCACCACTCTGTTAAATGACTCTACTAAAACAGACTCATCTTTTTGAGTTCTTTATCTCTTTAAGTGATGTGCCATTTTTCATATTGATCCTCTGCTATGGGAGATTAGCTTTCTTAGGCTTTCCCACTCCCCATATGTCCCTATTGCTCCAATAATGTATGATAGTTATTAAAATAATAATGTTTATGGACGGGCATGGTGGCTCATGCCTGTAATCCTAGCACGTTGGGTGGCTGAGGTGGGTGGATCACTTGAGGTCAGGAGTTCGAGACCAGCCTGGCCAACACAGTGAAGCCTCATCTCTACTAAAAATACAAAAAATTAGCGGGATGTGTTGGTGAGCCTGTAATCCCAGCTACTTGGGAGGCTGAGGCAGAATTGCTTGAACCCAGGAGGCAGAGGTTGCAGTGAGCCGAGATCATATCACTGCACTCCAGCCTGGGCGACAGAGCGAGACTGTCTCCAAAAAAAAAAAAAAAAATTTTTTTTTCCCCTAAATACTGAAAGCATTCCATGATCTTTTCTCCTATTTTTCATCTGTTTTGCTTCATTTTCTAGGAGACTTCTTATCTTCTCTTTTTTTGAAATTATTTTCCCTAAAAATTTTACTTTCTAAGGGCTCCTCCCTTTTCTGGCACTCTTTTTTTATTTTTTATTTATTCTTTTTTTTGGGAGACCAGAGTCTCGCTCTGTCATCCAGGCTGGAGTGCAGTGGCGTGATCCGGGCTCACTGCAACCTCTGCCTCCCAGGTTGAAACGATTCTCCTGGTTCAGCCTCCCAAGTAGCTGGGACTACAGGTCTGTGCCACCATGCCTGGCTAATTTTTGTATTTTTAGTAGAGATGGAATTTCACCATGTTGGCCAGGCTGGTCTCGAACTCTTGACCTCCTGCCCACCTCAGCCTCACAAAGTGTTGGGATTACAGGCATGAGCCACTATGCCCAGACTCTTTAAAACAGGGTTCTCACTCTGTCACCTAAGCTGGAGTGCAGGGGCATAATCATGGCTCATTGCAGCTTCACCCTCCTGAACTCAAGCAATCCTTCTGCCTCAGCCTTCCAAGGACCTGGGACTACAAGCTCATGCCAGCATACCCAGCTAGTTTTAAAATTTTTTGTAGGGGCAGGGTCTCCCTATGTTGCCCAGGCTGGTCCCAAAGTGCTGGGATTACAGGCATGAGCCACCACACCTGGCCTGGCACCCTATTCTTATTTTGTGGTTTCAATAGCTTACTTCTCTGTCAATATTATATTTTTTTTAAGACCGAATTTCGCTCTTATCACCCAGGCTGGAGTGTAGTGGCATGATCTCGGCTCACTGCAACCTCTGCCTCCTGGGTTCAAGTGATTCTCCTGCCTCAGCCTCCTGAGTAGCTGGGATTATAGGCGCCCGCCACCACACCTGACTAATTTTTGTATTTTTAGTAGAGATGGGGTTTTGCCATCTTGGCCAGGCTAGTCTTGAACTCCTGACCTCAGGTGATCTGCCTGCCTTGGGCCTCCCGAAGTGCTGAGATTACAGGTGTGAGCCACCGCACCTGGCCCTAAGCTGGATATTGTTCCCCTGTTTTCCATCTTATGAAAACTTGTAAAAAATCTCTTACTAGTGGCTGTCTTCTACCTGTTTCTCTTTGTCCTTGTGAATTTTTGCCTTGCTTTATTTTGAATCCCTTTTTTTGTCATGGCAGTGTGGTCCTGGCAGGGAGAGAAAATGCCAGATGGTGTGTTTTCCCCAAAGTCTGAAATGATCCCTTTTCAAAGCTCAAACCTGAATGTGTCATCTTTCTGGGGCTTCCCCTGACACTTGGGTTGGAAACTCTGGCTTCTTTCCCCCCATGGCCTGTTTGGCTCACAGGTGCCACCAGCCTCACCTTGATCCACTGTCACTTGTGCTTACTCGGTGTTAGCTGCTTTGCCTCCTTTCAGTCCCTCGAACCCTGAGCTCTTCTCAGAGCTCCTAGTGCTCCTCTGTCGGCCTGCAGTGCACTCCCGCTTGTGCCTATTGTGTAGCTAATGTGTTCTCATCCTTCAGTTCTCAGTGGGGGTGCTATTTCTTCAGAGAAGTTTTCTCTGTTCTCCCAGACTGTGGTTGGTCTCTGGTGACCTCTGTGTTGTGCCCACACCTGTCTGCAGAGTAGTGTGTACCCCAGTTGTAGCTGAAGATAACATTCATCTCCCCTGCTAGATTTAACTGTCAATGGCAGCCACTTGTCTTATTTACCAGATGGATCCCCAGTGCCTACAATAATGCCTGGCACACAGTGGGTGCTTTTTATATGCGAGCAAAAGAAGGAGTCTCACTATAGCTTGGGGCACCCCAGACTCTGGTCTTGGGGAGTGGGAGGGCTGGGGAGGTGTTTTGGGTCAGGTTCCCTGGAAGCGGAACCTGTGACTCAAGAGTTTCAGGTACATGGGATCTCTTGGAAAGGTTCTCACCTGTGAGGGAAGGAGTGGAGAAAAGAAGGGAAGGGGCCAAGCAAGGGATGGGGTCTTGGAAAATAGAGCTTTGGCCTGCTATAAGGCCAAGGAGTGTGTGTGTTCACATGTATGCATGCGAGGTATGTACATATGAGGAGGGCGCATGTGTACATGGGTTGGGGAACTCCTGGGGCATCTTCGGTTGTGCCTTCCAAGAGCTGTTTTTTGTTTTTTTTTTTTTGTTTGTTTTTTGTTTTTTGAGACGGAGTCTTGCTCTGTCGCCCAGGCTGGAGTGCAGTGGCGTGACCTCAGCTCACTGCAACCTCCGCGTCCCAGGTTCAAGCGATTCTCCTGCCTCAGCCTCCTGAGTAGCTGGGATTACAGGTATGCACCACCACGCCTGGCTAATTTTTGTATTTTTGGTAGAGACGGGATTTCACCATGTTGGCCAGGCTGGTGTTGAACTCCTGACCTTAGGTGATCTGCTTCCAAGGGCTCTTATGCAGATAAAGTCATAGTAGAAGCCGTCGGCAGCATGCCCGGCAGCTGGGGGATTGGATTCGCTGTAGGGACAGAGGATCTGGGCAAAGCACCAGGAGCACCCCTTACCCTACACCTTTGCCCAGTGAGCATTGTGTCCCTGAAGGCTTAGAGTGCAAATGATCCGAGGATATTCTCTTAGACTGGGTGCTCAGTTAAGCTGTTACTCTCTGTTCACTTTTCAAGGAAAGAGTATTCTGCTTGGCACTCCAAAGAAGGTGGTGACTACTATGTGTCAGCACAGTACCTTTGTATTTTTAGTAGAGATGGGGTTTCACTATGTTGGCCAGGCTGGTCTTGAACTCCTGACCTCAGGTGATCCACCTGCCTCAGCCTCCCAAAGTGCTGGGATTACAGGCGTGAGCCACCGCGCCTGACCTGCCGCTTGCTTCTCACCACTATACTTCTATACACTTTTGTGGTACTATCCCGTCCTTCTGTATTACTCTATGCCTTTATTACTACATGTTTCTCTGCTACTCTACTCTGTGCTTTATGCTACTGTTCTACTGTAGATGTGTCTCCTCCCTGAATCTTCAGTGAGTGATGGAGTATGACGTAGTCTTCTGACCTTCCAGATAAAGAAACCAAGGCTTAGGGAGGTGAACAGTTCTGGGCCTTCTGCCCTCTTTGGCCACTTATCAGTCTGTGGGAGGTGAACAGGCCTTGCATCTGAGGTCAGCGTGAGACTCAGTGGAAATGAGCAGACAGTGTTGCTTATGGCTTCTACACATTCGAAGTGGGCAGGGAAGGGGGTGAGAGTTCCAAGCACATATCTTCAGTTTTATAATTTTTAAAAAATTTAAAATTTTTTTTTTCATTTTTATTTATTTTTGAGATGGAGTCTCACTCTGTTGCCCAGGCTGTAGTGCAGTGGCGCAATCTCGGCTCATCACAACCTCCACCTCCCGGGTTTAAGCGATTCTCATGCCTCAGACTCCCAAGTAGCTGGGATTACAGGTGCCTGGCATCACGCCCAGCACCTCCCAAAGTGCCAGGATTACAGGCGTGAGCCACTGTTCCTGGTCTTATATATACATTTTTTTTTTTTTTGAGGTGGAATTTTACTTTTGTTCCCAGGCTGGAGTGCAATGGCATCATCTTGGCTAACCACAACCTCTACCTCCTGGGTTCAAGCGATTCTCCTTCCTCAGACTCCCAAGTAGCTGGGATTACAGGCATGTGCCACCATGCCTGGCTAATTTTGTATTTTTAGTAGAGACAGGGTTTCTCTGTGTTGGTCAGGCTGGTCTCGAACTCCCGATCTCAGGTGATCTGCTCGCCTAGGCCGCCCAGAGTGCTGGGATCACAGGTGTGGTGAGCCACCGCACTCGGCAATTTTTTTTTTTTTTTAATTAAAAAAAATTTTGTTTTTTACCTGAACCTGACAGTAGCTGGTGCCATTTTATAATTTTTGCCATAGCCTGAATGATTCAGTTGCTTATTTCACAGAGCTTCGTGGAAATGCTCTGTAAATTATTAGGGCTAGAGACTTGTGAGACTTCATCTTGGAACTGAAAGAGACCTTAGAGTTCATCTAGTGGAAGATTCATTTACAGGAGCAGGAACTTGGCTTAGGGAGGTTAGTGATGTGCCTGATGGCACCCCACCCACAGAGCTGGGGTTCAAAGGCCCCCTGCTGCCCCCTGCAGGACAGACAATGCTGTGAAGAATCACTGGAACTCTACCATCAAAAGGAAGGTGGACACAGGAGGCTTCTTGAGCGAGTCCAAAGACTGCAAGCCCCCAGTGTACTTGCTGCTGGAGCTCGAGGACAAGGACGGCCTCCAGAGTGCCCAGCCCACGGAAGGCCAGGTGAGACAGCTGCTCAGCCTTTGGCTTGGTTTGATTTCACATTCATCTGACACCATCTCATTGAACACCTTGTCCACAGCTATTGGTCAGTTTCTGCCACAGAGTCTAAAAGTGGGCTCTGTGCTTCTGGGGCCTTGTGAGACTTCTGCACATAACTGGCACTTGTCTGCCTGCAGATGAAGGATAGCAGAGCAAGCTGATTATATAAAACTGTGAATTAGTTAAGGAGATCCTCAGCCTCCATCTCTCCTTGCTGGTGGCCACCTTCTTACCTGTTGCTCATTTTAATTTTTTAAAACTGAAAGCATGTTTGCAATAAAAAAATCAGAGGTGGCTGGGTGCGTTGGTTCACACCTGTAATCCCAGCAAGTTGAGAGGCTGAAGCGGGCGGATTGCTCAAGCCCAGGAGTTGGAGGCCAGTTCAGGCAACATGGTGAAACCTTGTCTCTATCTTTTTAATTAAAAAAAATTAAAAAATGTATTGAGTTGTAATTTACGTACTCTAATAAACAGTTTTGAGTTATGACAAAGCATACAGCCATGTAACCACTGTCACAGTCAAGGTATACAACAGTCCCATCACCCCAGAATTCCCTCGTGCTCCTTTTCTTAGCCTTTTTTCGGCCCTTAGCTCCTTGCACTGTGATCTGTTTTCTGTCTCTATAATTTTGACTTTTCTAGAAATTAACAATTAAAATCCTATAGTATTACATTTGCAGGCTGTTTTTTTTGAGACAGAGTTTTGCTCTGATGCCCAGGCTGGAGTTGCAGGGTGTGATCTTGGCTCACTGTAACCTCTGCCTCCTGGGATCAAGCGATCTCATGCCTCAGCAACCTGAGTAGCTGAGATTACAGGCATGCACCACCACGCCTGACTAATTTTTGCATTTTTAGTAGAGATGGGGTTTCACCACGTTGGCCAGGCTGGGTTTGAATTCCTAGCCTGAAGAGATCCGCCTGCCTTGGCCTCCCAAAGTGTTGGGATTACAGATGTGAGCCACCATGTCTGGCACTACATTTGCAGTTTTTATTTATTTATTTTTTGAGATGGAGTCTCTGTCGCTCAGGCTGGAGTGCAGTTATATGATAGCTCACTGCAACCTCCGCCTCCCAGGTTAAAGCGATTCTGCTAACTCAGCATCCCGAGTAGCTGGGATTACAGGTGCACACCACCATGCCTGGCTAATTTTTGTATTCTTAGAGATGGGGGTCTCACCATGTTGGTCAAACTGGTCTCAAACTCCTGACTTCAAATGATCCACCCACCTGAGCCTCCCAAAGTGCTGGCATTACAGACGTGAGCCAGCATGCCCCAGCTACATTTGCAGTTTTAAAAATGAAATCAGTATATACTTATGTTAACATCCACTGTCCTATATACCAGAGCAAAGTTTTTATTTATATTTTTTAGCTATATCTCTAAAGGTTATTTTTCAAAATAAAAATTTGGGTAGGGCGTGGTGGCTAACATCTGTAATCCCAGCACTTTGGGAGGCCAAGGCTTTTGGATCTCTTGAGCCCAGGAGTTTAAGACCAGCTTGGGCAACATGGTGAAACCCCATTTCTATAAAAAGGAAAATTAGCTGTGTGTGATTTTGTGCACCTGTAGTCCCAGCTACTTGGGAGGCTGAGGTGGAAGGATTATTTGAGCCTGGGAGGTGGAAGTTGCAGTGAGTTGAGATCCCGCCACTGCACTCCAGCTTTTATTTATAAATAAAATAAAAATTTGAAGGCCGGGCACGGTGGCTCACGCCTGTAATTGCAGCATTTTGGGAGGCCGAGGCGGGTGGATCACGAGGACAGGAGATTGAGACCATCCTGGCTAACACGGTGAAACCCCGTCTCTACTAAAAGTACAAAAAATTAGCTGGGCGTGGTGGCGGGTGCCTGTAGTCCCAGCTACCCAGGAGGCTGAGGCAGGAGAATGGCGTGAACCCGGGAGGCAGAGCTTGCAGTGAGCCGAGATCACGCCACTGCACTCCAGCCTGGGTGACAGAGTGAGACTCTGTCACAAAAAAATAAAACTAAAGAAAATTAAATAAATAAATAAAAATTTGAAGCAAGCATGACAAAAAATAGATTTGATGATGCCGGCTGTGTGGTAGGTAACAATTGTCCTTTGTTATTTTCTAATCTTTTCTGTCATGGTGTGAACTATTTAATAATTTTAAAAAATCTTTTTCCCTCTTCTTACTGGGTAGAGATAACTTGTTGACAGTTACAATTCTTCCACAATGCCCTGCTAGAGCGATATATTATGTTTTTGCCTCTATTTCTTGAATTTTCAATTTTAGAGAATATCTCTCGATTGCCCAATATGAATGCACCTATGGGGTAACTTTCAAAGGGCAGAGAAATGTATCAAATGAAAAGTAAAACGACTTCTTTTTCTGGTTTCAACTCCCTGTGCATCTCTTAACCGGAGGAGTCTACTTCTGACAATTTCTTGTACATCTAAGTAGTATGTGTTTGATCTTTTACTTCTGATTGAAGAAAAGGTCTCCGTTCCACAAAGAGAAACAGCGGGCATCAGCCGACTCATAGAAGACTTTCAGCATAGGACAGAGTGAACAGATCTCTAGTCTCTTAAAAACTCTACTGTGCTGAAAGCCAGTTATTGACTTGGCTTTTGTCCCCTGACACTTTGAGTGTCTGGAGTGCTGGCTGTGCTGGGCTGGGACCAAGCCCCAGACCATGACCCTGAGCACAGGAGGTCAATTTTTTTTTTTTTTTGGAGACAGAGTCTTGCTCTTGCCCAGGCTG
Source organism: Homo sapiens (assembly GCF_000001405.40). NCBI lineage: Eukaryota > Metazoa > Chordata > Mammalia > Primates > Hominidae > Homo > Homo sapiens. The sequence continues at coordinate 43,695,083 of NC_000020.11, forward strand.
GAGTGCAGTGGTGCCATCTCTGCTTGCTGCAACCTCCACCTCCCAAGTTCAAGTGGTTCTCCTGCCTCAGCCTCCTGAGTAGCTGGGAAACTGGGATTATAGGCATTCGCCACCATCCTGGCAAATTTTTGTATTTTTAGTAGAGATGGGGTTTTGCCATTTTGGCCAGGCTGGTCTTGAACTCCTGACCTCAGGTGATCCACCTGCCTCAGCCTCTCAAAGTGCTAGGATTGCAGGCATGAGCCACCATGCCGGGCCTGTGTTGATTTCAGCCTTACCCGTGTCTCTCCAATGTGGTCTTTCTGGTGTGCTATTTATTTAACTAGTTTCTTACTGATGTAGATAAGGGTATTACTGGTTTTTTGTTATTAGAGATAAAACTCTTAACAGTCACCCTTGTGGCCAAATGACTGCTTCTTTGTGCAGTTATTTCTTGAGAAATTCCTAGAGATGGACAAATATATTTGGTGGTGGGGGGAACCCTTTTGGCTGAGTATGGTGGCTCATTCCTGTAATCCCAGCACTTTGTGAGGCCAAGTTGGGAGGATTCCTTGAGGCCAGGAGTTTGTGACCAGTCTGGGCAACATAGGGAGACTGTCTTTACAAAAAAAAAAAAAAGCTGGTGCGGTGGCACACACCTGTAGTTCCAACTACTTTGGAGCCTGGGGCAGGAAGTTCACTTGAGCCCAGTATTTCAACAGAGTGAGACTCTGTCTTTGAAAAAGCAAACAGGCCAGGCGTCATGGCTTACACCTGTAATCTCAGCACTTTGGGAGGCTGAGGTGGGCGTGGTGACACAGGCTTGTAATCCCAGCTACTCGGGAGGCTGAGGCACGATAATTGAGAATCCACTTGAACTGGCGTGGCGGAGGTTGCAGTGAGCCGAGTTCGCACTGCTGCACTCCAGCCTTGGGTGACAGCAAGACTCTGTCTTAAAAAGAAAAGAAAAAAAACCTCTTAATACATTTTGTTAGATTGCTGCCAGAAGAATTTTGCATGTTAATTCGTGTATGGGACCACTCCCAACTTCTCCACTCACTGGTCAGTGCTTGCTATTATAAAATTGTTTCCTCTGCTTCAGAAGTAATGCGTGATCATTGCAAAAACTTAACAACTTTATAGAATTGGGCAATGCAGAAGGTTGAGCCTGCTCATCTCAACTTTTTTTTTTTTTTGAGACGGAGTTTTGCTCTTGTTGCCCAGGCTGGAGTGCAGTGGTATGATCTTGGCTCACCGCAACCTCCGCCTCCCGGGTTCAAGCGATTCTCCTGCCTCAGCCTGCCGAGTAGCTGGGATTACAAGCATGTGCCACCATGCCTGGCTAATTGGGGTTTCTCCATGTTGGTCAGGCTGGTCTCAAACTCCTGACCTCAGGTGATCTGCCCACCTTGGCCTCCCAAAATACTGGGATTACAGGCGTGAGCCACCACACCAGGCTTAAAATTAGACGATGTCTTACTCTTTTACAACTTTCTTTTTCTATTTAACATATCGTTCCATGTTGTTATGTGTATTCAGATCTCCAACATTCCTGAATTTGCCGTATCTTATTTAACCATTATATTGTCAAACATCTGTTACTATTTCCATCAATGCTATAATGATCATCATTGTTCAGTTTCTTTGTACATTTGCTGAACTGTGTGGTTGATTTTTTTGTTTTTAGATGGGGTCTCACTCTGTTGCCAGGCTGGAGTGCAGTGGTGTGACCTTGGCTCACTGCAACCTCCGCCTCCCGGGTTGAAGTGATTCTCCTGCCTCAGCCTCCTGAGTAGCTGGGATTACAGGCATGCAGCACCATGCCCAGCTAATTTTTGTATTTTTAGTAGAGATGGGGTTTCACCATGTTGGCCAGGATGGTCTCGATTTCTTGACCTCGTGATCTCCCCGCCTCAGTCTCCCAAAGTGCTGGGATTACAGGCGTGAGCCACTGCGCCCGGCCGGTTGATTTTATAGATGTGGAATGATTGGGTAAAATAGTGTGGACATTTGAAGTTTTCATAAGCATTGCCGAATTGCTGCCAAAGGGATTGTACTGTTTAATCCTGCTATAGGTGGTATATAGGACTGCTTGTTTCCAGCCTTATTGTCAATACCGGCTATGGTTATATGAAAAAAAATCTTTGCCAGTTTTAATGAGCAACAAATGCATTATCATGTTCTTATTTTGATTGAATTACTTTGGAGTTGATCTTTTTTTTTTCAGCTTTATTAAAATATAATTGACAAATAAATTGCATATATTGACCAGGGGCGGTGGCTCATGCCTGTATTCCCAGCACTTTGGGAGGCTGAAGTGGGCGGATCACTTGAGGCTAGGAGTTTGAGGCCAGCCTGGCCAATACGGTGAAACCCCATCTCTACTAAAAATATAAAAAATTAACCGGGTGTGGTGGTGCACGCCTGTAGTCCCAGCTGCTCAGGAGGCTGAGGCATGAGAATCACCTGAACCTGGGAGGTGGAGGTTGCAGTGAGCTGAGAGTGTGCCTCTGCACGCCAGCCTGGGTAACAGCAAGACTCTGTCTCAAAAAACAACAAGGGCTGGGCGCAATGGCTCACGCCTGTAATCCCAGCACTTTGGGAGGCTGAGGCAGGCGGATCACGAGGTCAGGAGATGGAGACCATCCTGGCTAGCATGGTGAAACCCCATCTCTACTAAAAATACAAAAAAGAACCCAAAAAATTAACCGGTCATGGTGGCGGGCACCTGTAGTCCCAGCTACTAGGGAGGCTGAGGCAGGAGAATGGCGTGAACCTGGGAGGTGGAGCTTGCAGTGAGCCGAGATCGCGCCACTGCATTTCAGCCTGGGCAACAGAGTGAGACTCCATCTCAAAAAAAAAAAAAAAAAATTGCGTGTATTTATGGTGTGCAATGTGATGTTTTGATTCATTGTTTTGGTTTTCATTTCTTTTACTATTAATGAGGGTGAGTAACAAATTACCCCTTAATTTGTTAATTTGTTATTTGGCTTGGTTGTCTTTTTTTTTTTTTTTTTTTATCTTGTTACTGGTTTGTACATTTTATTTGTATATTAAGGATGCTACTCCTTTATCATGTAGTAACTATTTTTTCCCAGTTTGGTAGCTTTTTTTCTTTATTTTATAAAGGTATAATTTACATACAATAAAATTCACTTTTTGTTTGTTCGTTTGTTTTATAGAGATGGGGTTTGCCCAGGCTGGTCTCGAACTCCTGGGCTCAAGGGATCTGTCTGCCTTGGCCTCCCAAAGTGTTGGGATTACAGGTGTGAGCCACCACGCCCCGCATATTTTTTTTTTTTTTTTTTTTTTTTTTTTTTTTTTTTTTTTTTTTGAGACAGAGTCTCGTTCTGTAGCCCAGGCTGGAGTGCAGTGGCGCAGTCTCGGCTCACTGCAAGCTCCATCTTCCGGGTTCACACCATTCTCCTGCCTCAGCCTCTCAAGTAGCTGGAACTACAGGCGCCTGCCACCACACCTGGCTAATTTTTTGTATTTTTAGTAGAGATGGGGTTTCACCGTGTTAGCCAGGATGGTCTCGATCCTCCTGACCTTGTGATCCGCCCGTCTCGGCCTCCCAATGTGCTGGGATTACAGGCGTGATTTTTTTTTTTTTTTTTTTTTTAAATGAGCAGGGTCTTGCTCTGTACCCCAGACTGTAGTGCAGTGGCGTGATCATAGCTCACTGCAACCTTGAACTCATGAACTCAAGGGGTCCTCTTGCCTGAGCTTTTCAGAGTTCTGGGATTACAGGTGTGAGCCGCCACACCCAGCCCCCTCCCCCCTCCCTTTTTTTTTTATTAGAGTCTTGTTGTGTTGCCCAGGCTGGAGTGCAGTGGTGTGATCATAGCCCATTGCAACCTTGAATTCAGGAACTCAAGGGACCCAATTGCCTCAGCCTCCCAAAGTGCTAGAGTTACAGGCATAAGCCACTGTACCTGGTCTTTTTATTTTTTAATGTTTATTAAGCATTAAAAATTTATTTTTTAATTTTTTTGAGACAGAGTTTTGCTCTTGTTACCTAGGCTGTAGTGCAATGGTGCGATCTCAGCTCACTGCAACCTCTGCCTCCCAGGTTCAAGCAATTCTCCTGCCTCAGCCTCCCGAGTAGCTAGGATTACAGGTGCCTGCCACCACACCTGGCTAATTTTGTTTTGTTTTGTTTTTAGTAGAGACAGGGTTTCACCATGTTGGCCAGGCTGATCTCGAACTCTTGACCTCAGGTGATCCACCAGCCTCGACCTCCCAAAGTGTTGGGATTACAGGCGTGAGCCTCTGCACCCAACCTCTGTGTATTACTTCTTTCATCTGAGCCATTTGAGAGTTAGTTATGTAGCATAGATTCCTAAGAATAAGGCCATTTGCTTACATAACCACAATAAAGTTATATTCAATCCAGGGAATTTAAGCCTAATTCAGGATCTTTATCTACAGTTTATATTCCATTTTTCCCTGTCCATGATGCAGTCTAAGACCAGACATTGCATTTAGTTGTCCTATCCCTTTAGTCAGCCTTTCTTAGTGTCATGATGTTGACATTTTGGAAGTATATGGTATGGCTAATTATTCTGTAGAATGTTTCTCTATTTGGGTTCATCACAGTTTCCTTCTTAGATTCAGGTTGTGTGGTTTAGCTGGAAACTACTATATAGTCTATATCTCAGCGAAATGCAAATGGTGTATTCTTGTGTCTTACAGGGAAGTCTTCTGACCAACTGGCCCTCCGTCCCTCCTACCATAAAGGAGGAGGAAAACAGTGAGGAGGAACTTGCAGCAGCCACCACATCGAAGGAACAGGAGCCCATCGGTACAGATCTGGACGCAGTGCGAACACCAGAGCCCTTGGAGGAATTCCCGAAGCGTGAGGACCAGGAAGGCTCCCCACCAGAAACGAGCCTGCCTTACAAGTGGGTGGTGGAGGCAGCTAACCTCCTCATCCCTGCTGTGGGTTCTAGCCTCTCTGAAGCCCTGGACTTGATCGAGTCGGTATGTTGGTCACAACACTTCACAGTGAGCACAGAACACCCCCAGCAGGAAGTGCTTCTCTCTCAGGCCCACATCCTTTTGCTCATTCCATCGCCCTGCTAACAGTTACTGACTTGATGCTGAATGCCTAGCCCTGACCCAAGGGCTGGGGACACCAGGGTTGTCAGCATGCAGTCCCTATCCTTGGGGAGCTCCCGGTGTGTGCAGCAGGAGTTTGTGGTGGCATCTGACCTCTATGTATGGCACAGGGCGGGGTGGGAAGGCTGCCCAGAGGAGGTGGCACTGAACTGAGTCCTAAAGGTTGACTGGCAGGTGACAGCACAGGACAGCGTGGTATTTGTGGCATCACACATGGTTGGGTCTCCCTGAAGAGGAGCCCAGGAAATGCCAAGTCTTGGTGCTGGTCTTGGAGTGGTGAGTGGGTTCTGGTTACTCAGGGTGGGGCAGCCATTGAGCCCGTGTTGTGGTTACTGTGTTGGCTGTGTGGTTGTGTCCTTTGAGGAGGGCTTCTTGGTGTGACACCCCGGCTCCTGGCTGCATCGGCCAGGCCTGCTGTGTAGAGCGGGTTTTGGGAGGTGAAAGACCAGAGGCCTGGTCACTAGGGTGGGGAGTTCAGTATGGGGGTCCGTGTTCGCCTTTCCACCCAGGTGTCTCCCATCCTAGAACATCTAACTGCCAGGGTCTGAGCTTAACATACAGTCTGCGTGGTATCCTGTGAGGTGTGTCATTTCTGTTTTTTAGGTGAAACTGAGGCTCAGAGAGGTCAAGTAGTGTACCCAAGGTTGCACAGCAAGTATACTTGGTGGTCTTGACTGCCATGCTATGCTCCTGCTACTATCGCTTGGCAGGCACAGCTCGCTTGTATTGAGCACCCACTGATTGCCGGAGCCAGTGCTTAATGAGTAATTACAGTACCTAACATTGGAGTGCTTGCCGCGTGCCAGGCCCATCACTTGCTACCTAATGTGTAGGCTCTTAGTTGGTCTTTAACAGCCTGTGAGGTGGGTAGTGGACTCATCAACAGTGAGAGCACCCCACGCTCAGAGAGGTTAGGAGACTTGGCCAGGTTCACACAGCCGGTGACCTCCAGGAACAGGAGTTAAACCTTGCTGTCCGGCTCAGAGCTCAGGCTCTTTCCACAATGACCTTCAGCGCCTGTTGGGGGAGTTACTGCGTGTGTGGAAATCCCATCTTCCCTCCTCTGCTCCGTCCACTTCAGTGGTCCTTGTAGGATGTACTTCTGGTCTACCAGACACTGTCGGTGCTGGGTCCTCCCTGAATTGGGGTGTGGGCCTGAGGTCGGTCCTGCCCCCCAGCTGGCCTCCACCCTTAGGAGTGAACTACCCCAGGGAACCAGAACTCGGCTTTAGTGTCTGGGTCCACTCAGAAGCCAGAACCCAAAGACCAAAGTGGAAGCCTCTGTGTCCAGAAGCCTTTTGGTTTGTGTTGTGATTTATTGGGTAAAGGAGGGAAAACCTGTAGTGACTCACGGGCTTGTTCTAGAAGCTGAGTGAGTAACTTTGGGAAGACCGAATCCCCTTAGCTCAGCTTCCTTGGTATGAAAGGGAAAGTAATGCTTCCCTAGCAGAATTGTGGGGATTGGAAATAACTTTTGTGAGCTGCCCCAAGGAGGCATCAATGATGAGTGACATCCCATTCACTGCTCTATATTTCGTTCTATAAAAATATCTGCAGGCTGGGTACTGTGGTTCATGTCTGTAATCCCAGCACTTTGGGAGGCTGAGGTGAGAGGATCACGTGAGCCCAGGAATTTGAGACCAGCCTGGGTAACACAGTGAAACACAGTCTCTATAAAAAATATTTTAAAAAATTAGCTGAAGCCGGGTGCAGTGGCTCACACCTGTCATCCCAGCACTTTTGGAGGCCAAGGTGGTCAGATCACCTGAGGTCAGGAGTTCGAGACCAGCCTGGCCAATATGGGTGTGGTGGCACACGCCTGTAGTCCCAGCTACTCAGGAGGCTGAGGCAGGAGAATTGCTTGAACCCGGAAGGCGGAGGTTGCAGTGAGCCGAGGTTGCACCACTGCACTACAGCCTGGGCGACAGAGCAAGTCTCTGTCTCAAAAAAAAGTAAAAAATAAAAAATTAGCCGAGAATGGTGGTACATGTCTGTAGTCCCAACTACTCGGGAGGCTGAGGCGGGAGGATCACTTGAACCCAGGAGTTCAAGCCTGCAGTGAGCTGTGATTGTGCTACTGTACTCCAGCGTAGGCAACAGAGTGAAACCCTGTCTCTTTAAAGAAAAGAAGAATCTATGAAAATATAGATGTATAGTCATAGAAAACTTTGAGGAAATGCATGAAATATTAATGATTGGTCCTGGGCTGTGGGATCATACTTGACACTTAAATATTTCCCGTAATGAATGAGTCCTCTTGTATTAAGAGCATAGTAATTGCAATTCCTAACCTCCCTCCCTGGACAGGACCCTGATGCTTGGTGTGACCTGAGTAAATTTGACCTCCCTGAGGAACCATCTGCAGAGGACAGTATCAACAACAGCCTAGTGCAGCTGCAAGCGTCACATCAGCAGCAAGTCCTGCCACCCCGCCAGCCTTCCGCCCTGGTGCCCAGTGTGACCGAGTACCGCCTGGATGGCCACACCATCTCAGACCTGAGCCGGAGCAGCCGGGGCGAGCTGATCCCCATCTCCCCCAGCACTGAAGTCGGGGGCTCTGGCATTGGCACACCGCCCTCTGTGCTCAAGCGGCAGAGGAAGAGGCGTGTGGCTCTGTCCCCTGTCACTGAGAATAGCACCAGTCTGTCCTTCCTGGATTCCTGTAACAGCCTCACGCCCAAGAGCACACCTGTTAAGACCCTGCCCTTCTCGCCCTCCCAGGTGCGTGGACCCCACTCTGGCTGCTTATTGGGTCGGTACAGACACCTAGTGTTCAGTGCTGGGGCAAGGGTGAGCAAAACGAGACCTGGCTCTGCCCTCATGCAGCTTATGCTCTGGTAGGAAGACCAGGTAACTAAAAAAGACTCAGAAAATGTGATAATCAGGATGAAAGAGAAGGCTTATGGTGCTGCATATGTGTATCTAGTCTGGGCAAGTCCAGGAAGACTGCCAGGAGGAGAAGGAGGATGCTGGTAACTGGGTAATGAAGGAGAGGAAGAGAACTGTCGTGTTTGTTCAGTCCACGTATGGAACCTATTTCACAGCAGACTTACCAGCACTGGGGAGCAAAGATGAAGATGATGGGTTGTCTCCAGCACTGGCTGGCCCTGCCTGGTCCTGGGAAGACCTGGGATAGCCAGTGCTGGGGATGGGCTTGTAATGAATTAACCAGAATAGAGTGTGGGAAGTGCCATGTGATAGCAATTGCGAAGTCACTGAGAACTCACTGTTCTGGGTGTTGCCCCTGGGTGCTCTGTTAGTAACACACAGAGCCTCGGGAGCCGGGATGGGTGCCAGGGTCTCTCTGAGATAGAGGTCATGGGGGGCACCTGGCCTTCCTGCAGAGAGGTGTCTGGGCTGGGTCTCCTTGAGCACCTTGACCAAAGGCACAGAAAAGGAAGGACAGAGTGGATGTGTGGAGTGGTGGGGGGTGGCGCAGGGCCTTGGTGGGCCTAGGTATAACTTAGGGCTTTGGCTCTCATTAGGTTTGTTCTTCCTGTGAGGCTGTGGGAGAGAGCGAGGCCCTGAGGTGGCCTGGTGCAGGAGGCCACCCTGTCATCACGGGTCAGGATGGCTAGTGGCATTTTGAGAGAGACCCTGTGTCGGTTTGCTCCGGCTGCTTAACAGAGTACCACAGGCTCGGTGGATTTGACAAGAAATTCAGCAGTGTTGGTTTCTACTGAGGCCTCTCTCCTTGGCTTGTAGATGCTGGCGGCTCCTGTGTCTTCACGTGGTCACCTGTGTCCTAATCTATTATTTTTTCTTGTAAAACCTCTTATTTTATAATGTTATAAGGACACCCGTTATTGGATTAGGGCCCACTCTAATGACTTTATTTTTTGAGAGTCGCTCTGTTGCCCAGGCTGGAGGCTGGAGGCTGGAGTGCAGTGGCATGATCACAGCTCACTGCAATCTCCACCTTCCAGGTTCAAGGAATTTTCCTGCCTCAGGCTCCTGAGCAGCTGAGATTATAGGCATGAGCCACCATGCCCGGCTATTTTTTTTGTATTTTTAGTAGAGACAGGGTTTCTCCAGGTTGGCCAGACTGGTCTCGAACTCTTGACCTCAAGTGATCCACCTGCCTCGGCCTCCCAAAGTGCTGGGATTACAGGCGTGAGCCACCGCGCCTGGCCTAACTAACCACTTTAAAGGCCCTATCTCCAAGTATTAATACAGTCCCATTCTGAGGTGCTGAGAGTTGGGACTTCAGGATGTAAATTTGGGGGAGACACAGGTCAGCCTGTAACATGCCGCAAGTGAGGGCTGCTGGCTGGAGAAGGAAGGCAGCGGGTCCCTCAGCTACTATTTGGGAAGCTCAGGATGATGGAGCGTGGTCGCTCTACTCCAGAGACCCCATTTAGGGTGGTGACCCTGAGGGTTGCAGATGGCTCTCTATTATAGCACCTTCAGGGCAGGGAGGGAAGAGAGCGGGGTGCTTCAAAGGATGGATGTTGGCTTAGATCTAGATTTCATTCTCACTTCTAGCACTCAGTGCAAGACTCAAAACCTCTCTAAGCGTTGGTTTTCTTATCTGTAAAAGGGGGATAGTAATAGTGCCTATGTCTCAGGATTTGTGGTAACTAATTGAAATTATTTGTGTGAAGTGCTTAGCACTGGCAAGAGAAGGTGCCCTCTAAATGATAACCCCACCGCCACCAGCACACTACAACTGTCACATGCCTTTTGCCTTCACAGGTCAGTTCAGAGCTAGTTTTATTTCTTCTGAGAAGGAGCCACTCTCCCACAGTTGGCTTCCTGTGCCTTAACTGCGTCGTCAGCACTCGAGTAGAGATGGCAAAAGCTAGGATTAGGGTGACGGAAGCCCAGAGGTCTGTGTGAACCTGCTTGGTGGGCTCCTGGCATCGATCTGTCCCAGTCCTTGTTCTCGGGTGTCTGATGGGTCAAGAGGGGACCTCAGTATCAGAGCAGACGTTTTGGGGGAGAGGCTCAAGGATCTCTCCCCATGATCCCCTGAGGTCTCAGGGATACTCATGCAGGTCATCATTTTGTCTTGTTCCCTCTCTCTTCTTTGGCAGTTTCTGAACTTCTGGAACAAACAGGACACATTGGAGCTGGAGAGCCCCTCGCTGACATCCACCCCAGTGTGCAGCCAGAAGGTGGTGGTCACCACACCACTGCACCGGGACAAGACACCCCTGCACCAGAAACATGCTGCGTGAGTGCTGCAGTGCCCCCAACCTTCGCCGTCCTCTCCCTCAGCAACACCAGACCATGGGCCTTGGGACCACTGGTGGAACAGTGGGGAGGGGGCACCCTTGGAATAACACTGAAGACTGTTTTAAGAAAGCCCTCTCCTTTCTGGCCACCACGATTTATCATTTTTATCGATATAGTTTTGGGCTCCACCTTTGCTTTTCCTCATTTGTATTTTTTAATTTGATAGTTTCCTTTTTTGTGATCCTCCTGCCTCAGCCTCCTGAGTAGCTGGGACTCCAGGTGCATGCCACCATGCTCAGCTAATTAAAAAAATATTTATTTATTTATTTATTTATTTATTTATTTATTTATTTATTTTGAGATGGAGTCTTGCTCTGTTGCCCAGGCTGGAGTGCAATGGCGCGATCTTGGCTCACTGCAAGCTCCGCCTCCCAGGTTCATGCCATTCTCCTGCCTCAGCCTCCCGAGTAGCTAGGACTACAGGCATCCGCCACCGCGCTCAGCTAATTTTTTGTATTTTTAGTAGAGACAGGATTTCACCGTATTAGCCAGGATGGTGTCGATCTCCTGACCTCGTGATCCTCCTGCCTCAGCCTCCCAAAATGCTGGGATTACAGGCGTGAGCCACCACACCCGGCTAAAATTTTTTTAAGAGGTGAGGTCTTGCTACTTTATCTGGGCTGGTCTTGAACTGGCCTTAAAGTGATCTTCCTGCCACAGCCTCCCAAAACGCTGGGATTACAGGCGTGAGCTACTGCACCTGGCCCTCATTTGATAATTTTCTGTCTCAGGAATGGAGAGTCCAAATTAGCCTGAAAAACATAATCTCTTCCGCTTCCTAAGGTTTCAGGTGCAAATTCGTTGTGTTTGAGCAGCCTTATGTGCAGGGCGAAAGTGCCCATCCCTCTATCAAGAGTGGAGACTGCATTCCTGTCCTCTGAGCTTACGGAGCATGACATTTTCTGTCTGGAAGCCTGTACAGGTTGCTCGCCAGCCTGCTTTTACAATGGAAGTGCTTTTACAATAAGTTTACTTCCTTGGGTCATCATGATTCTAAATTCCAGGTAGAGAGAGTTGCTTAACTATTCCTCTGCTTGATACATTTGCTGGAGGAGGAAATCGCTATTTTGTGATTCAGAAATCAGCTCAGGAATTTTAGCCCTGATAGTGATACATAATTTCGGGAAAAGATTTGTGAATCCCTTAGTCAGAAATCAGTCTCCAAAGTCCGGCTCAGTGGCTCACACTTGTAATCCCAGCGCTTGGGAGGCCAAGGTGGGAGGATCACTTGAGACTAGGGGTTTAAGACCAGTCTGGGCAATATAGGGAGACCCTGTCTGTACACAAAAAAAAAAAAAGTTTTTTTTTTTTTTGAGATGGAGTCTTGCTTTATCACCCAGGCTGGAGTGCAGTGGTGCAATCTCGGCTCACTGCAACCTCCGCCTCCCGGGTTCAAGCAGTTCTCCTGCCTCAGCCTCCTGAGTAGCTGGGATTACAGGCACGCGCCACCACACCCAGCTAATTTTTGTATTTTTAGTAGAAACGAGGTTTCACCGTGTTGGTCAGGCTGGTCTCAAACTCCTGACCTTGTGATCCACTCGCCTCGGCTTCCCAAAGTGCTGGGATTATATGTGTGAGCCACTGCTCCCAGCCAAAAAAAATTTTTTTAATTAGCTGGGCGTGGCCGTGTGTGCCTGTAGTCCCAGCTACTCGGGAGGCTGAAGTGGGAGGATTGCTTGAGCCCAGGAGTTTGAAGCTGCAGTGAGCTATGATTGGCTACTGCACTCCAGCCTAGGTGACAAAGCGTGACTCTCTTTCTAGTTTTTTTTTTTTTTAAAAAAAAAAGAGAAAAAAGAAATCAGTCTCTAAAGAGTTGATCTAAAGCATAACTTAGATAGGTTTCGTGAGAAATGATTGTCCGTTCAAACCAGAATCTTGGACTTCGCATCTAAGCCCTTAAACAGAGATGCTGTCACTACAAAAGGCATTGATACTTCTCTCTCTCCCTTTCTTTCTTATCCATGTGGCCTCATTTGCTGCCTCCTTCCAATTCCTTTTTTCCATAGGAAGAAGCATCTCCAGTGCTCTTCATTCCTCTTTAGATCCATATTTCCATCTGGTTCCTTCTGAAGGCCATCCTTTAACCATGTAGTGTGGGCTTGCTGGTGATGAGTTCTAATTTTTATATTTTTTTGCTAATTTTTCTATTTTTTTGTAGAGATGGGGTTTCGCCATATTGGCCAGGCTGGTCTCGAACTCCTGACTCAAATGGCCTGCCTCGGCCTCCCAAAGTGCTGGGATTACAGGCGTGAGCTGTAATCCAGCTGTTATTCCTTTGTAGAGAGTCTCTTTAGTTATCCCTCAAATTTGACAGGCTGTATGGTGGTGTGGTATTTCTCTATTTTTTTCCCCCCCGGCTTTCATATCAGACTAAAGATTCAAACCTTGAGCTGAGGAAGTGTTTATTTCTTTAGTTTTTCTTTCCCTGTCTGCCCCTTCTCCTACCTTAGGAATTCCTTCATATATAGGCTGGATTGGTCTCTGTGTCTTTTTCGTCTTCATACGCCTCTTCACCATCTTAAGCCATTTCCTTAATCTTCGGAGAACATGATGGGATTGTTTTCTGATTCACCAGTTTGGTTGTCTGTGGTTTCCAACTTGCTGAATTCTCTGATTTACAGAGCTGCATTTTTTATCTCCAAGCAATCTTTTGAATTCCCTTTTCAAGTCAGCCTCCCTGCCTCCCTGAGTTTTCTTTTTGAGACAGTCTTGCTCTGTCCCCAAGGTTGAATACAGTGGTGTGATCATGGCCCACTGCAACTTCTACCTCCCAGGATCAAGTGATCCTCCCACCTCAGCCTTCTAACTAGCTGAGAACACAGGTGTGCACCACCATGCTTGGCTAATTTTTTTGTTTTTTTGAGAGACAGGGTCTCACTGTGTTGCCCAGGCTAGTCTTGAACTCTGGGACTCAAGCAATCCTTCCGCCTCAGCCTCCTAAAGTGCTGGCATTACAGGGGTGAGCCACAAGGCCCGGCCTCTCCCTGAGTTTTCTAATGTGTGTATATACACTCTTTTTTTTCTTTTTTCCGAGACAAGGTCTCTCTTAGTCACCCGGGTTGGAGTGCAGTGGTGCAATCATGGCTCACTGCAGCCTTGAATTCTGGGCTCAAGTGGTCCTCCTACCATAGCCTCTGGAGTAGTTGGGACTACAAGCACCACCATGGCTGGCTGATTTTTTTATTTTTAGTAGTGATGGAGTCTGTGTTACCCAGACTGTTCTTTAACTCCTGGCCTCAAGTGATCCTCTCCTGTCAGCCTAACACTAATCCCAGAGTGTTAGGATTACAGGCGTGAACCACTGCCTTTGGCCATGTGTGTGCTCTTAGTCCTTGTTGATGCCACGAATTAGAGAGGTTCTGGAATTTTCTCATGTTCCTCAGAAACTCCATGTCCCATGGAGATGCTTGAGTGGCTCAGATTCACCTCTGTGAATTGTGGTTTGAACTGTAAGATGTGTACATTTGACTTGTGCTTATCTGTCTTCACTCTTCCTTACAGAGGGGGATCTCTGTGTGTCCCAGATGGGGGATAACAAGGGTTTGGGAAGAGACTGTGGATCCCTGCCTAATCTCTAGGTCCTGAGGAAGGAAGAAAAGAATGGTCTGCATTTGTTCTAGTTTTTTATCTCCCCATGGAGTGGCTGGCCAGCTGCGGGAAGTGGAGGCGGCGAGGCCCCAGGCTGCTGTTTCTAGGAGTTGGCCTCATCACCCAGGTCCCTGGCTACCTGGGGTGTTTCTCTCATCCTCTGAGTGCCCTGGTTATGCCATGAGAGTCAGCCATGGTGGTATCTCCAGGTGACTAAGGTCACATACCAGCACACAAGGGTTCGTGTTTGTGGAACCTGGTAGCTTCCTTCAGAGCTGACATTTGCCCACAGCCAGCCTGGCCCAGCCCCATACCACCAGCCCTGGCGCTCTGGGGCGTGAGGTGCCTTTTCTGCCCCCCTGCTCTAGGGCAGGTGGAAATCACCCATGGTGGGTCTACATCTGATAGAAGCATCTTATAGTTCTGCTTCTGGACCAGACCATCCTGGGTTTTTCTCTGTTCTGCTGAAGGGTTCCCTCCACGTGTCCATCACCTCGGTGAACTCTTGGGAGACCTGGGAAGATGCTGGCCTCACCTCTCGCCCCTCCTTTCCCTCATTGTGCTGCCACCATCCTTCTCACACAGGCTCTCCAGGGAGAGCTGGGCAGGATGGGATCTTCCTGGGTTCCCACCTTGCTCCGTGCCCCCTCTCACTGTTCCTGAAGTGTGGCCACGGACTGCCTTGTTTTCTGGAAAGTCCCAAGTCTGGACCATGACTGAGCAGCATTCTCGGCTATCTGCCACCTGTCTGGGGCTCCTGGCCCCTCTTAGACTCCCCTCTCCCTTCTGTTTCCCCCGAGCCCCTGACTTGGACCTGCAGGGTGGGGAGAGGGATGGGACGAGAACCTGTGCTGGGGCCAAAGGTCGCACTGGGGGAAGGTGGAGCCAGGGCAGCAGAGTGCCTGGCGTCGGCCCCTATCCTGTCACTAGTTCCCCCGTTCTGGCCCCTGGCAGGTTTGTAACCCCAGATCAGAAGTACTCCATGGACAACACTCCCCACACGCCAACCCCGTTCAAGAACGCCCTGGAGAAGTACGGACCCCTGAAGCCCCTGGTACGTGGTGTGGTCGCTGCCGTGGATCTCTGCACAGTGGGATCCCTTCGGTTCATCCAACCATGTTCAGTCCACAGGACCCTTCCCTCTGAGGTCTCATTTGATTCTTTCTCCTGAGAAGATGCAGAGATCCTGATAATATAAATGGGGAAGCTGAGGCTGCTCTTTGTCACTTCCTCCGACTGCTCCTGAGCACCTGAGTTTGCAAGCACGCGCCGGCTGGTGCTAGAGACATGGTGGTATCCCGTGACACTCAGCCTCAGGATGGGGGAGACTGATGTGAAATACAAATAACTTAAACACTTTCAGGCAAAGATAAGCACTGGGCCTAGTTCAGAGAAGTGGCAAATTGCTACTCTGGCCTGTCTCTGACCAACTCCCAGTTCTCTACAGAGCACGGGAAAGCCCCTCGGGGACGTCTTTCCTGCAGTGTGCAGGCTGCCCTTCTCCCCTGCTCTTCCCAGTTGATGGGATGGTTGTGTTTTCTCTATGAAAAAAGGAGTTGGCACCTTGGGCTTTCTGAAACACACAGGTGTTTTAGAAATCAGTGGAGGGTGAGAGAAAGGCATGGTTGTGGAGGCACTGGACTGTGAACAAGGTCTGCAGCGGGTCCCCCTGCTGTCTCTCTCCACTGCATGGAGCCTCCTATGAAGCCCAAGGTGGCTGGGGGCTGAGGCTCCCTTGGGCCTGCCATGGAACTGATTCTGAGTCAAGCAGACTTTCCACGGACCATGCTACATGAGCCGAGGTGAGGCACTAGTTAGTGCTCCTTTCCTGTTGCAGTGGAGATTTGGCTCCTCTGTACTAAAATATCTGCATGCTCTCCAAACAGGTGTGAGGGCAAATCACATGACCTTGGCAGCTGTAATTAAAGTTTGTGGGGGCTTTTCGGATGACTTATGAGGAGTGGCTGTGATTCGCACCTTTCACTCTTAGTAGCACTCGCCCTCCCCTGTTCTCTGTTGCCTGAAGCTGGAGAGGTCCTTGGAACCCCGAGGCCTGAGAAAGGGAAATGGGTTTGAGAGCCCCCATTAGTGTGGAACAAAGGGTTGAGTGAGCCTGGGCTTTGAGCTGTCGGGGTCCTAATTCAGCAGCTGTGTGACTGTGTGCCAGGCTGTTGATCTCTGAGCTTCTGTTTCTACCTGCTTAAAATGACGGTTACTGCACAGGGCTGTGTGAGGGTTACAGTGCGTCTCTGGGCTGCTCCCAGCCATGGCAGGCCCCTGGGAATCAAGGTCATCAGCTGCTTGTCCAAGGCAGCAGTTAGTGGTTGTGAATGGTGCGTGTGAGATCTGCATCCTGGCGTCAGGCCTCCTTCCTGCCTTACCCAGGACAGCCCAGTTGCAGCTGGGTTGGTCCCACAGTCCCACACACACACAGCCCGAGTGTGGTGCCTCACGTGGGCTGCCCCGTGCCTACCCACAGCCACAGACCCCGCACCTGGAGGAGGACTTGAAGGAGGTGCTGCGTTCTGAGGCTGGCATCGAACTCATCATCGAGGACGACATCAGGCCCGAGAAGCAGAAGAGGAAGCCTGGGGTGAGTAGGGTAGGGGTGGGAGAGCCTGGGCAGGGGGAATTGGAGCCGTGGCATGGGGGAGGCGTCTGGGGACAGGTTGTAGAAAGTGAGGCGCTGGGGAGAATGGGGGCGTAGCATATCCCCTTTGCCCCCTTTCGCACGGTGGTTGTTGAGGAAACTGACAAGATAAGGACAGTGTCTCTGGGACCCTCCTCTGCTCTGCTTTGAAGGATTCACTTACTTATCCAGCATTGTGTTCGGACCCTGCTCAAGTTGGGCTGGGCTGGATGTGGTGGATGGAGCAGCAATTACGACCCAGACTGGATCTCCCCTTAGTGTTCAGGGGGCAGAGACAGATGCTAGACAGACACACCATGACTGAATTCACAGGGTACCAAGGGCCGCAGAAAGGGAGGTTCCAAAGGAATCTTTTGGGTGGAGGCGAGGCGGTCGGGATGAGCCAGCCAGGCCAGGCAGTGCCTGGCTGAGTGTCAAGCTGCATGAGCTGGGGGTGGGGGAGTGGGTTCAGGTGAGGTGGAGTCTGCAGGGGCTCCTGGGCAGGGGGGCAGGGAAGGGACTGTCCCAAGCCTCCGTTCTATGCCAGCCTCCCTCCCACTGCGTCGTTAGCTTTCATGACAGTGCGCGATCCCTTCGAGTCTCCTAGTGCTCCTTTTTCCCAGACTGCTCTCCTCAAGGGAGAGCTGGGAACGGTGGGATGTACAGGGTGTTAGGTAAGGAGGGGAGGTGGGCGGTCAGCCTGGGCGGGACTTGCCCGAGCTGGCACCCCATGTGCACGTGGAGAGAACTTGGCCTCTGGCCTCCAGGGTCCTCCCTGGCCTCTCCTTGGTGGGGATGGTTGTGAGCCATGGCAGCCCCTGCTGAGTGCACTGTTGGGTAGAGTGGGGATGTGACTCTCAGAGCCGCTCCCTGGTATCGGAGCAGGCCCTGGACCTGCTTCTGTGAGGTGCACGGTTAGGAATGGGGCGTTCCTTGATTGTATTAGGCATTGTAGAGGGGCTTGTCCTGAGGGGTTTGTGTTCCCATATTACTGGCCTGTGGGTGCTATTTTAGGTGTTACTGGGGTGATTCTCTGCTGGGCCTGTTTGAGGGGCTGTGTCTGGTCCATTCGGGGTGAGAACAGGTCACTTCGTGGTGGAGGTTCATGCTGTGTTCCTGCTCACTGTCGCAGCACCTGGCAGGATAGGGTCTACCTTGGGTACAGAGTCTAATGGGGCCATGGGGCCTAACTTTCCCAGCCACCCCATTCTTCTGACAGCAGATTCCCACTAGCTGGGCCTTGCTCCAAGTCTGCACTGCAGCAGGGCCTGGTTTTGTGACCATCCATGGCCATGACCATCCAGGTGCTGACCATGGGGAATCCAGACACTCACCCTAACCCCCTTCTATCTGCCAACCCCTAGCTGCGGCGGAGCCCCATCAAGAAAGTCCGGAAGTCTCTGGCTCTTGACATTGTGGATGAGGATGTGAAGCTGATGATGTCCACACTGCCCAAGTCTCTATCCTTGGTAAGGCTTCTGCTCCTTGGAACTGTTGAGTTTTGGAGAGGACCCTCAAGGTGGAGTTAGTGTAGTGACTCTCCAACTGGGCTTCTGGAACCCTGGGCTCTGCAGGGAGGGGCTATCAGGGAGGGTGGGTCCGGGCACCCACTCATGGCTTCAGTCAGCAGCTCTGCTTGTCTCTCACAGAAGGTTTTGTTTGGCAGAGTTGCGCGGCTAGGACATGTTTTAAAAACATGCATCTGGGTCTCCTGCGCTCTCCCAGAGAGGGTCAGTGATGTGTCTTTTTTTTTCTTTTTTTTTTTTTGAATTGGAATTTCGCTCTTGTTGCCCAGGCTGGAGTGCAATGGTGCCATCTCGGCTCACTGCAACCTCCGTCTCCCGAGTTCAAGTTGTTCTCCTGCCTCAGCCTCCCAAGTAGCTGGGATTACAGGCATGCATCACCACGCCCGGCTAATTTTGTATCTTTAGTAGAGACGGGGTTTCTCCATGTTGGTCAGGCTGGTCTCGAACTCCCCACCTCAGGTGATCTGCCTGCCTCGGCCTCCCAGAGTGCTGGGATTACAGGCGTGAGTCACCGTGCCCAGCCTAGTAATGTGTCTTAAGGTATAGCCAGGCACTTGGGCACATTAGTCCTGGGATGGGTGCTATACAGCCCCCAGGCCAGTGGACTTGCTGTGCCGGGTGCTACAGTGAGGTCGACCTCAGAAAGGGGGTTGTTGCCTGTGCAGAGCCTGGGTCCCCAGAAGCCAGGGTGTGCTGCTGATCCCTCTCTGCTCACAATGGGGTGAGTTGGCTTGCCCTGGCTCAGAGTGGGGAGGCGGTGAGAGGCATGGCGGCGTCATGAACAAAGGTTAAGGGTTGCCTGATCTTCCAAGTAGACTGCTGCCCTCACGGTCCTTGCAGAGAAACCTTGTCCTGGCTAGGGGTCTCTGACAGGCTGGGGACCTGCAGCCAGGTTACTGCAAAGAAAAAAACATCACCGCAGGGAGTGAAGAGCACAGATTGAGTCAGGTGGGCCTGGGTTTGAGTTATGACACCATCACTGCTCTCTGGGATCTTTCAGGTTCCCTGAGCCCCAGTTAAAAGCCTATAAAAGGGGTGCCAAGCCTAAGTCAGGAGGGCACAGTGCCAAGCAGAGCAGAGAGACTGGAAGGGCGTGGGAGGGGCTTTGTGCAACTCCGCTGTGCTTGGGGTTGAAGCTGCGTCTTTATGATGCTTGTGGATGTTTCTGGTCCCAGGAAAACTAGGAACAGCCTTGGCTCCTCCTGAGGCTTTATGTGACAAAGCCAACGTTATTGAGTATGTTATTACTGGATAATGCTCAGTGATACTCCACATTTATTGATTATGTTATTATGGCCTGGGGGCTGCACGGCACCCATCCCAGGGCTGATGTGCCCCCACGTACTTGACTGTGCCTCCAGACACACCACTGAATCAGGCTCTGAAACGCACACACGTTTCTTTACTTGATTACTTGATTTTTTTTTTTTAAGTAAGAAAGTTCTTTAGAACAAGATTAAGTTCTTTGCTTAATTTTTTTTTGAGACGGAGTCTGGCTCTGTCTCCCAGGCTGGAATGCAGTGGTGCAATCTCGGCTCACTGCAAGCTCCACCTCCTCCCAGGTTCGCACCATTCTTCTGCCTCAGCCTCCCAAGTAGCTGGGACAACAGGCGCCCACCACCACACCCAGCTAATTTTTGTGTTTTTAGTAGAGACGGGGTTTCACCCTGTTGACCAGGATGGTCTCGATCTCTTGACCTCGTGATCCGCCTGCCTCGGCCTCCCAAAGTGCTGGGATTACAGGCGTGAGCCACCGCTCCTGGCCCTTTGCTTAATCTTTTAAGTATAAAGTAAGCTTAAGCTCATGTAAACTCCCTATCTGAAAGCAGAAACTGAGGCTTGGAAAAGTGTGTATCCTCTTTCAGGTCTCAGCAGCCAGGTGGTGGTGCTGGGGTGGGATTGCGGGTTTTTTTCTTCCCTCTCACAGCTTCTCGCAAAATGGTGACTCCTTGACTTGGTTTTGGTTTCAGCCGACAACTGCCCCTTCAAACTCTTCCAGCCTCACCCTGTCAGGTATCAAAGAAGACAACAGCTTGCTCAACCAGGGCTTCTTGCAGGCCAAGCCCGAGAAGGCAGCAGTGGCCCAGAAGCCCCGAAGCCACTTCACGACACCTGCCCCTGTGAGTGCTGTGGCCATCTCTGGGGGTCCTGCAGTGCCCGCCTTCTTAGCTCAGGGCTGAGTGCTGGCCATCCCTGGGGGTCCTGCAGTGCCCGCCTTCTTAGCTCAGGGCCTTTGCATAGGCTGTTCCTCTGCCTGGGTGCTTTTCCTGCTACTTCCCGTGGCTGCATTTGCTTAACTTACTCTTCTGATTTCAGTCTCAATGCTGCTTCCTTAGGGGTAAGCCTTCTCTGACCCTACATTCTGTAGAGATACCCCCATTCTGCCATTCTCTCTTTTGTGGCCTGGGTTTCACTTGTAACTAAGTCATTATCCCTGTATTTGGTTTGCTTAGTACATGTCTGTCCTCAAGCAGGGGCTGGCTTCAGGCTGCTGACCCGTCTCACTGCTCCTTCTCACCCGCCTCCTGGCTGTGGCTTCTCCTCGAGGCTGGTGCTGCACGGGGCGGGCAGTGCATGGCCATGTCTCCTTGTCCAGCGTCCTACTTACAGTTGAGGAAGCCCACAGCCAGGAAGTGACTTGTCCAGGGTCACAGGGAATGTGGAGAGAGAATAAGAAGGCTCTGGCTTCTAGGGGAGGGAGGCTTATAACTCTACCCTTCCCTGGCCAGGATCACCAGGGTCTGTTGGGAACACATAGTCCCTGCCTGGATGGTAACCCTCTTGCCTCCTCCCAGATGTCCAGTGCCTGGAAGACGGTGGCCTGCGGGGGGACCAGGGACCAGCTTTTCATGCAGGAGAAAGCCCGGCAGCTCCTGGGCCGCCTGAAGCCCAGCCACACATCTCGGACCCTCATCTTGTCCTGAGGTGTTGAGGGTGTCACGAGCCCATTCTCATGTTTACAGGGGTTGTGGGGGCAGAGGGGGTCTGTGAATCTGAGAGTCATTCAGGTGACCTCCTGCAGGGAGCCTTCTGCCACCAGCCCCTCCCCAGACTCTCAGGTGGAGGCAACAGGGCCATGTGCTGCCCTGTTGCCGAGCCCAGCTGTGGGCGGCTCCTGGTGCTAACAACAAAGTTCCACTTCCAGGTCTGCCTGGTTCCCTCCCCAAGGCCACAGGGAGCTCCGTCAGCTTCTCCCAAGCCCACGTCAGGCCTGGCCTCATCTCAGACCCTGCTTAGGATGGGGGATGTGGCCAGGGGTGCTCCTGTGCTCACCCTCTCTTGGTGCATTTTTTTGGAAGAATAAAATTGCCTCTCTCTTTGTGCTGGTCTGGACTCTGCCTCTCTACTGGGCCCTGCTCATGGTTCCCTGGTGACCTAGGGGCCTCTTCTGGGATATAGGGACCTGAATGCTCATCCTCAGAGGCCAGCCTTATCGGCACAGCCCAGGCCTGAGCCCTTGACCCTGTTTCCACAGAGGGGCACAATGAGATGAGAGCAATTTCTCTCGTCTCTGCACCCAGTGGGCATCTCTGCAAAGCTCTGAGTATTAATAGCCATGGGGTTGGGCGGGGGTGGGCAGAGACTGGGGGCGGAGGAGGACGATGGGTTGGTGCAGTAGGGCCTTGCCTGGCCCTTGCCTTGGGTGGCTCACCTGCCCATTAACAAGCCCCTGCCTCAAGCTGAGCGTGGCCCCCAGGTCAGACCAGTAAGCAAGGAAGAGGGGTGAAGGCAGCTGGGCAGAACCCTCTAGCCCCATTGGCCAAGGCTGAGCAGGAGGCCAGGATGGGCCAGAGCCTCTGCCCTTGTGGCCCTAAATCCCTAGGGTTGTGGCTACAGAGCACAGTGCTTGGCAGGTGGTTGGGAAGAGTCACTGGGGATTGAAGAGGGGAAGATGCCAAGTCTGAGAATGTCTAAATGAGGAATTGATGTTTTCAGCAGCAGGCTTCATGGGACAGGCACATGAACATCCCTGTGGGCAGAGGTTGAGCAGACTTGGGGCAGGTCCTCACCTGGGGCAAGAGATGCGGCCAACTCTAGAGGGATGGGGACTGAGTTAATTAGGGTGCCAGAGTTCAGATGTGTCTGGCCTCAGACACACCCCTTTCTCCCTGCTGAGCTCCCGCCTACAGTCCCCCTACTCCTGTCCATTCACATGCAGGCATGCCGTGCTTGGTCCTGGCAGTGTCCCAGTTCTTGATCTAAAGCCGAGGAGGGGCGGGGGCTCTGTGCTTCCCACCCTGCACCCCGCACCCCGCAGCCCATGTGGCTGGGCTGCATGCACCTGCAGGTTCCATGGATGAACCACACCTAACTCACGCCCTGAGCTTTTGTGATTTGTCAGCATGGAGCCTATCCCCTCCCCAACTTCTTCCCCAAGGTCTGTCACTGGCCGCTCCCTACAGTCCTTGGTCACCCAAGGTGGATGACCTGTGCCCCACGGTGAGGATGGAGGCTGCATTACCTTGTCTCCTATAGCTCACACCAAGACTCGGTGGAACAACTTTGTCAAACTCAAATGCAGTGCGCTGCAGGCTAATGATGAAAATTCCTGGGCCCTCTGAGTCAGGTACCTGGGGTGGAGCCTGCAAAAAGGGATTTTTAACAAACCACCAGTGGGTTATTCACATGCAGGGCGTTGACTGGCTACACTCTGAGCTGACGCCTGTGAGGCTCCAGGGGCTTGTACCCCATGCCCTCTCTTGCCTGAGGTCTTGCTCATTCCCAGGGACTGCCCTCAGGCCCTTTCCTGTCCTGGAGGGAGGAGGCTGTAAAGAACAGAGTGGCTGCAGGTAACAGCAAGCTTAACATACCATCCTCACTGAGCTCTGTGTGCTGTGGGCTTGTTCTTTGGTTCATGCATTAAATAAATACTAGGCCGGGTATGGTGGCTCACGCCTGTAATCCCAACACTTTGGGAGGCCGAGGAGGCCAAATTGCTTGAGTCTAGGAGTTTGAGATAAGCTTGGGCAGCATCATGAAACCCTCTGTCTACTAAAAAAAAAATAGAAAAAATTAGCTGGGCATGGTGGCATGTGCCTTTAGTCCCAGCTCCTCGAGAGGCTGAGGTGGGAGAATCACCTGAGCCCAGGAGGTCGAGGCTGCAGTGAGCTGAGATCATTCCACTGCACTCCAGCCTGGGCAACCAGAGGGAGACACTGTCTCAAAAACAAAAACAAAACCACATTTATTGAGGGACCCTCCAACCCTACCCCCACATGTCTGGCATAGTTGTAGTGCTGAAGATATAGCAGTAAAGGATAGAAACCAGGCCAGGTGTGGTGGCTCATGCCTGTAATTTAGTACTTTAGGAGGCTGAGGTGGGAGGATCACTTGAGCCCAGGAGTTTGAGACCAGCCTGGGCAACATGGTGAAACCCCATCTCTACAAAAAATTTTAAAAACTTAGCATGATAGCATGATGGCTCATGCCTGTAGTCCCAGCTACTCAGGAAGCTGAGGTGGGAGGATCTCTTGAGCTGTGGTTGTGCCTCTCTACTCCGGCCTGAGTGACAAAGCAAGACCCTATCTCAAAAGACAAAAACCAAAAAACTACCTTATTCTCATGGAGCTTAAATTCTTTTTTTTTTTTTTTTTTTTGAGATGGAGTCTTGCTCTGTTGCCCAGGCTGGAGTGCAGTGGTGCGATCTTGGCTCATTGCATGCTTCGCTTCCTGGGTTCACACCATTCTCCTGCCTCAGCCTCCCGAGTAGCTGGGACTACAGGCACCCACCACCATGCCCGGCTAATTTTTTTTTTGCATTTTTAGTAGAGACAAGGTTTCACCGTGTTAGCCAGGATGGTCTCGATCTCCTGACCTTGTGATCCGCGTGCCTCAGCCTTCGAAAGTGCTGGAATTACAGGCGTGAGCCACTGCGCCCGGCCATGGAGCTTAAATTCTAAAAAGCAGACAGATATAAACCAACCAATTGATATAAAATGTGCCAGAGGGAACTTTGAAGTAAAGCAGGGGGTACCGTGAGGCCAGTCATCTGCTCAGAGAAAGTGGGGAGGAGTCAGATTTGACAGCTCCTGGCCATCATGGGGACAGGGAGAGCCCACATGGGAAGGCAGATTGGTTGCCACTCAGGAGGTGCTGGGGGCCCAGCTGCTGTTTGATCAGGAGTTTGGGGAACTTGGTCATGAGGATTGATCCAGGCCTGATGTTTCCCAGGCTAGTGTGGCAAGCAAGAAAGAGTTAGCCAGATAGCGCTGAGGGGCAGAGGGCCTGAGTTCAGGATGGTAGTACAGGAGTGGGGGTGCTGCGGTCAGCCTGGGAGAGGGACAGGCAGGAGGGAAAGATGAGGCTTAGTTAAGATGGCAGAGGGAGGCTGGGCGTGGTGGCTCATGTCTGTAATCCCAGCACTTTGGGAGGCCGAGGCAGGCAGATCATCTGAGGTCGGGAGTTTGAGACCAGCCTGACCAACATGGAAAAACTCCGTCTCTACTAAAAATACAAAATTAGCCGGGCATGGTGGCGCATGCCTGTAATCCCAGCTACTTTGGAGGCTGAGGCAGAAGAATCGCTTGAACCCAGGAGGCGGAGGTTGCGGTGAGCCAAGATCGCACCATTGCACTTACTCTAGCCTGGGCAACAAGAGCAAAACTATCTTGGAAAAAAAAAATGGCAGAGGGTGAATCTGCCATTCTGGCAAGATCCAGATGATTGTCTGGCATTTGGTGACCAGCATGGCCTGGAGGTGAGAGGCTCACAGATATAGAGGCTGTGGTAGATTGTTCCAGCAATGGCTCCCTAGGGATCACTGCTCCCTGTAGCTATTCCCATGAGTGGGTCATGTGGTTGACTTTGCCCCTGAGGGACTCTGGGAGAATCTGCTGAAGGAGGTGAGAATTCTAGCTGTTCTGGTTGAGACTCCAGACGTGAGTAAGGCCACCCTAAACCATCCAGCCTCACCTGATCTGGCCCAGACTGGAGGAACTGCCCATCTGATCACAAAGTCATGAGAATAATAAATCAGTATTGCTTTAAGCCCTAAGATTGAGGATGGTTTGTTACACAGCAGAAGCTGACTGATAGAGATGCTGGCATGAGGAACTGGGACATGTGAGTACTTAAGGTGGTCCAGGATAAAGATAAAATGTCCTTCTCAGAGCAAGGCAGGGACTGGGGCAGGAGCAGTTTTGATAGGCCAGGAGTAGTTTGGGAGTCTTAATTAGCCACTTTTTCAGCAGACCCTGGTGTATCACTGAGGAAAATCAACACTGAGCCATGGGCTCATCAGGGTTGGGGAGAAACAGGAGACCTAGGGTTCCAGGAACTTTGCGGGAAATGAATGGGGTGAAGGATTCTGGAGTTCAAAGCCACTGTGACCATACCTGTGTCTTGTTCCCCAGAGCTGAAGGCAGTGGGGAGAGATATGGCTCATGGCATCTGGCAGACTCTCCCAGGTCCTCCTGCAGTCCTGGGTAGAGCTCTTACTTTGGATCAGACAGACTTGGGTGTAAACCCAGCTTAGCTCTTGGGAGCTGTGTGTCTCTTCAATGCACTGAGCCTTGGCTCCTTGGCTGTAAAATAGGGAGAATCCTTCAACTTCAGACTTGTTGAAGGGATTGGGAAGAATATGGCACATACTTGGTGCTCAGATAACATGGGCTCTTAGTATGTTATTACTTAGTATGTTTTTACATGTTTCTCATTTCTTTGTTACACACAATATACCCTGCAAAGGAGAAATTAGTGCCCACGTTTCAGGTGAGTGCTGGGAGGGAAGATGGTAGACAGTGGTTGAGTCAGGACTTGAGCCCAATCCTGGACAGCAAGTCTGGCATTTTAGTATGCCCCATTCCATGCCATCCTCTGTGTCATACTGTTATGGGCTCTTTGGGTTGTCACTTTTCTGGCCAGAAACATCTGTGGCTGATGGCACCTTTACCCGAGTTCTTGTCCTGTGTCCAGGAGGTACGCAGACAGGTGGAAGGTGAACATGATTAAGAGAAACTTTATTGAGTGTTACAACAGTTCACAGGAGACCCTCAGTGAGTAACTTCTGTCTGTAGGCAGATGGTCTGCAGTGTTAACTCTCAGCGGAGAGGAGGCCCTGGAGGATGTTGCTCCTCTCTGCTACTGTTTGTCCCATTATCTCCAGTTACCAGCAGAGACAGTAGCTCCTCTCTGCAGCTGGTCATCCCTTTCTCTGTCCTCTCTCCTGCTCTGGCTGAGCCCGGGACTTTTATAGACCTCAGAGGGGGTGAAGTGCATGCTGATTGCTCTGTGGGTGGCCATGGGCAGCAGGGAGGGAGCACCACAAGTCCCCACTCCGGCCCTCAGGACTGGCAGCTGGCTCCCAGCCTTCAGGCCCTCCCTGGCCTGAAGGAGGGGCCTTACTGGGGACTCGCCCCCTTCTGCCCAGGAATCTGACTCCCGCTGCCATTCATGGCCCCTGGGGTGCAGCCCCAACCCTGCTCCCAGATTGGAGCAGGTGCCTGGAGAGGAGATAGTCCAGGCAGCGGGAGCAGACACCCCTGAGCCTGCAGGGATGGGGAGCATTCCCCGCCTGAGAATGCAGGCTGCAGAGATACCCAGGTCCTGCACTTGGGAGGGCCGCTGCAGCTGCACCCAGGGAGCTTCCGCCCCGCCAACTTGGAAGGGGTGGGGATCCTGCTTGTCCCCAGCTCCTGCCTAGTTTGTGGAGCAGGAGGCCCAGGTCTGCAGCCGCCAGTCGGGTGGCTGCAGCTGCACCCAGACAGGCAGATCTTGCCTGCTCCCAGCCCCGCTAAGAGCACGGGAAGGCTTGGATCCACAGCTGCAGTTTGGGCAGCTGCAGCCCTGTCCAGTAGGGCAGGGTTCCTGCCTGCTCTGTGGAGCTGGAGGCCTGGGTTGGCAGCTGAGATTTGGGCAGCTGCAGCGGCCCCTGGGGAGCACCAGATCCATGGAGTGTGCAGCTCCCGCTGCGCTTCCCTGCCACAGGTGCCTCCCTGCTGCAGCCCATGTGATGGCAGCAGCCAATGACAATACCTGTCAGCCAGGGTAGGAGTATGGTGCCATAGAAGAAAACCGTAAGCGTTAGATAGAGGTTCAGTTAAAATCTTTCCATCGGAGTGCAATATTCATACAGAAGAGTGCATGAATCCCACGTGGCTGTGGATATGTTTTCACAAAGTGAACAGACTCGCATAACCAGCACCCAGATCAAACAACAGAACAAGAGCAGCACTGGAAACCCCCTCTCCACCCACGAAGGGTAACCGCCATCCTAACATCAAACACCAGCTTTGCTTTGCCTTTTTATTTTCGTTAAATATTATGTCAACAGAATTTCACATTATGTGAGATTCATCCAAGTAGATCTGGGTAGTTATCATTTGTTCATTCTCATGACCATTTTGTTTTATTTTCTATTTTATTTTCTATATTTTATTTTATTTTATACATGGTCTTATTCTGTCATCTAGGCTGAAGTGTAGTGATATGATTTTCTCACTGCAGCCTTGAAATCCTGGGCTCAAGGGATCCTCCCACCTCAGGCGTCCCGAATAACTGAGACTGCAGGTGCACCACCACGCTCGGCTAATTTTTTTAAATGTTTTTATAGAGACATGGTCTCACTATGTTGCCCAGGCTGGTCTTGAACTCATGGGCTCAAGTGATCCTCCTGCCTCAGCCTCCCAAAGTGGGGCTGGGATGAATTAGAGGCATGAGCCACCACACCTGGCCAATTTAATTTTAATTGACAAATAATTGTATATGTTTATGGGGTATGATGTGATGTTTTGATATGTTTATACATACACAGTAGAATGATTAAACCAAGCTAATTCACATATCTATCACCTCACGTGCTTTTTTTGTGTGTTGAGACCATTTAAAGTCTACTCTTCTCAATTTTGAAATTTACAATATTGGTTTTTCGTTGTGTGACTTCCACAATTTACCCATTATCTCAAAGGATGTGTGGATTGCTTCCAGACTGACTATTACACATAGTGCTGTTAGCACCTCTGCCTCGCCACCCCACAGTCTGGGAAGTAAGAAGCACCTCTCCCTGGCTGCCACACCATCTGGGAAGTGAGGAGCAGCTTTGCCCAGCTGCTGTGCCACCCTCCAAGTGTGAAGTGGTAGCCTTGTGTGTGATCTGTCTGCCCTCTCCACGTCTGCATTTTCGAAATTAAAGTTTACTTTTAAATTAAAAAAAAATAGTGCTGTTATGCACATGTCATCCTCATGTTTTGGTGAACTGTCATGCACATCTGGTTTATACATATCTAGGAGTGGAACTGCTGGGGATGGATTCAATTAGGCCACTTGCCATGCACTAACTTTGTGAACCAAGGCACATTATTTAGGTTTTTTTTTTTTTTTTTTTTGAGACGGAGTTCTGCTCTATTGCCCAGGCTGGGGTGCAGTGGTGCAATCTCGGCTCACTACAACCTCTGCCTCCTGGGTTCAAGTGATTCTCTTGCCTCAGCCTCCCGAGGAGCTGGGATTACAGGCACACACCACCATGCCCAGATAATTTTTTTGTATTTTTAGTAGAGACTGGGTTTCGCCATGTTGGCCTTGAACTCCTGACCTTAAGTGATCTGCCCACCTTGGCCTCCTCAAGTGCTGGAATTACAGGTGTGAGCCACCACACCCGGCTGTCATTTAGCTTTTCTGAAACTCACTTTTCATATCTGTATATTGGAGATAAAAATACTTGCTCCTCAGTTTTGTGGCCTGGATTTAATGGAATTATTTCAGCAAGGCACCTGACCTGAATATAGTTCCTCTCTCTTCTTCCTCTGCCAGCCAGAGCACCCTCTGCCCCAAGACACAGCTTTTCCACCGCACTCTCTTTGCCAGGAACCCTCAGCATGAACCTGCAAAGCTTGCCTGTTGCCCAGGGTTGGTGGGGCTGCCTTTCCCCACTGCCTGGTGGCCAGCTGCCTTTTGGGAGCTTGGAGGATACCTACAGAATGCTCCAGGCTGCCACTACATAGTGACAGACGTCAGCTCTATCTTGCTCTGTCTTGACAGAGCCCCTGTGGGTAGCGCTTCCACTAGGCTCACTCCCTTATGGCCCAATTCAGGGAGTTTCAGGAAGAGTAAGTTTTCCTGGTCCTGTTGGCCTATGGTTTATAGACATATATTCTCCACATCACTTTTTCCCCCTATTTCCTGTATGTCAGTTCTCTAGTTCATGCACTTCATTAATCACTGCCATCCAGAACTTTTTATCCCCCCAAGAAGTCTTTGTTTATAATACTTCGTGTAAGCAGTTGAAGGGGCCAGCTGGGTGGCAAAGTTATGATTACTTAAAAAAAAAAAAAAAAAGCAGTGAGCCTAGGCAACATAGTGAGACCCCATCTCTACAAAAAAATAGAACTAGCCAGTTATGGTGGTGCACGCCTGTGGTCCCAGCTAGTTGTTAGGCTTTGACGAGAGGATTGCTTGAGCCTTAGAGGTTGAGGCTACAGTGAGCTATGATTGCGCCACTGCACACCAGCCTGGGCGACAGAGCGAGGACTCTGTCTCAACAAAAAAACAAAAAAAAAACTTAACAGTTAAGATTTCCTCCTGAAAAACTTTCAAAGGACTTAAGTCTTCTACCTGCTGTTTAAAAAAATATAGTTTAATTTTTGACCAGATAACATATTCATATATATTCCCATGTAAAAGATTCTAAAGAGTCAATAGTAAAGAAGGGCTCTCTCTTGTCTTCCCTGGAGGCAGACAATATCAGTTTCTAGTGAAGAGGCAAGCAAATTTTTCTATTAGGCAACAGGTTGAAAAATTTCAGGCTTTGTGGACAGATCTCCATTCTAGAGTATCCTTAAAGAGAAATTTTATGCAAAAACAAGCACATACATATTCATGTCTTCTCCCGCAACTCTCCCCAAATGGTGGCATACTGTATAGACTGCTCTGGACTTGTTTTTGTTTTTTCTTTTCTTTTTCCTTTTTTTTTTTTGAGACAAAGTCTCGCTCTGTCACCCAGGCTGGATTGCAATGGCGTGATCTCGGCTAACTGCAGCCTCTGCTCCCGGGTTCAAGCTATTCTCCTGCCTCAGCCTCTTGAGTAGCTGGGATTACAGGTGCCCACCACACGCCCGGCTAAATTTTGTATTTTTAGTAGAGATGGGGTTTTGCCATGTTGGCCAGGCTGGCCTCGAACTCCACACCTCAGGTGATTGGCCCGCCTCCGGCTCCCAAAGTGCTGGGATTACAGGCATGAGCCACCGGGCCCGGCCTGGACTTGGTTTTTATCAGTTAAACTGGGGGTTGGCAAACCATGGCCCACCAGTCAAGTCCAGCCTGCCACCTGTGGCTGTAAGGCATTTTATTGGAACCTCTGTTCATTTGTTTACATATTATATGTGGCTGCTCTCGTGTTGCAGTGGCAGGGCCGAGTAGTTGCAACACAGACTGTGTGGCTGACAAAGGCTAAGATATTTGCCATCTGGCCTTTTACAGAAACAGTTTGCTGACCTCTGAGCTCAACAGTGTGTCTCAACCTTTCTATATCAGCACAGAAAGAGCTTCCTCACTTTTTTTAAGGCGGCATAATATTTTGTTGTATGGCTGCAGTATAACTTATTTTTAATCAGGCCCTTTTAATGGATATTTAGGTCATTTTTGACTTTTTTTTTTGTTGCTTAAGACAGGATCTCACTATGTTGCCCAGGCTGAACTCAAGCGATCCTCTCGCCTCAGCTCCCAGAGTAACAGGCTACAGCTGTGATTCAACACACCTGGCTCATTTCTAACTCTTTTGCTGCTGCAAATAATGCTGCAGTGAATAAGCTAGTACTTAGCTCATTTTCCACATGTGTGATTATATTTACAGAATGAAGCCTGGAAGTGGAATTGCTCAATCAAAGCCTGTATGCATTGATAATGTTTATAGCTATTGTCAAATTGCCCTCTGTGGAGGTTGTACCAACTGACATTCTCACCAATGTTATGAAAGTGCCCATTTTGCCCTACCTTTGCCAGCAGAGTATTTTAAGCCTTTTGATATTTATCAATCTGCCAGGTTAAAAAAAGAGGTAGCCCAGGGTAGTTTACTTTGCATGTCTTTTATTCTGATGCATTGCACGTTCTTCCATGCATTGATGAGGCGTGTGCTCCTTCCTCAGCTGGCAGTTTACTGTCCTGGTCTGAGGATCTTCTGGGGACTGGTCTCTCTTGCTGACTCTTTCGTGTCATTTTCACAAACAACCTTTTGAGGAAAAAAAGTCTTAAGGACAAACACATGCTGGCAATTAGCGCCATCGACATTCCAGATATCGGGGCTGGGAAGGCAGGGTGAGACCTGCTGGGTGTCATCGTTCTGCTCTGAACTAGGAGGACTGACTTTCAGAGGGTTCTCGGTGTCCTCTTCTTCCACAGCGCTCCTGTTGACACAAACAGCCTCATGTTCCTCCAGATTTTTGATGGGGACCACGTGGCAGGCGTTGTATTTGCAGGTGGCCATCTTTTTGGCTTTCTTGGGGTTCTTTCTCCTGCACGATGCCAGGTGGTACTGGAATCTGCTGAGTGGGATTCGGTGGTGAGGATCATAAGGGCAAATTTCAAAGGCTTCTGGCTCCATGAGAAATTCTTGAAGCAGGGTATCTCACTGCTAGAGTCTAACGGAAATGCTTCTTGTGGAGAAGCCCTTTTGTAAGAAGGATGGAGTTGTCCTCTGCCCAGTTTTGGCCCTTGGGATTCTGTAGGTGACGGTCTTAACTTGTGGTCTGTTCTCTAGGACTGTGAGTGGTGGATTAGAAGAGAGATGAGGAGCTGCCAAAAGCAGCTACACAGAGAACAGAGTTAGCAAATGGCACCCGAGACAGAACTATAGCAGATGCAAGAGCCAAAAACCCACAGCCGCTTGACTCACGGATATACTATGATGTCAAGCTGCAGTCACCGGTGGTCACAATGGGCAGCCTAAGTCATCAGGAAGAGGCTATTGTGCACTGCTTGGGAGGGGTGGATGGCTTTGGGAATGCTGCCATCTAAAATTGCTCATGGATGTATGTTGTGACTTAAGTCTTTTAACTGTACGTATTTGTTTTTTGTTTTTGTTTTTGTTTTATTTGAGACAGAGTCTCGCTCTGTTGCCAGGCTGGAGTACAGTGGTGCGATCTTGGCCCACTGCAATCTCCGCCTCCCAGGTTCAAGTGATTCTCCTGCCTCAGGCTCCCGAGTAGCTGGGATTACAGGCACCTGCCATCATGCCCGGCTAATTTTTTGTATTTTTAGTAGAGACGGGTTTCACCATGTTGGCCAGGCTGGTCTTGAACTCCTGACCTCAGGTGATCCACCCGCCTCAGCCCCCCAAAGTGCTGGGATGATAGGTGTGAGCCCCTGCGCTTTGCCAGGGCTGGTTTTTGGATGTGATTCTCAGGGCCGTCTTTCTTTACCCTTCTGCTCTGCTGAGGCCCACAGCAGCCTAGTCTCCTTGGGTGTGGGGGAAGGGTTTAAATCTATTCATATATCGCAGAAGGTGAAGCCTTTTGGTGTTCAGCTTAACATGGGAAACATTTCCTATAAAACGCCCCATCTTAGGTCGACCCTGCCGTTGTCCCTCACAGAACTGGACCAAAGTCTGAATGGACGCAATTGACACATATCTCAGGGTGTTAGTGGTTTTGGTCCTCTGACATTCTATTTACATGTCTGGTGTTAGGTAGGATTTCTTCTAAAAATTGGCCTGGAGCTCCTTCCCACCCCCCACCCTGTTAAATTGTTTCTCAAGATCTGAGTGACAGTAGAGAAATACCATATTCCTGAATAGGAAGACTCAAAATCATAAATGAATATTCTCTGTAAACTAAATTACATAAATTACATAGTCATCCTAAATTGATACATAAATATAATGCAATTCCAAATAATTTTTGTAGCTTTATGTGCTGATATCTGATAGAGCAAGTCTCTGCTTGTTATTAGTTTTCCCCCCAAAAGCCTTGACTATCTTCAAGGATTTGTTATTCTAGATCATGTGTCAACAAACTATGGGCCCATGATTCAAATCCAGATGGCTATCTGCTTTTGTAAATAAAGTTTTATTGAAGCACAGCCACACCCATTTGTTTATATATTGTCCATTGGCTGCTTTTGAGCTAGATTTGAGTAGTTGCAACAGAATCCAGATGACCTAGAAACCTCTAATGTTTTCTGTCTGGCCCATTATAGAAAAAGCTCACCCATCCTATTCTTGGTGGTGGTTAAGGAAGCTGACTGTATTCAAATTCTACCTCCTGCCACTTACCAGCCATGTGACCTTGGGGAAGGTGTGTGTGTGAGTGTGTGTGTGTGTATGTGTGTGTGTGTGTTTCCTGGTATTTACTAAGCTCTATTGATGGTGTCTTTTCAGGTAGGCTTTGTAGTTTTCTTTCTATTTTTTGCACGTTAAAAAAAAATTAATCTATGATGCTTTATGGTTTTTTCTTTTTCTTTTTTTTTTGTCATTGTAAATGACACTTTTTCCATCTCTCCACATCCTAGCTATGGTGTTCAGCCTTTTTTGAGAATTGAAGTGATTGGCTTTGTCTACATTGTTACATAATTGCAACTGATCATACATGTGGGATGTCTTGTTACTATCATATGACATGCAGACAATTTAGCAACATGACACTCACTGATGTCATAGTAAGAAATTGTAATGGGAACCCAGGTATAGACAAAAGATTAGACAAAGGATTCTAAAAAAAGGCATCTTTCATAACTACACCATTTATTCTGGGTGTGCCAGTCAGGATAGGCAAGGTTAGGCTGCAATAACGTACAGTGCCAAAACTTCAGTAGCTTAAAACAACGAAGGCTTATGAGTCACTTTCAAGTCTAAAGCAGGTTTCTGGGTTGGGGAGGGGTATTGGGGATCTGCTCCTTGTGGTTAATGGAGCCAGGCTGATGGAGCCTCCATAGCAACACTTGCTTCCTTCTAGAAGAAGGAAGAGGATGTGGGGAGTCATGCGCGAGCTTCCACCAGGAAATGATAAACATCACTTCCGCTACTGTTTCATGGTTCAAAGTAAGTCCTACCTAACTTCAAAGAGCAAGGAGGTACGGTCTTTCCACATGCCCAGAAGGAGGAGAATAGGAACTTTGGGAAGTCCTGAGGGCTTCCCCAGTCTGCCCTTCTCGTCACCAGCATTCATTTCTCTTTTCTCCACACACACGGAGCATATTCTTCCCCATGGAAGAAAACCCAAAGTCCTAGCTCAGAGTGGGGGATCAATGGCTTACTCAGTGCTCTCCTGGGGCTTCTTGAGATCTTGAGATCTGGCTCTTACCCCAGACCAGTGGAATTCTAGTGCCTCAAACCAAGCTGGCTCCTATGAGGAGTATGAGGCCAAGAAGTTGTGTTCCCTGTACCCCAACCCACTCACCCTAGGGATAGCTCCTGGTTTGCTCTGCTGAGTGTCCTTGGTAAACTGTACCTTCCATATCATGCATGTAACACAGAGCCCATTTTCTTCAAGCCTACAGCCCACTATTAAAGGAAATATGGTCGGGTGCAGTGGCTCACTCCTATAATCCCAGCACTTTGGGAGGCTGAGGTGGGCGGATTGCTTGAGCCCAGCAGTTCGAGACCAGCCTGGGCAACATGGCAAAACCGTATCTCTACAAAAAATACAAAAATTAGCCTGCTGTGGTGGTGCGTGCCTCTAGTTCCAGCTACTCGGGAGGATGAGGTGGGAGGATCGCTTGGGAAGTTGAGGCTGCAGTGAGCCTAAATTGTGTTACTGCACTCCAGCCTGGGCAGCAGAGTGAGACCCTGTCTCAAAAAATATATTAAAATAATTTTTTTTTGAGACGGAGTCTCGCACTGTCGCCCGGGCTGGAGTTCCGTGGTGCGATCTCCGCTCACTGCAAGCTCTGCCTCCTGGGTTCACGCCATTCTCCTGCCTCAGCCTCCCGAGTAGCTGAGACTACAGGCGCCTGCCACCACGCCCGGCTAATTTTTTGTATTTTTAGTAGAGATGGGGTTTCACCGTGTTAGCCAGGATGGTCTCCATCTCCTGACCTTGTGGTCCGCCCACCTCGGCCTCCCAAAGTGCTGGGATTACAAGCGTGAGCTACCATGCCTGGCCTAAAATAATATTTTTTAAAAGGAACTATAGTGTTGTCCTTACTGGGAGTTAACAGGGAGTTCAGCATCTGCTCTTCCACACCCCCAAGCCTGGTGCAGTGTCTGCCAATGATGCTGATAGCAATCTTCTTTTTTTCTTTTTGGGATACAGTCCCTCTCTGTCACCCAGGCTGGAGTGCAGTGGCAAGATTTAGTCTCACTCCATCTCAAACTCCTGAGCTCAAGTGATCCTCCCACCTCAGCTTCCGGATTGCTGGGACTTACAGGGGCCAGCCATGACACTCGGCTGATTTTTTTATTTGTTGTAGAGATATAGTCTCTCTATGTTGCTCAGGCTAGTCTTGAACTCCTGTGCTCAAGTGATCCTCCCACTTTGGCCTCCCAAAGGTCTGGGAATTACAGGCGTGAGCCACCATGCCCGGCTGACAGTGACTTTTTAATCCCTAGTGCCATAGTCTTTTTCATGCTTCCGACCAGAGGTGGCCCAGGCTGGAGTCTTCAGGCTTCTGTAATTCTGGTTGTCTTTGATCGTTTGTGGTTTATTGTCCTTGAAAAATTATTTGCGAGGGTTTCCAAAGCCTAGGTTACATGTGCCTGGCTGAGAGAGGCTTTTAAATTCTGCATATGGAGATCACAATGAAAGCACTGTATCCGTCATTGAAATCCACATAATGAGGAGTAAGACATTGCTGTTGCAGGTTTCTTTGTGACCACGCACCTATTAGTGTGGCAGGCTGAGATTCAGTCCATTATGGAGAGAGGGAAGGCTGGGGTTGTTTGTGCTTCTTCTTTTTTTTTTTGAGATGGAGTCTCACTCTGTTGCCCGGGCTGGAGTGCAGTGGTGTGATCTCGGCTTACTGCAACCTCTGCCTCCCGGGTTCAAGCAATTCTCCTGTCTCAGCCTCCTGAGTAGCTGGGATTACAGGTGCCCGCCACTATGCCCTGCTAATTTTTTGTATTTTTAGTAGAGATGGGGTTTCACCATGTTGGCCAGTCTGGTCTCGAACTCCTGACCTCGTGATTCGCCTGCCTCGGTCTCCCAAAGTGCTGGGATTACAGGCGTGAGCCACCGCGCCCGGCTGTTTGTGCTTCTAATGGACATCTTGAATGGTCCTCAAGCCTGCAGCCTCCTCCTGGCACCTGCTCTGAGCCTGGGACCTGAGAGGTTGCTCACCATGGCAACCCAAGAGGAGCTAGGGATGCACACACATCTGTCTGTGTGAAACTTTTCAACCCTGTCTGTGCATGTGTGACCAGCGCTGCAAATAAGATCGGACCTGCTTTCCTCTCACTCCCCTCCCTGCTGATCTTCATCCTGAGAGATGCTGCCAACAGATGGTAACACAGGCATGGAGAGGAGGTCACAGAGTGTGCAGAAACAGTGTTTTCTGAAAATGAGAAATGGCATGTCCTGGTTAGCTGAGTCAGCAATTATCATTATGGGGTGGGATGCAGCCATCGGAGGATTAGTCATCATGAATCTGAAGTCTCCAGGCGAGGAGAGAGTCTGACGTCATGCAGGCCAGCTTCTCTCCCAGGGCCGGCATGCCCCCCAGAGCATCCCTGGAGGATGGTCAGACAGCGATGGGGAGCTCACTACCTCTCCAGACAGTTCAATTGTTAGGTTGCACACCGAGCTGACCGCCTCCTCATACCCTGTAGCAGTTAGTGTCAACACTGTGCCCTCTGCCCCAGGCACCTCCTGCAGGTTAAAGGAGATCCTAAGCATGCTAAACTCAAGCTGTGTGTATGTGGCGTTAGTATGGGTGGCCACTCCATTTCTGGCTCCTTGAGTCTCCCTGCCATGTCCAGGAGACAGGTGTGGACAGCATAGGTAGCCCCCATGGGCTTTTGGGCTCTGGCTCAGGGCTTCTCCATGCTGACCACCTCTGTGGGCCACCCCTTGCCCAAGGGCTTCTCTGGTCTCAGCCGTCTGGGCACCTGCCAACTCCTTTGACTCAAGGACCTTATTTAGAAAACTCTCTTCATGTAGTGACAATGAGTGTAGCACCATGTAGCATTTCTCAAACTATAATGTGGCCAGGAATCGCTTGGGTTCTGGTTAAAATGCCTGACTGGGTGACGTTTGGTTGTCTTTGTCGGGTTCCATGTCACAGCTATGCTAGATTTGTAAACTGAATCAGAGCACATTCTCTTTTTTGTTTTCTGGATGGCTTAAACAGCCTACAAACATTCTTTGAAAGTCTGAGAGAACTTGTCTGCTAAACTCTCTGACCCACACCCTGTTGGGAAATAGTCCTCTGTCAGTTTTAAAGTTGATTCCCTGGTTTTTTACTTCTCTTGGCAATTCTCATTTTTCTAGAAAAGTGTGCTGTTATGGACTGAATTGCATCCCTCTCAAATTCATATGTTGAAGCCTGTGACCCCCAAATATCTGAGACAGGTCTCAGTCGATTTAGAAAGTTCCTTTTGCCAAAATTAAGGATGCCCCCGTGACACAGCCTCAGGAGGTCCTGACGACATGTGCCCAAGGTGGTCGGGGCTCAGCTTGGTTTTATACATTTTAGGGAGACATGAGACATCAATCAGTATATGTAAGATGTACATTAATTCCATCCAGAAAGGCGGGACAACTGGAAACAAAGGCAGGACAACAACAAAGGTAGGGAGGGGGCTTCCAGGTCATAGGCAGATAAAAGACAAACAGTTGCATTCTTCTGCATTTCGGATTAGTCTTTCCAAAGGAAGCAATCAGATAGGCATTTATCTCAGTGAGCAGAGGGAAGACTTTGAATAGAATGAGAGGCAGATTTGCCCTGACCAGTTCCCAGCTTGACTTTTCCCTTTAGCTTAGTGATTTTGGGGTCCCAAGATTTATTTTTCCTTTCACAAGCCTTAACCCTCAATGTGACTGATTTTGGAGATAGGGCCTTGAAGGATGCAATTAAGCTTAAATGAGGTCATAAGGATGAGGCCCTGATCTGATAGGACTGGTGTCCCTAGGAGACGAGGAGGAGACACTAGAGCTCTCTCTACTCCTGCACAGAGGAAAGGCCAGGTGTGCACAGAGCAAAAAAGGCTGATATCAGCAAGCCAAGAAGAAAGGCCTTACCTTGCCCTGCTGGCACCTTGATCTTGGACTTGCAGCCTCCAGAACTGTGAGAAAGAAATTTCTGTTGTTTAAGCCACCCAGTCTGTAGTATTTCCTTAGGGCAGCCCGAGCTGAGGAAGACACGTGTTCTCCACTGAACTCTCCCAGCTGACTAGCACACTGCATGCATTTAATACTCTTCTAATTTGAAACCTCTCCTCTGTGTCTTTGATTACATTTCCTTGACTTCTCTACTGTGTTTCTGTGTTCTCTCTCGCTCACTTGCTTCCTACTTCCTCCCCCTGCCCACCCCACAACCTTTTTTTTTGAGTCGGAGTCTTGCTCTGTCACCCAGGCTGGAGTGCAGTGGTGCGATCTCGGCTCACTGCAACCTCCACTTCCTGGATTCAAGCAATTCTCCCATCTCAGCCTCTCGAGTAGCTGGGATTACAGGCGCCTGCCACCACGCCTGGCTGACTTTTGTATTTTTAGTACACATGGGGTTTCGCCATGTTGGCCAGGCTGGTTTCAAAGTCCTGACCTCAGGTGATCCACCTGCCTCGGCCTCCCAAAGTGCTGGCATTACAAGCATGAGCCACCGCGCCTGGCCGTGTGACCCCTCCCTTTATTGGGCTTCCACAAGGCTGGGTGTCCTACAGCTGTTTACAAGAAACCAAGTCTTTGATTTATCAGTTCTATGGATTTTTATGTTTTCTATTTCATTAGTTTTTATCTGTATTTCTGCTTCTCTCCCTGGGTTTATCGTGTTGCTTATTTTCTAGCTCCTTAAGTTGGATGCTTCATTTGCCTTCAGTCTTCCTTGTTGAATAACAGAAACATTTGCAGCTATGGGGCGTACTTCGGTTTCATTCCCTAAGTATGGCTACGTGGAGTTCCAATTGTCATGACGTTCTGAATGGCCCATAACTGCAGTTTTGTTCCTTTCTTTGATTCAAGTTATTTAGGCATAAATTTCCAAGTGATTTCATTTTTTTGTTGTTGTTGTCTATCCTTTTGTTTTTAATTTCTGTTTTTATTGCACGGTGGATAGATAATGTGGCCTGAGAAAACGATGGCTTGTTAGTGCCTGTGAGGTGTTCTTGGTGGCCTAAAATGTCATCAGTTTTGGTCACTTCCTTACAGATGTTTGAATTAAATGTCTTCCCTGTTTATACCTATTTATTAAATGATGCTTGTTTTTCCACGCTGGCATTGCTTGGAATGTGAGTCCTACAAGCTGCTCTGGGGATTGTCACACTGTACCTTCTCCTGGGGAATCTCAGTGGACATCAGCACAGATCCAAGAAGGCCTAAGGAAAAGCCAACCATGAACCTTTGCTTCACTCAGTGTCTCCCAGGTGCAGCCTTTTCTCTTTAGCACCTGTTGCTACCTCTACCAGCTAGTTTCCTGTGGAACTAGTTGAGAAAACTCTGTTTTAAGGTTTTCTCGTATTTCTTGGGGAGTAACTATTTGTTAAGGGTCATCAGTACTCATTTCTCAGGTATAACCTCACTCTGCCTCACCAAGGCTAGAGTGCAGTGGTGCAATCTCGGCTCACTACAGCCTCTGCCTCCCGGGTTCAAGCGATTCTCCTTCCTCACCCTCCCGAGTAACTGGGTTTACAGGTGCCCACCACCATACCCAGCTAATTTTTGTATTTTTAGTAGAGATGGGGTTTCACCATGTTGGCCAGGCTGGTCTCGAACTCCTGACCTCAGGTGATCCACCTGCCTTGGCCTCCCAAAGTGCTGGGATTCCAAGCATGACACTGTGCCTGGCCAAACTCTTCCTTTTTTTTTGAGACAGAGTCTTGCCCTGTCGCCCGGGCTGGAGTGCAATGGCTTGATCTCAGCTCACTGCAACCTCTGCCTCCCGGGTTCAAGTGATTCACCTGCCTCAGCTTCCCGAGTACCTGAGATTACAGGCATGCACCATCATGCCCAGCTAATTTTTTGTATCATTAGTAGAGATGGGGTTTCACCATGTTAGCCAGGC
Source organism: Homo sapiens (assembly GCF_000001405.40). Classification (NCBI taxonomy): domain Eukaryota; kingdom Metazoa; phylum Chordata; class Mammalia; order Primates; family Hominidae; genus Homo; species Homo sapiens. The sequence continues at coordinate 43,735,238 of NC_000020.11, forward strand.
TGGTCTCAAACTCCTGACCTTGTGATCTGCCCGCTTTGGCTTCCCAAAGTGCTGGGATTACAGGCATAAGCCACCGTGCCCGGCCAACTTCCTCCTTTTTTTAAAAAATTAGAGACGGGGGTCTTGCTTAGTCACCTAGGTTAGAGTGCAGTGGTGCAACCGTATCTCACTGTAGCCTGGAACTCCTGGGCTCAACCAATCCTCCTGCCACCACACCTGGCTAAGATTTTAAAATTTGTTTTAGAGACAAGGTCTCACATGTTGCCCAGGCTAGTCTTGAACTCTTGGCTTCTGCCTTAGCCTCTTGAGTAGCTGGGATTACAGGCATGAGCCACAGTGCCCAGTTGACCTCTTCCTTTTCATCTCTGGGCCTATCTGTGAGTGCTGAGCTGCTTCTCTGCTGGAGTGGAGTGTGTCCGTGTGGCTTCTGTCTGATGCTGAGGCTGTCTCAGTTCAGGCTGGATTCTCTGTCCTTTTGCTCTTGGAGACTTGGTTATCGAGGGACCCAACCAAGGAGTGAAGCTGTGTAGTGACTTTACTGATGCGCCCAAGGGTTTTTCTCTTTGTTGTAGCAGCCCAAAGTTAGCTGGACCTCAGGAACAACCCACACCTCATTCCAACATCAGCGCAGGAGGGCGTGAGATGTGGCCACAGCCTGTGGCACCATGGGATGGGCCAGCCCTCCTGCCCCTTCAGCAGGGGCAACATCAGCGCTGAGCTTTAGTCCTCAGTGATACCTGGTGGCATTTGCTTCTCTGCCACCTGCTGCTTTGAGCTTTTCAGTTTTGTGGAGTTCTACTGGTATTATGCTAGAGTTCTTCCAGAAGTAGACCCTAAGATGAGATTTCAGATATAAGTAGTTCATTCGGGAAGTGCAGGTAAGGCTGTGGAGAAAGAGTAAGGAAGATACATTTATAGATGTACTCACATACCAATATTTAAAACTAATAAGAGTCAAAAATTATAACAATTTTTTGTATTTTCTTTTCTTTTCTTTTTTTCTTTTTTTTTTTTTGAGACAGAGTTCTACTCTTGTTGCCCAGGTTGGAGTGCAATGGCGTGATCTCGGCTCACTGCAACCTCCACCTCCCAGGTTCCAGCGATTCTCCTGCCTCAGCCTCCCGAGTAGTTGGGATTACAGGCATGTGCCACCACACCTGGCTACTTTTTTGTATTTTTAGTAGAGACGGGGTTTCTCCATGTTGGTCAGGCTGGTCTCAAACTCCCAACCTCAGGTGATCCGATCCCCTCGGCCTCCCAAAGTGTTGGGATTACAGGCGTGAGCCACTGCACCCAGCCTTTTTTTGTATTTTCTAAAGTTTTAATGGGCATATTTTTCTGTAACAAGAAAAATCAAGCAAAAATTATATTTAGAAAAGCATGGAAACTAGTAAAGACTTTCAAAGGTCAAAGTGTGAAAAATCCCCCACGTGATTCAGCTGTCTACTTCAGTGGGCATCTGAGGCCTTTAGGGGAAACTGTGGGAAGTGATACAAAACACTCAACTCAGAACTACCCCACCCAAGGGGTGGGGGAGCTGGGGCATTTACACCCCAACCCTCAAGAGAGTCATTTGTTAAAAGCTATTTCTGGGGTTGTGAGATAGGAGGTGAGACTTGACTCCAGAGGTGGGGCTCAAACACTGGTCTAGATTGAGGACTAGCTAAAACAGGGCTGGGGTGAAGGCAGCTTTCAATCTGACACAGCCACCAGTGTGTTAAGTCAGTTTACTGTTGCCATGGCAACACCCAGGGTTACCACCCCTTTTCAAAGCAATGACCTCAAAGTTACCACCCTTTCCTTAGAAATTTCTGCATAAACTGCCCCTTTATCTGCATGCAATTAAAACTATGTGTAAATACGATTGCAAAAGTGCCCTGAGCAGCTACTCTCTGCCAATGGGGTAGCCCTGCTGTGCAGGAACAGTCACAGAGCTATAACACCGTCTTTTCAATAAAGCTGTTTTCTTTTACCTCTGGCCCTTGAATTCTTTCCTGGGCAAAGCCAAGAACCCTTGTGGACTGAGCTCCACTTTGGGGCTTGCCTGCCCTGCATCATAAGGTCTTTGGCAGTTCCATCCTGTCAGGCATGGGCAGTTCTGGGAGCAAGAGCCTCATTTCTAGTTGCAGAGGCTGGAAGTGGAAGCTGGCCAGAGCACACTGAAAAGTCACAGGGATACAGGTGGGGTGCAGGCCACTTGTGCCATGGGTCCCTCCAACTTAGAGATTCATGTCTTCTTACTTGGTGACTTACGGGGTAGTCAGTCCCACAAATGCTTAAACAGCCAGCATTTTAAAAAAAGCATCCATTTGTAGCATCTGCCAATTTCCATGTTGTCAATATTCCCACCATGGCCAATTTCAAGCTACCAGTGGTTTAACAGCAGTCAACAGGCGAGGAAAACAGGTAAAGTAACACTCCTCGAGATAGACCTGTAGCAAGTGACAGAGTTGGGGGTGCAGCCCAAGCCTGCCAAACTAAAATACTCTTGCGCCCTTTTTTTTTTTTTTTTTTTTTGAGATGGAGTCTTGCTCTGTCACCTAGGCTGGAGTGCAGTGGCAAGATCTCAGCTCACTGCAACCTCTGCCTCCCGGGTTCAAGTGATTCAGCAGCATGAAAACAGACTAATACAGCCATGTTGGTCTGGCTGGTCTCCAACTGCCAACCTCAGGTGATCTCCCCATCTCAGCCTCCCAAAGTGCTGGGATTATAGGCATGAACCATCGCACCCGGCTTACTCTTGCACTTTTCGTGACATCAGGTTCAGGTGAGCTCAGGCGTTTACGGTGTTGACCTTGTGGGTCAAAGATCTCTGGTGGGAAGACAGACAGACATCCTTCTGATCAGGATACAGTGAGTGCAAGGATGAGGGGACAGCTGGCTGCTGTCTTTCAGATAAAGACTGAGCTGGCCTGGAGGATAAGCAGGAACCAACAGGCTGTAGGAAGGGTGTTCCTGGCAGGTGGACCAGCATGAGCAAAGCACCGAGGCAGTAAGAGCGGCTGGGCTGGGGACTATATATGAGATGTCCCCTACAAAGTGGGCTGGCAGGGGAGGGGTGGAAATGCACATGGAGTTCAGACCTGAGGGCATCCTTGCTGGGTGCTGAAGTGACGGGTTGCTGAGGAAGGCTTCAAGTAAGGAAGTGATGTGGACAGGTTTCCATCTTATTTTCTGTCTCTGGGGCCTGTGGTTTTAAGAGCAGCAAGAAAGGCAGGGGGCCTGGTTAGGGGGCTAAGGAGGCAGAGATTAGCCTGGAGTGGTGGCTCATGCCTATAATCCCAGCACTTTGGAAGGGTAAGGTGGGTGGATCACTTGAGCCCAGGAGTTTGAGACTAGCCTGGGCAACATAGTAAGCCTCCGTCTCTACAAAAAATGAAAAAATTAGCCAGGTGTGGTGGTACACGCCTGTGGTCCCACCTACTATGGAGGCCGAGGTGGGAGAATTGCTTGAGCCCAGGAGGTTGAGGCTGCAGTGAGCTGTGATTGTGCTACTACACTGCAGCCTGGGCAATAGAACTAGAACTTGTCTCAAAAAATAAAAATAAATAAAAATAAAAAAGCAGAGATTAGAGAAATCTGCCCAGAGAGGTGGTTTATAGAAGCCCACCCACACAAAGCCATGGTCTAAGCACAGCTGGACTGTACAGGAACCCAAGCACACAGCAACCACCATTCTCAAGCACAACAGGAGGATCCCCTCTGAAAGACCAGGGCAGGAGAACACATCCCAGACAGAGGACAGGACCCCCTGCCAGCCCTTGCCAGCCCCTCCCGGCCCCTCTCCCCTGGTGAGGGCCACACTGCTGCAGAGGGTAAGGAGAATTGGATTCAAAACCTAATAGACTGGTGGCTTTGAACAAACCAGTGCCCCTCCAGTGCAGGCTTCTCATCTGTAAACTGAAGACTGACTAGAAGATCGTATTAAACACTGCCGTGCTCAGGGCAATCTTTTCCTAGACTACGCATTTAGCAAAAGTGAAGCTGATTGAATTGAGAAGTAAATTCTAGCCCTATTGTTTCAGCTATCCTGGTCTTTCAGCCTTGTGGAAATGTGAGTGAGTCGGTGTGGGCCAATTCCACCAGACACAGCACTGGGCCGGTTCCTCACTCTGCGGGGTCCGCCTTATGTTCCAGTTCACCTCAAGGGCTTCTAGCATGTGTCTGGCCTCCTCGCTGGTTTACATGTGAATATAGATTTTCCTGTGTTTTTCCTTTGACCATTTTAGCAAGCATTTGGCAGGGAGCAGTTAAATGGATCCCAGAGTCAGTCATCTGGAAATCCCTTTGCTTTTAACCTTTATGTAGCATTTCATTGGCCCTGGGCTTTTTGTAAACAAGCTATTTGTGTATGGGGAGGGAAAGCTCTGCCCTTTGCTCTCACTCTGTCTTCTCTCCAGGAGGAGCTGCTGACCTGGTATTCCAGATTGAGGAACCCACTTTTCCTGGTGGGAGGGTCGCTCCCTCTTTTACTTTGCTCCTCCTGGGTCTGGGAGGGGGCCATCTGCCCCTTTCTTGGCTCTTATTTTCTAACACACCTGTTATGGTGTGCTGGGTTGCTACATGCGATCCAGGAGGCCAAGTTAAATTTCAGATAAACAATGAATAGTTTTCTTTAGCACAATGTCCCAAATATTGCTTGGGACATATTTATATTTAAAAAAAGTTTAGGCTGGATGTGGTGGCTCACGCCTGTAATCCCAGCACTTTGGGAGGCCGAGATGGGTGGATCACCTGAGGTCAGGAATTCAAGACTAGCCTGACTAACATGTTGACACCCCGTCTCTCCTAAAAATACAAAAATTAGCTGGGCGTGTTTTCCATTTTCTTTTGTTTCTTTTGAGAATCTGTTCCTTGGAACTTCATGAGGAAGGTTAATGGGTGCCTGCAATCCCAACTACTCTGGAGGCTGAGGCAGGAGAATCGCTTGAACCCAGGAGGCAGAGGTTGCAGTGAGCTGAGACCACGTCATTGCACTCCAGCCTGGACAACAAGAGCGAAACTACGTCTCAAAAAAAAAAAAAAAAGAAAAGAAAAAGAAAAAGTTTAGTGTTTGTGTGAAATTCAAATTTAACTAGGCGTCTTCTATTTTTATTTGCTGAATCTGGCAACCCATGTACTCTAAGAACTATTCTAAGGGGTTCTCTGGAACAGCTGGCCGTCAGATCCAGATTTGGGTTTCCATGGAGCCTCTGGTTAGGTCTGCAACGTCATTATAATAATGTGGAAACACGTTTTCCGTTTTCTTTTGTTTCTTTTGAGAATCTGTTCCTTGGAACTTCATGAGGAAGGTTAATGGGCAGGGTAGGACTTGGGTATTCCCTCCAGCGAGCTGCCATCATATATCATTAAAACCTCACTTTGGCTAGGCGTGGTGTCATGTGCCTGTAGTTGAAGCCACTCAGGAGGCTGAGGCGGGAGGATTGCTTGAAACCAAGAGTTCAAGTCCAGCCTGGGCAGCCTAGCAAGGCCCTGTCACTGAAAAAAAACAAACATAACCACCAAGCCAAAAACAAAACACTAAACATCTCACTTCTTTGAGGTCTAACAATCTGTAGTTTAGATTTTGCTTTTTGATTCAACCTAAGCATTTTAGATGAATTTAACTCATGCACATTTATTATGACGGCTGTTACCCGTGGTCTTAATTCTGTTATCTTGTTATGCTTTTTGTTTTTAGTGAGCCATGTTTTCTTGAATTAGTTTTCTTTGGTGTCTTAGAAGTTACACATCCTTTATTATATCAGAAGTTATTTTAAATAGAAAAATATTGAGACCATTTTGTTTACATATCAAATGGCAAGAATAAAAATAACCAGAATACCATCTCATTGGTTGACGACATCACTCATCTACTTCCATTCACTCCTGCAAACCAGGAGTTTTGATTCCTTTCTTTTCCTCCTTCCCCATGTCAAATCCATTATCAAGTCCTGCAACTCTTAACTTCTGAACAGTTTTTGGATCTATCCAATTTATCCTCATCACTACTACTCCAGTACTATTGACCATTATCTCATGTCCAGTCTAAGATATGATTCCCCATGCCATTCTTCTTTTACTTCCTTTCATGTATTTCTTTCTTTTTCTTTTTTGTTTTTTTTGAGACGGAGTCTCCCTTCGTTGCCCAGGCTGGAGTGCAGTGGCATGATCTTGGCTCACTGCAACCTCCGCCTCCTGGGTTCAAGCGATTTTCCTGCCTCAGCCACCTGAGTAGCTGGGATTACAGGTGTGCACCACCATGCCTGGCTAATTTTTTTGGTATTTTTAGTAGAGACGGGATTTCACCATGTTGGCCAGGCTGGTCTTGAACTCCTAACCTCAAGTGATACACCTGCCTCGGCCTCCCAAAGTGCTGGGATTATAGGCGTGAGCCACCATAGCTGGCCCTTTTCATATACTTCACACTTGGGGAAATTATTTGGGATTTTCAGAACCAGATGGTTATGACCTTCCTACCCTAACCTGGTCATTAATAAACAATTATTTTAACATATTGTGTATCTTCAGCTTTAATATTTATTTTGGACATATGCAATAGGTTGCATGCCTCATTATTTGTGGTCAGCCCTGTATTTTTGCATTTTCATTGTTGGCTTTTATTTTCTCTGTACTGTTTCTTCCCTATTTCTGAATTTGCTGTTTGGATTCCTCAATCTTATTCTCTGCTGCTAGGCCATCAAATGCTGGAGTCCTGTGAGCTTAGTTTTCTCTTCTCTCTTATTGTCTAGATGTAGATAACTCACCAGTATGCATCTGGAGGTCTAAACCATCTGCATAGTGCAAGCCTGTGAATCCACATTGGACATCTCATGGATACCTCATACTTAACCTTCTCCAAACCAATCTAAAACTGACCTTCCTGCCCTAACCTGGTCCTGTTTTAGAGTCTCCATCTGTACTAGTCAGGGTTCTCCAGAGAAACAGAATGAACAGGATAGGAAAAATGAGGAATTGGCTCATGTGATTATGGAGGCTGAGAAGTCCCATGATTTGCCATCTGTAAACTGGAGACCTAGGAAAGCTGATGGTAGAATTCAGTTCAAGTCCAAAGGCCTGAGAAGCAGGGGAGATGATGATATAAATCCTGGTTGGAGGACAGGAGAAGATGAGAAATGTCTCAGCTCAAGCGGTGAGTTAGGAAAAAAGGGACAAATTCCTCCTTCCTCTGCCTTTTGTTCTGTTCAGGCCCTCAGTGGATTGGATGGTGCCCATCCGCATTAGGGAGGGCCACCTCCTTTACCAAGTTCACTGATTCAAATGCTCATCTCAGCCAGAAACACTCTCACAGGCATACCCAGGAACAGTGTTTAATCTGGGTACCCTGTGGCCCAGTCAAGTTGATGAATAAAATTAACCATCACCCATTTCCTCTGCTGACATCACCCATCCACTTCCATTCAGTCCTGCAAACCAGAAGTTGTGATTCCTTTCTTTTCCACCTCCCCCATGTCTAATCAATCACCAAGTCCTGTTACTCTTAACTTCTGAACAGCTTTTGAATCAATCCAGTTCTCTTCATCCTCATCACAACTGTTCTAGTCCTATTGGCTATTATGTCTCGCCTAGTCTAAGGCAGTAGTCTACTAACTAGTCTCCCAACTCCCTTCTGGTCTCTGTCTTCTAGACCTGACCCTGAGGGAAGGTCTAGAAATGCAGGCAGGCTGTCCCCATTCTGCTTCCTCTACACTAAGATCTAGTCAGGATCCTTCAGGTGCCCACAAGGCTCTGCACCCTCCGAGGGCTGCCATACCTGGCCATACCTGGCATGCGCTTCCTTCCTATCCTCTCTGCACACCAGCCACACTGGCCCATCCTGGCCACTCCTGGGCTCCGTGCTCTCTGCCACCACATGGCCTTGGCATCTCCTGCTTTCTGTTGTCTTCTTTCTTTACGTGCAGAAGCTCCTGCCTGGCCTTTGGAGCTCAGCCTCCCCTGAACTCTCTGACTCAATTAAATTCCTCTATTCTTTACCCTCGTAGCCTCACATGCCTTTCCTTCATAGCATTATATGACAACTGTCATTTTACATTTATTTCTTTCTATTTTCTGATGAATGCCTGCCTCCCCCAGTAGACTATCAGTCCCCAGAAGCATGCACCTTGTCTTTTTCAATTCATTGCTGTATCTCCAGTGCCCAGCACAGCACCTGGTGCATAGCAGGTGCTCAAGAAGTATTTGTTTTGAATAAATGAATGATTTAGAGCTGATCACAGCTGGAAGAGCCACTGAAGGTCATCACTATTATTAAAAGTAGATCTCAAGGCTTAGATCCCAGGGAAGGGAGGACCCCAGAGAAGCCTGTGAAATGAGAGTCAAATTTTAGAGTGTTGCCGGGCATGGTGGCTCACCACGGCCATTTGGGAGGCCGAGATGGGTGGATCACCTGAGGTCAGGAGTTCGAGAGCAGCCTGGCCAACATGGCAAAACCCCATCTCTTACTAAAAATACAAAAACTAGCCTGGAATGGTGGCGTGCGCCTATAGTCACAGCTACTCAGGAGGCTGAGGCAGGAGAATGGCTTGTACGCGGAAGGCGGAGGCTGCAGCAGGTTTTCTGTGTTTTTAGTTTCCTAAGCTTGGCTTGGCACAGCACACACAAAGCCATGGGGACCCAGAGCTTGTGACTTACACCGTGAAGCACAGGGTGGGGAAGAATGAGTGACAGTGAAGAATGTTCCCTTGCCCAAAAGGAGATGATTCGGAAAAGAGCAGATGGAGGAGGTGTGGTTAGGGATAGGAGTTACTGGGTCCCCAAGAATGAGTCCAGCACCCCATCCCTCAGAGGATAGAAACCCATGTTAAGGTTGTAGGGATCCCGGAAGACTCACAGAGAAGCCCACTTTGGTGGAGCAGCAGTGGCAAAGGGAGGTGTTGGAATGCAGTGGCCTCAGGACAGCCTCCTGGGGATCTGGGATCCTGCACAGTGTGAGGGAGCAGATTAGAGTTCTCACACCCCTGGAGAGAGCGTGCACGTAGCTGGGGTGGATGACTGTCCTGGGGGGGCTCAGGCTCCCAGGAATGGGTGATCAGGGACCATGGCAGACCTATAGTCACCTCTGCAGAGGCAGTGGGGACTGGGGTGACTCAGACTCCAGCGAGGTCAGCGAGGAACCCTCCCAGCCAGGCGACTCACCCCAGATGCTGGAGTGGTAGGTAAGCCCCTCCCCACACCAGCTGCACCACCTCTGGGTGGAGTGTGTGTGTGTGTGTGTGTGTGTGTGTATGCATGCCGGATGCGTGTCTGAAATCTGAATTCAGTGAGTGTTTACCTAAAGAACAGTGGAGTGAAGTGGCTGCTGTACTTCATGTTTGCAACTGTTTCCCACCTTCAGTGGAAATGGGAGCTTAAAAGCTCAGATAAGCCGGGGCGATGGCTCATGCCTGTAATTCCAGCACTTTGGGAGGCCAAGGTGGGTGGGTCACTTGAGGTCAGGAGTTTGAGACCAGCCTGGCCAACATGGTGAAACCCTGTCTCTACTAAAAATACAAAAATTAGCTGGGAGCGGTGGCTCGTGCCTGTAGTCCCAGCTACTCGGGAGGCTGAGACAGGAGAATCACTTGAACCTGGGAGGCAGAGGTTGCAGTTAGCTGAGATCACACCACTGCGCTTCAGCCTGGGCAACAGAGTGACCAAAAAAAAAAAAAAAATCAAAAACTCAGATAAATTAAATATGCAGAAATAGAGAAAGTAATAGGTTTTTATCCCTGAAGATATAGTCTGGGAAATTTATACTCATTCCATAGTATTTATACGAGTATTTTTACTCATTCCTTGTATTGCTTGAAGTTCCAGCGAAGAACAGAATCCTACTCAGATGGATTTCATGGACTATTATGGAGAGGTGGGCGGGGCAAAGAGCCCCAACCAAGGCTGCAGAGGCTCCCAGGCACCAGCAGCAAGGGGAAGCCTGCCGGGGTGGGGTAGGGGATTATGCTGTTGAAGTCCATTGACAGCTGGAGACAGAAAGTAGAACCACCCAGCAAGAGCTGGGGTTGAGGGACTAAGCCACTGCCCAGAATGAGACCTGAAGAAGGAAGGAAGCAGGAAGAAATATCCCTACTTCTCTCTCTCCTCCCAGCATCCGAAACCTGGAAGCCAGCCAGCAACGATGTGTGGGTGATGCAGTCCACAGGGGCCAACCTTCCAGGGCCCACGGCAGGGTGGAAAGATGGGTGGAGGGGGGCTTGAGTTAAAGAACAGATGGGGAAACTGAAGCCCAGACAGGGTAAGGACTTGCCTAAGGTCATTTAGCAATTGAAGGGCACCATGAGGACTCAGCCCCTGACTTCCTTCTTCTCATAGGAGGGCTTCCTGCTCAACACCGTGCTTTATTGCCTGCACACACAGCTGCGTGGTCGCTTCTCATTTTCAGACTTTGTTGTAAAAAGAAGTCGGAAAATGCAAACATTGTATGAAGAAGAAAAGAATGTGTTGGCGTCTAGTCTTCCAGGCTGCCTCTCTGTGTGTGGACACATATTGATTTATTTTAATGTTCTTAATTTTAGATTCGGGGGGGGTGTGTGGGCAGGTTTGTTCCGTGGGTATATATTGTGTGATATGGGTTTGGGCTTCTGTTAATACCCAAACAGCGAACATAGGACCCGATAGGTAATTTTTCAACCCCTGCCCCTCTCCTTCCCTCCTTGCTTTTTATTTATTTTGGAGACAGGGTCTTGCTCTGTCTCCCAGGCTGGAGTGCAGTGGCACGGTCTCAGCCCACTGCAACCTCCGCCTCCTGGGTTCAAGCGATTCTTGTGCTTCAGCCTCCGGAGTAGCTGGGACTACAGGCGTGACCACCACTCCCGGCTAAGTTTTGTATTTTTAGTAGAGATGAGGTTTCATCACGCTGGCCAGGCTGGTCTTGAAGTGACCTCAGGTGATCCACCTGCCTTGGCCTCCCAAAGTGCTGGGATTACAGTCGAGAGTCACCACCGTGCCCGACTCCTCCTTGCTTTTAGAGTCCCCAGTGTCTTTTGTTCCCAAATGTGTGGACACACATTTAGTAAAAATGGGAGTGGGCTTTGTAAACCTAAAAGTATTTGAGACAGGCCTCAATCAATTGAGAAGTTTATTTTGCCGAAGTTAAGGACATGCCCAGAAGAACAGAACACAGAATCACAGAAACAGTCTGTGCCTTTCTACAAAGATGATTTTGAGGGTGTCAGTACTTAAAGGGGAAAAGCAGGCTGGAGGGAAACGAGGGAGGGTGTGGTCATATTACTGAATTCACATGTTGCAAGAGAAAAGGAGTAGATGGGGGACTCGTCAATTATGTATTCATCTAGCACTCAGTAAATTGGCACTTTAAGTAAGATAAGGTGAACCAGAGTAATTGGAGATATCTGGCCTTTTATCTCTACCTATCTGCTTAGGCACAAAAGGGAAGGCGTTTTCTTGCATGACTCAGCTTTCAGCTTAATTTTTTTCCTTTGGGTAGAGTGAATTGGAGTCCCAAGTTTTATTTTCCTTTCACAGTTTAGGAAGTCGGGAGAGGTGGGTTCGCCTGGGAACTCATAGTGAGACCTGCACTCTGAATTCCTTGGAAGACAGAGGAGAAAAATGAAGGGAAAAAAAAAAGGTGGGGAGGTGGTGGAGGGAGAGAGGGAATGGTTGGTGCTTTGGCCAAGCCTGAGTTTCCCCAGCTGCTCCTTGTTTAGGCAGGAGAGACAGGCAAACTGCAGAGCACTTGTGAGTTCCCATGGGAGCCCCTGCGCCCTGTGGGTCTGTTTCAGCATTGTCCTCCGTGCTGGGGATATCCCAGCTCCCAGCTTCCTGGAAGGCTGTCGTGTTAACCACGTTAACACTTTGTGTGGGGCTCAGCACTTGTGGAGTGCCCGTTTAGTTCTTAGAGTCGCCCTGTGCAGGGCCAGGTAATGCCTACCACGTCCTAAAATGCACTGCGTGCCCCACTGTGCCCCACTGGAGGTATGTGAGTGACATTTCATGGTGTTTTGGTGGACAGTTTTAATTTCAGTAATTACATATTGATATGGTTTGGGTTTGTGTCCCTGCCCAAATCTCATGTCAAATTGGAGGAGGGCTCTAGTGGGAGGTGGTTGGATCGTGGACGTGGATTTCCCCCTTGCGTTCTCGTGGTAGGGAGTGAGTGCTCATGCGATCTGATGGTTTAAAAGTGTGCGGCACTTCCCCCTTCATGCGCTCTCTCTCCGGCTCTGCCATTGTGAAGATGTGCCTGCTTCCCCTCTGCCTTCTGCCATGATTGTAAGTTTCCTGAGGCCTTTCAGCCATGCTTCCTGTACAGTCTGGGCAACTGTGAGTCAATTAAACCTCTTTTCTGTCTTTCTTTCTTTCTTTTTTTTTTTTTTTTAGACAGAGTTTCGCTCTTGTTGCCCAGGCTGGAGTGCAATGGCACAATCTGGGGTCACTGCAACCTCCGCCTCTCGGGTTCAAGTGATTCTCCTGCGTCAGCCTCCCGAGTAGCTGGGATTACAGGCATGCGCCACCACGCCTGGCTAATTTATTTTTATTTTTTTTTATTTTTAGTAGAGACAGGGTTTCTCCATGTTGGTCAGGCTGGTCTGGAACTCCCGAGCTCAGGTGATCCGCCCACGTCGGCCCCCTAAAGTGCTGAGATTACAGGCGTGAGCCACTACGCCTGGCCTAAACCTCTTTTCTTTATAAATTACCCAGTCTCAGGTAGTTCTTTATAGCAGTGTGAGAATGGACTAATACACATGTGTTTTAATGCATCTTAGCGGGGCTGATCATAAACATATTTGACAACTGAATGGCACAGGCATCAACGAATCAGAACGGATGCTAGCAGTAAATAGCCATGAATGTCTCTGGGACTCATAACTGAACTGAAAGGGGCTCAATTTTCCCCACCCGCCTGGTGATTGGGGTGCTCATAGTCCCCCAAGAGTGGGTTCCTGCTGTTTTCACCCCACCATCCTGGCCTCCAGAAATCCACTCTGAGCTTTGAGCTTCCATACAGGGAGCTCAGGGGAGGGTAGGGAAGAAGAAAGGAGCGTGGGGGTGGGGGGAGGGCTGCTGCCTGGAGCTGCCTCTCACACAGGACCCCCTGGATGGTCACTCTGTTTCTGGGATATTTAACCCCTGAAACTGTCCCCTGAGCAGCTGTGTCACCCCTGACCTGCTGCTCAGTGTCACCCCCTCTTTTATTTTAAGAAACAGAGTCTTACTCTGTTGCCCAGGCAGGAGTGCAGTGGTGCAATCATAGCTAACTACAGCCTCAAACTCCTGAGCTTAAGCAATCCTCCTGCCTTAAGCAACCCTCCTGAGTAGCTGGGACTACAGATGCATGCCACCATGCCTGGCTAATTTTTAAATGATATTTTGTAGAGACAAGATGTTGCTATGTTGCTCAGGCTGGTCTCAGATTTCTGGGCTCAACCAATCCTCTTGCCTTGACCTCCCAAAGTGTTGGGATTATAGGCGTGAGCCACTGCGCCTAGCCTCATCTCTCCTGTTTTCATGTGTGCCTTTGTAAATTACTTGTATTTCACTGGTTACTTTTTGTTTCTATAACATGTTTTATTGTGACACATAAAATGCAGGAAAAAATGCATAAAGCTCATATGTGCAGGTTAACACAGGACTGTAAAAATATCCTACACAAAGAAGGAGAACTGGGTTCCCTGGGGCCCCCACCATCTCTTCCCATGACAGCCTCCTGATCCCCAGAGAAAAGCACTATCTTTTTTTTTTTTTTTTTTGAGATGGAGTCTCTCTCTGCCGCCCAGGCTGGAGTGCAGTGGCACAGTCTCAGCTCACTGTAACCTCTGCCTCCCGGGTTCAAGCGATTCTTCTGCCTCAGCCTCCCGAGTAGCTGGGACTACAGGCGTGCACCACTACACTGGGCTAATTTTTGTATTTTTAGTAGAGACAGGGTTTCACCATGTTGGTCAGGCAGGTCTCAATATTCTGACCTCAAGTGATCCGCCCACCTCGGCCTCCCAAAGTGCTGGGATTTACAGGCGTGAGCCACTGTGCCTGGCTATCCTAATTTTTATAACGCTAATTTCTTTGCTGTTCTTTATAGTTTCACCACTTAGGAAAGCCCTTGTTTGTTTTGTTTGTAAAATGACAGTCTTTTTATTTATGAAAATCTTGGTAATCCTGGTTTTGTTTTCATCCCCTCCCCACCATGTCCCCTCCTCTCCCCCAGCCCACCATTTATGGCAAGTGAAATCCACCTCTGTTTACTGTGGGTATTCATTTCTCTCTTAACATGAATTATAATACATAAATACGTTTATTAAAAATTTTTTTTTGAGACAGGGTCTCGCTCTGTTGCCCAAGTTGAAGTGCAGTGGGTGATCATAGCTCCCTGCAGCCTCCAACTCTTGGGCTCAAGCGATCCATCCTCCTGCCTCAGCCTTCTGAATAGCTGGGACTACAGGAGACAGCCACCACCACACCCGGCAATTCAGAGAAAAATTAAGTAAAGAATAGCATGTATAAATGAGATGGGCAAGATGATGAAGGTGGTACCCAAAGAACTGAAGTTTGGGAAACGTTGATTATCTTCCATTTATGAAGAAAAAAAAAGTCTTGGGGAGGTCTCTGGAGGGTCAGGGACTGGAATCCAGGTGCGCTGACCTAGGCCGACGTGGGCCACCGGGACACCACAGCCCTTGGGGCGCCGGCGGCCGGTGTTCCTTCAGGGAGCCCAGAGGCTGCAGTGCCGCTATGCACCACCAGAGGGCAGCACGGCCCCGGCTTGCGGCTCCCGGCCACTTCCCACGCGGGCGGCTGGGGTGGCGCTGGGCGGCTCTCCCTGGGGATTCGGGTTTGCCTGGACTCATCTTAGTCCAGAGATCCTCAAACGAGCTCTGGGACACACTCCCTTCTAAATTACCTGGGTGCTTGTTAACAGTGTAGAGTTTGGGGCCTTCCTGGACCTACAGAATCAGCATCCCTGAAGCTCCAGGTGTGTGGCGTGGGAGCTAGGGGGTTTGGACAGTGGGGTGCTGGTCAGGGGAGTTTTGAGAACACTGCTCCAGGGAGGTGGGCACTGTCTCCCAGGGTCAGAGTTTGGGGGTGATGTGTGTGTGTGTGCGGAGGATTATCACACACACCGAGAGGGATTGCCGGTCGGAAGCCTGGGCTTGCATTTGGGCCCACCTCTTACTTGGATGGGTGGCAAATTCTTCGTTAAGCATTTTGCATCTACGCACCCTCCATTTGACCACCCATCCATCCATCATCCATAAATATATGATAACTAAACCCTTACCATGTGTCCCTTCTGTGTGTGGAGATATAGTGGTGAGCAACACAGACAGCGTCCCTGCCCTCCTAGAATTCATGCCTGTGTGGAGGAGCCAGATAGCAGCAAATAATCCCTCAAATATAAAATTACATGTTAGGCTGAGCGCAGTGGCTCACACTTGTAATTGCAACACTTTGGGAGGCCAAGGTGGGAGGGTTGCTTGAGGCCAGGAGTTCAAGACCAGCCTGGGCGATATAGCAAGACCCCATCTTTACAAAAAATTTAAAATAAAATTACAATTTATAGGAGCTGCCTTGAAGGAGGAGGGATTCATAGGGTGCTGTGTGGATGAAAAGAGCTCTAGGAACCTGAGGATGTGAAGGATTCTTCCCTTAGGAAATTATGCTTGAATTGAGATCTGAGGGTGAGAAGGAGTGAACCAGGTGGAGTCAGAGGGAAGAGTGTTTCAGACAGAGGAAACTCATGTGCAAAGGCCCTGAGGTGGAAATGAGCTCACTGCCTTGGCAGAAGAGTGTGGTTGGAGCAGGAAGGAAGAGAGGGACTGGCTAGACCTGGGGTGTGGGCAGTAGACAAGGACCAGTACCCTCAGGTTCTCAAATTTCCCATCTTCAAATGGGGCAACAAGAGAACCATCTATCTTGCAAAGAGGATAACATGTAATGATGAGCCCAAAGCATCTAATGTAGTGCCTGGTACACAGTTGGTGTCAATATTGGGGGTGGGGGTGGATCTGGGCAGAGGGTACAGCCTGGTTAGAGAGCTGTGGGGAAGCACTGGGCAACTGCGGGGACCAGAGCTGTCTTGGCCACCTGCAGGGACCAGCTGAGAAGTGTGTTTAACCACAGTGAACATTACCGTTGGCATCGCTGTCTTGTTGAAAACAAAGTGAAATTGGAGAACATACTGTTGTCTTGAACTAGGCCAAGATGACTAATTATTAGACTCACTTTTGAAAGGTTACCATATACAGACATGCGCTGAGGTGGAGAGAGGAGAGTTTGGAAATCTGATTCATTCTGAAACCCCAATAGATGGAACTCTTGCTCAGTTTCTGAGCATAATGACTGTGAACATTCGGTTTAACGCAGCTGTCACCACAGGCAAGGTGCAAAACAAAATGTTTCGTACCAGCTCCTTGGAGTGTCATGGGGCAGCTCATGGCAGCCCTGGGGAGATCTCTGCTAGATGGTGAAGGGTGTGCAACGTGGGTGCTGGTGTTGGGGAATTGAGGGGACGCCAGACCTCAAATCTGGGATCTGAGTCTGAGGGATGGCTTTGCCACAAGTGGACCATGTGGCTTAGGTTAACTTCCTCCTTTCTTTGGGCCTTAGTTTCCTCATCTGGAAAATGAAGGGCTAGACCAGATGCTCTCCAAGAACTTCTCTAGTTTTGTTGTTCTATGGCCTTTGCTGGTGGTGTGACTTTGGATGTTACCTTCAGCTCCTGGGTTTTAGTTTCCTTTTGAGCATTTTAGAGTTCCCCAAGAGTGTTGGTTTATTTCACTCCCCATTTGCTGCCCCCACCAATGAAGTCTAGCGACTCGAAATCTCCTTCTCCAGACTCCACTGAGAACAAACCACCCTAGTTCCTTGCCCTGTGGGTCAGTGGTTTAATCTGGGGATGCGTGAGTCCCTTGGTCCTGTCTGGAGATGCATAAATCCACTGTGGCCCGATGTGGGGATTCCAAGTCCTTGAGGTCTAATCTGGGGATGCATGTGGTCCAGTACTCACAGACCCAAGGGGGCCTGAAGGCACCTGGACCCTTCAGGAAGTCCTGTCTCTGGGACTTACAAGGGAACATTCGTGAAGCTGGTATCAGGGCTGAACGTGGATTGGGGCTTTCTGAGGGCCAAGTGCAGGCACTCATTTCCTTCTCACATTATTCCCACCTCTGAGGGGCAGAGGGTCTAAGTAATTTTCCCAAGGCCACACAGGGAGCAAGGGGCAGAGGTGGCATGTGTGCCCAAGCCTGTTTGATTCAAACTGTCGTTAACTTTGGAAACTGACCCCACCATCTCATTTATTTCTCACAACAAATACATCCATTAACAGGTATCAAGGCTTAGAGGCTTCATAGCAAAACAGAGTGGAGACCTGGTAGGTAAGCAGGCAGCTTCCAGATTTCTCCACCCAGCCCCCACTTCCTGGCCAGGAACTGGAGGCAGGGAAGTTCCATTGCCCATATAGCTGCATGACTTTTCATTTGCCCGTTCCTGTGGTCAGACTCAGTGGTGTGAGACTTCCTGTGGTTGAGCCGAGTGATGCAAGAACGTCGCTGTGCAGGGCTGTGGTCCTACACCGTCCACTTTATTGGTTGTCTAAGACATCTTCAATGGTAAAATGGGAAAGGCATAGTTTTTGTCCTGAACGTTGTCCTTACACCTAAGCCAGACTTGATCAGATGCCACATGGGGCGTATCCTCCTGAGCATCCCACGTCTACCGCCTGCCTTGGATGTCTGACATCAAGTATGTAAGTGCTTGTGTCTGGACCTGAACTTCACTCCAAATAGCGGGGTTGGCTACAGGTCAGTTACCCATGTGAGATTATAGTGCCCTGACTGGTTATTCTTTTTTTTTCTTTTCTTTTCTTAAGACAGGGTCTAGCTCGGTTGCCCAGGCTGCCGTGCAGTGGTGTGATTGCTCTGCCTCCTGGGCTCAAGCCATCCCCCCACCTCAGCCTCCTGAGTAGCTTGAACTACAGGCATGCACCACTGTGCCAGCTAACTTTTGCATTTTAGTAGGGATGGGGTTTTGCTATGTTGGCCAGGCTGGTCTTGAACTCATGGCCTCAAGTGATCCACCCACCTTGGCCTCCCAAAGTGATGAGATTACAGGCGTGAGCCACTGTGCCTGGCCACCTGACTGGTTATTCTTATCAAGATGAGAACAGAACTGAAATTGAACATAAGCCACCATTAATTATCATCAGTAATGTATTTAAGAATATAAGGCATAATTTTAAGTTACACTAAAATAAATATAAATGGCTTGACACAAGTAAACGTTCTTGCTCAACCCTTGATACCCTCTAGGGATGGATCTGAAGATCCATCCCCTAGACACATGAATATGATTTTTCAAATCATTATTATTACAGTTTTATAGAGACAGGGTCTTACTCTGTTGCCTAGGCTGGAGTACAGTGGTGTGACCACGGCTTACTCCTGGGCTCGAACTCCTGGGCTCCAGAGATCCTCTGTATTCATCTGTTCTCGCACTGCTGTAAAGAAATACCTGAGACTGGGTAATTTATAAAGAAAAGAGGTTTAATTGCCACATGATTCTGCAGGCAATACAGATGCTGGCATCTGCTTGGCTTCTGAGGAGGCCTCAGAAAGCTTCCAGTCATGGTAGAAGGTGAAGGAGAAGCACACGCATCGCATGGCCAGAGTAGGAGTGAGTGGAAAATGGGGCACTGCTACACACTCTTTTTTTTTTTTTTTTTTGAGGCAGAGTCTTGCTCTGTCACCCAGGCTGGAGTGCAGTGGCGTGATCTCAGCTCACTGCAAGTTCCGCCTCCTGGGTTCACGCCATTCTCCTGCCTCAGCCTCCCAAGTAGCTGGGACTACAGGCGCACACCACCACGCCCGGCTAATTTTTTGTATTTTTGTAGTAGAGACGGGGTTTCACCGTGTTAGCCAGGATGTTCTTGATCTCCTGACCTCGTGATCTGCTTGCCTGGGCCTCCCAAAGTGCTGGGATTACAGGCGTGAGCCACCGCACCCGGCCTGCTACACATTTTTAAACAACCAGATCTTGCAATAACTCACTCACTCACACAACAATAACAGTACCAAGGGGATGTCGTTAAACCATTTGTGAAGGACCACCCTCATGATCTAGTCACCTCCCACCAGGCCCCACCTCCAACCCCAGGGATTACAATTCAACATGCTATTTAGGCGGGGACACAGATCCAAACAATATCTTCCTCTCACGTAGCTGGGACTAGAGGTGTGCGCCACCAAGCTCGGCCTCTGGTTTTTCAAATGATATCCCAAATCGGAGCTCCTCTCACCACTTCCACTTTGCCACTTTTATTCAAGCCACTAGCCAACAACGTGGGTTATGACAGAAACAGAAGCCTCCGCGCTCCTTTCCTCCTCCAAACTTGCTCACCTTGTAGGTGACTCTCTATGCTGCGGGATCTGTTAAGGCTTGAGTCAGATGGCAAAGTCTCTGCTCGAGGCCCTCCGATGGTTTCCCTTCCACCAGGAGTCAAAGCCCAAGTTCTTACCAGGGCCTCCGTGACCTCACTGGGTCTGCCCTGGTTCTTCTCTGGGCTCATCTCCTGCTGTTCTGCTTTTGCTCACTTCGTTCCAGCCTCTCTGGCCTCCGCGCTATTCCTTCAGGCACATTTCTGCTGTGTGGCTTTTGCACTTGCTTTTCCCTCTACCTGGAGAGCTCTTGCCCCAGATACCCATGAGTCTCCCTCTCTCCCCTCCTTCCGGTTTCTGCTCCATTCTCTCCATCCCAGAGAGGCTCTTCTTGACCACTCTACCTAAAATATCAGCTTCCTGCAATAAAATATCAACTTCCTTCACTCTTTATTCTTTTTCCCTCTTAATTTTATTATATCTCCTCCTGACATGTATTTGTTGATTCTTTCCCCACTAGAATATAAGCTCCACAAAAGCCGCATCTCTGCTCCTCTCCCTGCTACATCCTTAGAGTCAAGCCTAGTGCCTGACCACATCAGTGACATTGGTTGAATTGAATGAAGGATCAATAAAGGAATAAACTGAGGTTGGGCACGGTGGCTCACGCCTGTAACCCCAGCACTTTGGGAGGCCGAGTCAGGTGGATCACCTGAGGTCAGGAGTTTGAGACCAGCCTGAACAATACGGTGAAACCTCGTCTCTACTAAAAATACAAAAATTAGCTGGGCATAGTGGGGCACGCCTGTAATACCAGGTACTCGGGAGGCTGAGATGGGAAAATTGCTTGAACTCGGGCGGTGGAGCTTGCAGTGAACCAAGATCGTACCACTGCACTCCAGCCTGGGCAACAGAGTGAGACTCCATCTCAAAAGGAATAAACGGAGCTTTCTATGGTAAGTATCTTTGCTCATGGCAGGAGCCTCACTGACAGTTTCCTGAGTCACACTTTCCGGTTTCTGTGTTGCGTGTACATTGAAGGCATTCCAATGGTGGATCTGAGCCTCAGGATAATTGGATATCGCTTTTCAGTATGTAGTTCCACATCATCATTTTTTTGGATGCCTTTAATCTTTCTTCACTTCTTCTTCTGTCCCATCACCAACATGAGCAGTTGGATTTATTTTAGGGCCCTTTCTCACAAAAAGCAAAGTTTCATCACTTTGTGGGAGTAGCTGGGGACACATAGGACCAAGAGAGAGGAGCAGAACCATGCTGAGAGGCCCTGGCGGTGGCTGCCTCTCTCGCTGGCTAAGGGACTCAGCTTCAGCACCTGCCCCCAGTTCTGCAGTGCACGATTTGAACCCATCCCTCAGTGAAATAACGAATGATCCCAATCATAGTCCTTGAGGACAGCTTACAAGTGATTCATGGTGAACTCAAGAATGCCAAGGAATCTTGTGGGTTTATTTGCTCCATCTCTGCTTTAACCTCGATGTCCTCCCGGCTCCAGTGGCTCCGTCATGTTCTCAACTTTGTGTACTCATGGTTCTAGAATCCCAACCCCTGGATTCCTGTCTAAGGCTCAGTCTCTTGCTAGGAGGAAAGACATCTTATCAGATGT
Organism: Homo sapiens; assembly: GCF_000001405.40. Classification (NCBI taxonomy): domain Eukaryota; kingdom Metazoa; phylum Chordata; class Mammalia; order Primates; family Hominidae; genus Homo; species Homo sapiens. The sequence goes on from NC_000020.11 coordinate 43,756,184, forward strand.
TAGGTGTGAGATGTCGGAGGCTGTGTTTGGTCTCCCAGCATTCTTGTGAGCGAAGGGCTTTTAGCCACATTCTCCCTATCGCTTGATTTCTCTCTCACTTTGTGGGAAAGTAGACAGCAGGACCATCACCCCAGTTCAGGATTGAAAACTCAGATGTTTAACTTTGCAGACTCATGATGGGTTTCTCTCCTTGGCATGTGGTCTCCTTTATTTGAGCTGTATGTGTTGAGGACCTACTGTGTGCACTAGGGCACTCCATGGGTATGGGGAGGAGCAAGACAGAACCCTTGTCCCTCAAGACTGGAATCCAGAAAAGGGTGGGGATAAGTGTGGCAACAGCTCTGGGGTAGGAAGAGGGACATGGGTAAGAGAGAGGAGAGAGCTGTGACTCCAGCTGCAGTGGGGTCAGGGAAGGACTTACTGTTTTCATAAAAATAGCACAGATGAAGGCTGGGCATAGTGGTGGCTCATGCTTGTAATCCCAGTACTTTCGGAGGCCAAGGTGGGTGGATTGCTTGAGACAGGAGTTCAAGACCAGCCTGGACAACATGGCAAAACCCCATCTCTACAAAAAAAAAAAAAAAAAAAACAACCCAAACAAAAAAATTAGCTAGGCATGGTAGAACTCACCGGTTGTCCCAGCTACCCAGGAGGCTGAGGTGGGAGGATCACTTGAGCCCAAGTGGCAGAGGTTGCAGTGAGCCGAGATCGCACCACTGCACTCCAGCCTGAGCAACAGAGCCAGACTCTGTCTCAAAAAAAAAAAAAAAAAAAAAAAAAGCTCAGATGCCTTGAAAGGCAAAACATTTAGAAAAGCTACAATAGATAAAACAAAGGACATCCCAGGTTTCCTCCCTGCAAAACCATCATTCAAGCTATGTTTCTATGTGGAGTCTCTAGATGGAGAGATAGACAGGCCTACTTTTATAAAATGGGATACTTTTGAAAGTAAAAGTTATTAGAGGTAATTTTACTTAACATAAACAGAAGACAAGGAAACAAAACCAAAGGAATCTGAATCTTAAATAAATATTACATTATCACCAATGGAATTGGTTCCTAAAAGATCCCTCTAAGTTTTTTTTTTTTTTCTTTTTTTGAGATGGAGTTTCACTATTTTTGCCCAGGCTGGAGTGCAATGGTGCGATCTCAGCTCACTGCAACTTCTGCCTCCCGGGTTCAAGTGATTCTTCTGCTTCAGCCTACCGAGTAGTTGGGATTACAGGTGCATACCACCATGCCCAGCTAATTTTTGTATTTTTAGTAGAGACGGGGTTTCCCCATGTTGGCCAGGCTGGTCTTGAACTCCTGACCTCCAGTGATCCACCTGCCTTGGCCTCCCAAAGTGCTGGGATTACAGGCATGAGCCATCATGCCTGGTCAAGATCCCTCTAAATTTAACAAGAGATTAGGAAAAACATTGCGATTGGAGTTACATAGTTTTTTCAAATCTTTGTATTTTATTATAAGCACAATTAACAATGGTATTCTTCTCAGATAAAATACTTAAATTAATCCAATGATAGGATTTTTGAGAGTAATGTGAATTTGTTCATCATTAAATCAGAAGACAGGCATATTCTATGAAAAGTCTGTAACCAAGTTTTCCATTTGTATTAGTCCATTTTCATGCTGCTGATAAAAACATACCTGAGACTGTGCAATTTACAAAAAAAATAAAAATAAAAAAAGGTTTAATGGACTCACAGTTCCATGTGGCTGGGGAGGCCTCACAATCATGGCAGAAGGTGAAAGGCAGATCTCACATGGTGGCAGACAAGAGAACAGAAATTGTGCAGGGAAACTCCCCGTTATAAAACCATCAGATCTTATGAGACTTATTCACTATCATGAGACTAGCACGGGAAAGACTCACTCCGATGATTCAATTACCTCCTACCAGGTCCCTCCCACAACACATGGGAATTATGGGAGCTATGATTCAAGATGAGATTTGGGTGGGGACGCAGCCAAACCATATCACCATTCCTGTCCTTTTCTCGTGCACCCTTCACAGATGTGCGCACTTAGTGCTCTGAGTTCTGAATAAGCTTAGCCATGTGTCCATCAAGATGTGGAGTGGCTCCATCATCCCCAACAGTCTCTGCCCCTGATGGGCTCCTCCTTCCTCACTTGGACCCTGGCAATCACTGATCTGCCTTCTGTACCTGTAGATTTGCCTTTTCCAGAGAATCACATAATTAGAAGATAATCTGTATCAGTCCATTCTCACACTGCTATAAACATACTACCCGAAGGCTGGGCACCTGTAATCCCAGCACTTTGGGAAGCCAAGGCAGGTGGATCATGAGGTCAGGAGTTTGAGACCAGTCTGACCAACATGGTGAAACCCCATCTCTACTATAAATACAAAAATTAGCTGGGTGTGATGGTGCGCTCCTGTAATCCCAGCTACACAGGAGGCTGAGGCAGGAGAATCGCTTGAACCTGGGAGGCGGAGGTTGCAGTTAGCCAAGATCACGCCACTGCACTCCAGCCTGGGTGACAGAGTGAGACTCTGTCTCAAAAAAAAAAAAGATACTACCTGAGACTGGGTAATTTATAAACAAAAGAGTTTTAATAGACTCACAGTTCTGCATGGCAGGGGAGCCCGTAGAAACTTACAATCATGGCAGAAGGTGAAGGGGAAGCAATGTAAATCTTAATTCTAATGTTTTCATCACAGTATCTCATGCCTATTATTGGCTGTGTGTGGTGTTCCTTTTCAAGTCTCTGGCTTCAACGTCTGCAGGGAGTAAATTTCCCACCTGCTGGGGGTGGGGAGCACCATTACCTGACTATGCAGGCTCATAAAAGTGGGTCTGGGTTCTAAATGCTCATCAAACAGACTCTCAGCCACTTCTGTTTTCAGCCGCTCTTGCACCCCACCTTTCAGAGGGATTCTGGTTGATGCAGAGTTTTGTGGCTCAAATAGATTTTCTGTTCTCAGGTTCTTCACCCTGCAGGCACACATAGGACTTAACTTTCTCTCATTTGCTGGGCCAATTACCAATCATTCATTCACTTTTTAATCTTCCAAATTTTGATGACATCTTTTTTTTTTTTTTTTTTGAGTCAGAGTCTTGCTCTGTTGCCAGGCTGGAGTGTAGTGGCACAATCTCGGCTCAGCACAACCTCCGCCTCCCAGGTTCAAGCAATTCTCCTGCCTCAGCCTCTCGAGTAGCTGGGACTATAGGTGTGCACCAACATGACCAGCTAATATTTGTATTTTTAGTAGAGATGGGATTTCACCCTGTTGGCCAGGCTGGTCTGGAACTCCTGACCTCAAGTGATCCATCTGCCGCGGCCTCCCAAAGTGCTGGGATTACAGGTGTGAGCCACCACACCTGGCTCTGATTGCTTTCATATCTTTGTTTTTCTTAATATCTATTATCTGTCTATTCATAATTCCATTTTCAGCAGGGTCTCTTCTGATTTTGACATTTATCATTAATTTGGGACTTCTGTAATGTTATTTGATTTCAATTTGTTTCCTTAGGTCTCTCTTTTGTGTGTCATTCTGTTGTTTAATCAACTGATCTTTGAAAGTTTGTTTTACCAAATTCCTGTTCTTGTTCTGTCGTTTTATAGCAGAGAGCACCTATGTGAAGTTTTCTTCCAGTTTTGGGGTTATATCTCCTTCTAGGCTGGATTCTTTGTCTTTTGGGTGCTTTTTTTCTTGGGGGTTTTGGTGGGAGTGTGTGTGCATAGTTTCCATCAGTTTCTTACTTGTGTGTGGGCATTTCTGTTCAAATATTCTTTTTGCTGTTATACAGTGTGAACTTGGACTCATTTCTCAGTGTGTCTGAGATAGATTTTGCCATAGTTTGAGGTCCAGATATTTTTTGTTCTTAACATTTTTCCTTTAGCCTGGGATCATGGTGGGATGAGGGGTAGGAAAGTGGAAAAGCATATTGGGGCAGTGCATATTTCTGGAAGAAATATGTTCTCACTTCTGAGGGTGTGAAAATGTGCTAGGATTGCACTTCCCTGGGGAGAAAGATAGCTTCCCTTTAGAATGTGGGATAGTCAGCTGGGCATGGTAGCACACACCTGTAATCCCAGCTACTTGGGAGGCTGAGGCGGGAAGGTTGCTTGAGCCCCAGGAATTTGAGGCTGCAGTGAGTTGTGATTGTGCCACTGCTCTCCATCCTGGATGACAGAGCAAGGCCTTGTCCCTTAAAACACAAAAACTCAGACGCGGGGTGATGGCTCACGCCTGTAATCCCAGCACAGTGGGAGGCTGAGGCGGGAGGATCACTTGAGGTCAGGAGTTTGAGACCATCCTGGCCAAAACGGTGAAACCCCATCTCTATTAAAAATACAAAAATTAGCTGGGCATGGTGGTGGGCACCTGTAGTCCCAGCTACTCAGGAGGCTGAGGCATGAGAATCACTTGAACCCAGGAGGCAGAGGTTGCAGTGATTCAAGATGGTGCCACTGCACTCTAGCCTGGGCAACAGAGTGAGACTGCGTCTCAAAAACAAAAACCAAAACCAGAACGCAGGATATTTAATACTCATTGCCCCAGCCTTGTTGGGGAGGGGCACAATAAGAAAAATCCCATCTGGCATCCTGAAACAAATCAGTATTGGGGTGAGCCCAGTGGGGCAGCTGATGGCTGAGTCAGGCTGGTGCGATGGAAGGAGCTGTGAGGGCCCCGTAGCTTGGAGCATCCCTGGTCCCCTTAGCAGCCATCATAAGACGGAGCAGGCAGGGCTGTAGTTGGACAGCCCAGTCAGGAAATGCCAGCCATGAATGAGTGCCCCATGGCTGCCTTGGGAATGTGTGCCAGGATTGGAATCCTGCAGTTGAGGATCTGAAATGTTCTGACCAGGTGGCTAAAGAGTATGACTTCAGGCCGGGCGTGGTGGCTCACATCTGTAATTCCAGCACTTTGGGAGGCTGAAGCGGGTGGATCACCTGAGGTCAAGAGTTTGAGACCAGCCTGGCCAACATGGTGAAACCCCGTCTCTACTAAAAATACAAAAATTAGCCAGGCACGGTGGTGCACGCCTGTAGTCCCAGCTACATGGGAGGCTGATGCAGGAGAATGGCTTGAACCCAGGAGACGGAGGTTGCAGTGAGCCAAGATTGTGCCATTGCACTCCAGCCTGGATGACAAGAGCAAAACTCCTTCTCAAAAAAAAAAAACAAAACAAAACTGTGACTTCATAATAAGGTCATGTTGCTAGGGACCACGTATTGACGTTTCTAGGGAGAAATGAGAAGGAATACAGCAACCGAATAAGACGATGTTCGTTTATGACATCCATGATGTCTTTCAAGGCTTGAGATACACTGTCTTTTGTCTAATTAGTCATTGTGACCATATCTCCATGGAGACCATTATGTTTGTACTCACAATAGACACGTGTGCATCCATTAAAGGAACACAGTTGCCAAACGTACGCTCTGGGCCCAGGGTGGAGTGGCTTTTTACAGCACAGTCATCGGAGCTGCTGCAAAAAGTGTCAGAAAACAAGCAAGGAGCTGTCCTTATTCATGAAGAGAGGCTCTCTCTGGTATCAGGCCCTGGGTCTAGGGGAGTGTGAAACCCAGGAAGGCGGGGTGCACACGCTCATGACAAAAGTTCCAAAGGCGTAGATTCACTCTCTTTTTTTTTTTTTTCAAATGTGTGCCAAAGATTTTTAAGCTCATTAATTAATGAAGGGACCAGTAAGATGTTAAAAACTGGCTCAGGAGAGAATGCAGAGAACAGACATTAATATAGGTAATTAGGAATGTTTTGGTCAAGAGACACAAAATTGGTTTCTTCCAAGAGCAGTAAGGAGAATGGGGAGAAGATTTAGTCTTTCATTAAAAAAATTTGAGAGCCAACAAGTGCTCAGTAGAGTGAGTGGTGCTTGGACGGAGGGGTGGACAGGCCGGATGGGACTCAAGCGAGACTGTGCTACCCAGACCTGGGCAGTGCTCCAGGGATGCTTAGCAGAGGGGCAGGAGGCTGTGGGGGATGCCGCTGTCTGGGCCTTGTCCTTTTTGTGCTAAGCATCCCCAGCTCCCTGCACAGGCCCCAAATGTGGTAAATGCATGGCAGACCTTGGGGCATGAGGGGATGAGAGGGGACCTTCCAGAAGAGTAGAGTGGGAACAGACCATGAAAGCTTGGGATTGCAGACCCTAGCTCTGCCATGGGACAAGAAACCAGTCCCTCTCAGATACCATTCGGCACTCGTTTCTGCCTCAGAACTGAGAGCAGCAAAGGGCTTCTGTGTTTGTCCTGCTCCTGGCTTCTTTTTTCTTTTTCTAGAGACAGGGTCACGCTCTGTCTCCCAGGCTGGATTGCAGTGGCACAATTGTAGCTGACTGTAATCTCAAACTCACTTCTGGGCTCAAGTAATCTTCCCACTCCGGTCACCTGCTAATTTTTATTTTTGTTTTTTGGTAGAGACAGGGTCTTGCTATGTTGCCCAGGCTGGTCTTAAACTCCTGTCTCTAGTGATCCTCCTGAGTTGGCCCCCCAAGATGTTGGATTACAGGCGTGAGCCACTGCACCTGGCCTTCTCCTTGCTGCCTTGTCCAATGGGATTTCGGGACTCATGTGACTTCAGCTACCTTGTTTGTACTGACCATCATCACTAACTACAGAAATACTACAAGGCCGAAGCTCTCAAGCCCCTAACCTGGTAGTTACAAAGGGAGAAGTTTCCTAAGCTCACCAGAGTGGCACTTGACCTAACTACACACTTCTGCCTGGACTCAGGAAGCAAACTACCATGGACCTCGTCACCCGTAATCACATGCACAGGCAGGCACTTGCTCATGGCCATTTTCTTTTGTTTTGTACACAAGTCTAATAACTCCACTATTTTTAGTAAAGTGAGAGTTGATGGCATGGCTGTTGGTAGGCACATGGACACCAGCAGGAGGGAGTAGCTGGAAGCCTGTCAGTGAGGTCAGGAACTGGAGAAATATCAAAGCAATTACACGAGGCCAGGATGGCATGCTGGGGCCGCTCAATGTCAGAGCACAGAGCGCTCTACTCTGGCCTAGCGCAGCCACTGACCGTTCTTAGCCATAGCCTTGAGTCACCCAGGAAAGAGCTTACCAACAACCAAGCAGGAGCTTTGGGATCATAAAGTTCTGGGTTCAATTCTCTGCTCCCTGTTTGCAGGGCTCTAGGCAAAGAGTCTCCCTCTTTTGCCCAGGCTGGAGTGCAATACCACAATCTCAGCTCACTGCCACCTCTGTCTCCCAGGTTCTAGTGATTCTCCTGCCTCAGCCTCCTGAATAGCTGGAACTACAGGCGTGAGCCACCATGGCCAGCTACTTTTTTTGTATTTTTAGTAGAGATGGGATTTCACCATATTGGCCAGGATGGTCTCAATTTCTTGACCTTGTGATCCGCCCGCCTCGGCCCCCCAAAGTGCTGGGATTATAGGCGAGAGCCACCACGCTTGGCTTTTTTATTTTTATTTTTTTAAAGACAGAGTCTCACTCTGTCACCCAGGCTGGAGTGCAGTGATGCGGTCTTGGCTCACTGCAATCCTGACCTCCTGGGTTCAAGTGATTATTGTACCTCATCCTCCCAAGTAGTTGGGACTACAGGCACGCACCATCACACCCAGCTACTTTTTGTATTTTTAGGAGAGGTGGGCTTTCACCATGTTGGCTAGGCTGGTCTTGAACTCCTGACCTCAAGTGATCTCCCTGCCTTGGCCTTCCAAAGTGCTGGGGTTACAGACAGTGCCTGGCTGGTCTAGGCAAATCACTTTTAATACTGCTTTCATATTAGAGTGTTGGGAGGATTAAATGAGTTTACAGAGCACATAGTAAATGCTCATGAAAAATTAGCCGCTATTGGCAGGGAAATGAATGATGGTCAACGACATGCAACAACATGGATGAGCCTCAAAATCATTCTAATGACAGGAAGAAGCAGGCACAAAAGGGCACTTACCGTCCAGTTTCATTCATAGAAATCGCAAAACAGGCACAAGTCATCTGTGATATTAGAGGTCAGGATATTGGTTATGGGGGTTTGCCATTTTTGTTGTAAAATAGAACAGATAGAAATAATGCAGCAGGGAGGTGAATTTTGAAATATTGTATATTTCAAAATAGCCAAAAGAGGATTTTAAGTGTTCATACCACAAAGAAATGGTTAATATATGAGGTGATGGATATGCCAGTTTAATACCCTTATTTGATTATTCTACAATGTATACATATATCAAAACATCACATTGTACCCCATAAATACATACAATTATTATTTGTCAATTAAAAATTAAATAACAGCCAGTGTGGTGGCTCATGCCTGTAATCCCAGCACTTTGGGAGGCTAAGGCAGGAAGATTGCTTGAGCTCAGGAGCTCAAGACGAGGCTGAGCAACACAGCAAGACTTGTCTCTACTAAAAATAAAAAAAAAATTGGCTAGGCACGGTGGCACGCACTTGTAGTCCCAGATACTTGGAGGCTGAGGTGGGAGGATTGCTTGAGCCCAGGAGGTTGAGGCTTCTCTGAGCCGTGATAGTGGCACTGCACCACAACCTAGGTGACAGAGCCAGACCCTGGTTCAAAAAAATTAAATAAAACATTGAAAAGATTACATAAGATAAACCTGCTGCAGTTTAGGGAATTACTGTGAGGCTACCCCTGAAGCTAGTCCTGATCACAGTCTTCTTCCTCCCTCTCAATATTTTGTTTCTTGATCTGAGTGTTAGTTACCCAGGGGTGTTTATGAAAAGTGGGGGAGCAGTACACTTACGTGCGCTTCTCTATATGCATATTATGCTTCAATAAAAAGCTTAAAATTAGGCCGGGTGTGGTGGCTCACACCTGTAATCCTAGCACTTTGGGAGGCTGAGGCAGGCGGATTGCCTGAGCTCAGGAGTTCACAACCAGCCTGGGCAACACAGTGAAATCCCGTCTCTACTAAAATACAAAAAATTAGCCGGGCGTGGTGGTGTGCGCCTGTAGTCCCAGCTACTCGGGAGGCTGAGGCAGGAGAATTGCTTGAACCTGGGAGGCAGAGGTTGCAGCAAGCCAAGGTCATGCCACTGCACTCCAGCCTGGGCGACAGAGCGAGACTCCGTCTCAAAACAAACAAACAAAAAGTTAGCACTTATTATTTTTCTTAATATTATTATCAAATTAACTTATTGGAGCTTTAAACTCTTCATCTGTCTAATGGGGTTGATTACCCCATTTTTTGCAGAATTGTTAGAAGTTACAGTATTCACAGCATATTCGTTGGTTCATTCAGCAGATATTTACTGAGTGCCTGCAGGCTCGGGCACTGTTCTAGGTGCTGGTGATAAAGACGTGATCCAAACAGACAAAAATCATGGGGTTTACATGCTGGCGAGGGAGAGAGACATGCTAGGCACTCACAGAGAACTATGAAATTTGGACAGCACCCTCTGGTTCAGAAAATAAGATCCTGGACCACATCTCTATCCCATATGGTGAAGTTTGTTTGGTTTGGTTTTGATTTGGCTCCTTAAATAATTAGCTTCACTATTACAAAATCTTGGTTAGCACAAAGTCAGATGAGTGAAAGTGTGTGGATGCTACATAAACAATGCCTGCCTTTTCTAGAATTTCTAGGTGCAATCAAATTGCGAATTAGAGCAAACCACCCGTCATAAGCCGCTGCGTTGAGGACCAAGGAATGAATAGCCCAGCAAAGAAATGCTTTCTCTCTCCTGTTTTGAGGAACTCGGGCCCTGTTTTGAGGCCCTGCACCCTGCAGGCAGGAAAGCGTTAAGAAAGAAATGTGCATTTCCACTGAACAAGAAAATCAACTTAGAAAAGAAATGTGTATTGGAAAATATCTATTTGCCTGCAAAATAATGTAAAAATAATGAGCTCCTATTCCCCTTTGATGTGCAGCGCACGCTTTTAAGGAAAGATTCTGCATTTCTGAGATACTGGGCCTGGCGTGTAATGAAGTGGTTGTTATGGCAACAACTTTCAAAAGCAAGTATTTTCTGAGATGTGCTCCACACAGCCAGCGTGAGAGAGGAAAACATGAAAACAGAGACAGGGAGATGAGCTAAACAGAAGGCATTAGATGCGGAGAGCATCCGCTCCAGGTCCAAGGGGGAAGAAAAGTGCCCGCTGCCCCCACTTTCCCAGCCTGGATTTGCAAAGCTGCAGGGGAAGACAGACCCCTGCCCTGGAAGGGGCCCCTTGAGGAATGGAGCTGGGACAAGGCAAGGTTGGGGCTGAGACAGTGTGAGACTGTGGAGAGTGATAGGCGGCTTGAGCCTGGGGGCTCCATCACCAGTCCCTCACCACGGCCCCCTCCTCCCAGCCCGACTCCAGCCTCAGCCTCTGCCCCTCCCAGCCTCCATGCTCTTCATTCATTCCAGGTACCAGTCTTCCCACTGGCAGTCCGGGCCTTCTGCCCATTCCACCCCATCATGTGCCTGGGGTTCCTGCCAGGCTGGGCATAGCACCAGGAGCCGGCATTCATCACCCTCTTTGCTCTGCACAGCAACCCCAAGTGCCTGGCAAATAGTAGCTGCCCGATCTCTATTTGTGGAGTCAATAGGTGGTCCTTCTCTGACAGCTACTGCTATTGTCCCCATTTTGTTGGTGAGGTAGTTGAGGCTTGGAGATGTTGAGTGATTTGCCCCAGCCCTGCAGGCAGCGGGCAGTGGAGCTGGGCTGCCCCCACCCCTGCATCGTGCTGCCTCTCAGTACCCCGATCCCAGCCTCCCTGTCTTTGTTCATACTGTGTCTCTGCCTGGTGCACCCTCTCTTGTCTCGTAAGACCTGACCCAAAGGCCATCCTGTGGCCATGATGTCATGAAAATGCTGCCTCTAAATGAGACTCCTGGATGTGTCAGTGTCTGGGGATGGGGTCCTCACTACCTGCTAGGGAGTCTGGGCTGGGCACACATGTCCTGGCGGCTGGGAACTGCCAGGAAGAGAGCCGCCTCCAGAGGGACCGTGTCTGTCCCATTCACCATGCTCCTCCCCATGCAATGCCGGGCACAGCGGTGACACTCAGGAACCCTTGGGTGAATGAGAGACTTTGGAACGCAGACAGTTTGGAAAGGTCCTGGTCGGTCAGGTTTTGGAGATCTTTGGGGCTGCCCCAGCCAAAGCTTTCTTGTGATTGGATAACCTCCTCAAACGCAGCCCAAGCTCATATTTGACAGTGATGGTGAGGAGGGGTGCATGTGAGTGTGTGTGGCATGTGAGTGTGTAAACGTGTGTGCATGGCCTTGTTGGAGGTGATTTGCCTGAAAAAGGAGTCTGGGCTACACTCGTGTGTGCCTCTGTCAGGGGTGAGGGAGATGCGTGTGTGCACAGATTTGAGGAGATCTGTCTAAAGGGGCATGCATCTCAATATGTGTGTTTCAGGAGCAGGTAGTGTGTGTGTCTGTGTGCGTGTGAATGGCCTTGATTGACAGGACTTGCTCTGTAAGGGGTCGTATGTTTGTATGCAGGTGTGCCTGCATGAGGGTGTGTCTTGTGTGTGTGCACCTGGTCTTGATGTATTTGTGTGTGTGCATGTGTGAGAGAGATGAGCATGTGAAGGAGTGTGCTTCAAAGAGAGGTTTGTATGAACGTGTGTGTATCAGGGGTGTACCTGGGAATGTGGGTATAGATGCCGGGGAAGAGCAGTGGATACATTCCTGGCTGCTGCATTTGTCAGGTAGAGGGAGCCTGTTGAAGTAAATGGGCTGTATTTTTGGTTCTCTGCTGCGAGAGAGCTTCTGGCAGCTGTGCTGGCAAACCTGTGAGTCACAGAGAGAGAACTATGCCATGATGCTGTCCTCTGGATCATAAAATGTAAGTTAGAGCCAGAAGCAGCCTTGGCAGTCACCTAGTTCTATCCCTTGTGTTACAATTGATGGAAAACAGAGAAGGGAAGCAAATTCTCCAGATCACACAGCGAACTCAGGATAGAGCTGGAACTTGGACTTGTGTCTGGGTCTGGGACTTCCCAATCCTCCACTTCCTGCTGCCAGGTCCCTGAGGAGGAGAGAGAGGGTTAACCACAGAGTAATTAATACCAGGCACCAGAGTATTATAAAATTTCATTTCCACTTTAATTAGGGGAACTTAAAAAAATAGAAGTCTTTGTTGTGTCAATTAGTTGATTGACTATCGTTGGTTTCTGGGTTAGGGAAACTTGATCTGCAGTGAATGAATTTGTTTATCAGGGAAAAGGAGCCAGGGGGTGGAAAGAGAAATTCAATTAAGTGTCAGGCTGCTAAGTGACAGGCTGCATTTGATAGAACTTTTAGCTTAATTGCTTGTATTTCATTAAGAGTTTTATTTATCAGGAGCATTCTTCATGTTAAAAATCTCAGGTGGTGTCTGCGTGGCTTTGGGCTATTTTTCTGCATTGATTAAGGACATTGAATTGTGGACCTGAAGAATTACCTGGGACCTCAGAGACATTCTTGTCCGGGCAAAAACCGTCCTTTATCCTAGCTCCCGGGGCTTGTGTCCCCCTCATGCCTCCCCTCCCATAGTTATATCCAAAGTTTAGTAAGTGTTGCATTTCTCTGGGGAGAATAATCTGTATTTCTTCTTTAGATTTGCAAAGGGATAGGAGTTGCATAGACAATAATACTCAGCCAGGCTGACCAACTTGTTTGGTTTTGCTCTTTGTTGTTGTTTTTCTTCCCCATAAAAACACATTTAATTGCATGCATAGTTGTAAAATTGTACATGAAGGCAGTGCTAGAAACTAAGTTACTATTACTTTGCATTAACAAAAATGACTGTAAAAATAACTATCCTTGAGAAGAAAATGAGCCTGACAAGATTTAATTTAATTAGAGATATGATTACTATCAGGGTTTTCCAAGAATGTCATATCAGCTCAAAAGTAGATGCATTTTATTATAAATCAAATGGGTCCTGGTGCCCCAGAGGTATATAAAAAATATACAGCGTGGCTTACTTGAGTTATTCTTTTCTGAAGGCCTCCAGACCCTTCTTGTGAGGAGAACTGTCCAATGCATAATCTATAATGGCTATAGAAAGGGAGGGAAGGAGGCAGGGAGGGAGGAAGGGAGGAGGGAGGGAGGGAGGGAGGGAGAGACAACCTGCTGAGCCTTGGGGCTCTATCACCAGTCCCTCACCATGGCCCCCTCTGGCCATCTGTGTGCACCTGTGGTCCCAGCTACTCAGGAGGCTGAGGTAGGAGGATCACTTGAGCCCAGGAGGTTGAAGGGGCTCACTTCAATCCCCTCTGGGCCTCTCTGAGCCTCGGTTCTCTCATTTATAAAGATGACCACTTGTTTTATAAGTGAGAGAACCAAGGCTCAGAGAGGGCCAGAGGTTTTCCGAAGGACACACAGCTAGCTATGGGCAGAACCAGGACTGGCACTTGTTCTTCCTGCTTCTTTTCCAAGAACCTGGCTCTGTGTGGGGCCTCTGAGTTGCTGGGCTTAAGTCCTTCAGGGACAGTTCAGCGGGGCAGCCATTTCTTTTCCTTTTGATCTATTAGGGCAGGAGAACAGAGTGGTTAGGACTGCTGTCACCACCTGGGCTTAAATTCTGGATCTTCTGCTTGTTTTGTGAACCTGGACAAGTGCTTTGACCACACTGGTAAATGGGATAGTAAGATCATCTGTCTCACTTGGCTGTCAGGAGGATCATGGGGTACTCCATGTAATGCACTTAGACTATACCTGGTACATAGTAAATGCTCAGTAAATACCAGCTATAATTATTATTGAGCTTCCAAGTAAGATTTCATTTGAAAAAATGTTCCTATTTTTTTTTTTTTTTTTGAGACAGGATCTCACTATGTCACTCAGGCTGGAGTGCAGTGACACAATCACAGCTCACTGCAGCCTCAACCTCCTGGGCTCAAGCGATCCTCCCACCTCAGTCTCCCAAGTAGCTAGGACCACAAGTGCACACCACCAAGCTCAGCTAATTAATTTTTCTTTTTTTGTAGAGACAGGGTCTTGCTATATTGCCTAGGCTAGTCTTGAACTTCTGAGCTCAAGCAATCCTTCGCCTCAGCCTCACTAAATGCTGGTATTACAGGCATGAGCCACCACACCTGGCCTCTAATTCTTAAAAATAATTGAGGAGCATTGTGCTGGACTAAGTAGCTCCCTCTCCAATCAGTTCTTAAGAAGAAATAATTTACTCCAGGAGATGGGTGGACTCAGACGTGGTCCATGATGAGGGCTGGGGAACCGAGGTTTCCTACCACTTTGAGTTTTTCTCTTCCTGGCACTCCCTTTGGTCCCTGATTATTTTTCTTTTCTTTTCTATGGTAAACATCTATTCTGGCTCTATTCTCTTCCTCTTTCCTCTTCCCCACCTTTCCTGTCTTATCTCTCCCTCCCTCCGTCCCTCCCTTCCTCCCTTCCTGACTCCCTCCCTCCCTCATTTCCTTCCTTCTTCCTTCCTTCCTTCCTTTTTTCCTTCCTTCCTTCCTTCTTTCCTTCCATCCATCCATCCACCCACCCACCCATCTGTTGGGTGTGGGAGGTGGCTTCTACAGTCTCTTAAGAGCTGATTGTGCCTGTCTGTTTCTGACTCTGCATTTAATGATGTCACTTGGTGGCTTGACATCAGCCATGGTGGGAACGTTTACGCCATGGAAATTGGAGAACACTACAAATAAAGGCTTTTTTTGGGATTATTTGTTTGCTATTTTGAAAACTATTTTTCAGCCTACTGTTTCATCCATCCATCCCTGTATCATGCATCCCTTTCTCTGGATGTCCAGACATCCAACCACCAAACCATCATCCGTTGAACCATTCATTCATCTGACATGTATTAAGCACTTCTTGTGAGCCAGGCCCTATACAAGCTCCACTGGGAGGGCAGAATTGGCCGGAGCCTGCTCCCTGCCCTTGAGGAATTGACACTTTAGTGGAACAGACACCTTACACACTCAAGGACTGTCCTGGACATCATCTCATTTGATGGTCATGGTCGGTATTGTTATCTCAGTGTAACAATTGAGGAGATTAAGGCTCAGAGAGGTGAAATGAATGGCCTGAGGTCACACAGCTGGCTGTCCATTCATTTGTTTACTCGTATGACAAGGTTTACAGAGGTGCTTAAATCCAGCCAGATGCCAAGGTGAAAACTGATTTTCAAACCTGTCCTTCAGAAATAAACCTTCTTAAAAAAATAAAAAGAAAGAAAATAAAAGAATAGGGAAAGTTATTTTTCCATCTTGCTTAGATGGGGACAGTTTTGAATTTATTTTTTTCAGATTGAACAATCGTTCCTCAAATGGATAGTGATAGGTGATCTAAAAAATAATCTTTAAAAACGTCGCCGAGTTGGGCATTTCCTCTGGGTGACATAACTCAGTGTGACAGAATGCATTTAAATTCACAGAAAAGAAATGGCAAGGAGTGCAATGTGGAAGGTGTTTGTGTGGCTGCCAGCTCCTTAACCCTCTCCTTTCACCATTCTTCCCCCTTTCCTCCACTGCCCCTGGGCCTGTGGGCACATTCGCTTCCCTCACTGCCTCCAGCCATATGTCTACACATACACATACGCATACGCATACACACACGCATACACATACACATACGCATACACATATGCATACACATAGCAGGGATCAAAAGCACTTCTGAAGATCCTGGGTCCCAGAATGTGGGCAGCTGATAGGCTGGGGGAAGAGGGTGTGGGTTTCCTAATGGGCCAAAGAAAGAGGTGCCAGGAATGCGTGGAAGATGATGTCTCTCTTTTCTCCAGATTCCTGTCTGTTCCCATTGTATTTCCATTCCTGCACATGGCCACCATGGTAACAAGGGAAGGGCTTTGCTTTGGGAAGGCCAGGGCCAGGCCAGGTGAGGCTCACGGACAAAGCATCTGCTGGTAACTTAGATTCAGCGTGCGAGGAAACCATGCTACAATTCCTCCCTGGCTTGGTGGGTGGCCTCCCTGTAAGAGACAGAACCCCAGGGCCATGCTAGGGTTGCAGCTGAGAGTGTGGATGGCAGCATGGTGCTCAAGGTGCTAGAGTTTCTTCTTTGTGATATTTTAGTTGTACTTCCCAAGGTATGTTCCATTATTTGCACACTGGTTTCTAGTTTCTGGCATTCTGCATCTGCCATTATGGCTGGGAAGAAAGAAGAGAGTAGAGAACTCCTTAGGGAGGAGAAAGAGGATCTGATGGAGAGGATGTCTTAAGTCAGCTTTCCTAGATGGAGATTCTTGCAGAATTTTTGCAGAGAGTAAATTATTGCAGATGGGGAGTGAAGGGAGCTGGACATGGTAGGGGAAGGACCTGAAGCTGGAGATCAGCTTTAACCTGATCCACAGGAAGCTCTGGAGTGTGAATTGTACCACAGATTGGCCCCTACTTGAGGCCAGGGGACTGGCATTTGTACTTCCACGTCAGTCACTAGCTACTGGTTGCCACTGGTGGGGATGGGAGTGAGAAGAGAGTAGCTTCCAAGAGGGGGCAGATCTGCCAAAGTCAAGTCTCTGGGAAAGGGAACAGGGTGAGCCTTCAGGACTCACAAGACCCAGGGGCTGGGGTACTAGTCTGATAAAAGGGGTGTTATGGTTTGAATGTGCCCCCTAAATTTCATGTTGCGGAAACCAAATTCCCAAATCCATATGTTGATTGGAGGTGGGGCCTTTGAGAGATAATTAAGATGAGATAAGGTCATCAGGCTGGGGCACCCATAATGGAACTGGTGGCTTTACGGGAAGAGGAAACCTGAGCTGGCACACTCCCTGGCTCTCATCATGTGATGCTTTCACCACATTATGACACAGCAAGAAGGGCCCCACCAGATGCAGCCCCTCAGCCTTGGATTTCCCAGCCTTCAGAACTGTAAGAAATACATGTTTTTTCTTAATAAATTACCCAGTCCCAGATATTAAGTTATAGCAACAGAAAGTGGAACAAGACAGGGTGTATGGGTTGGGAAGCAACAGCTACTACAAGGAGAACCTCAATAAGACAGGATAAAGGGAGAGGAGGGACTGTTTCCTTCCCTGCCCTGGGGGACTGTGGGAGGAATTCAGCAGCAAGGAGGAGGCACTCTTCACTCACTGCAAAAGTTCACAGAAAGCCCTCTTTTAATAACTGGGTGCCATCAGCAGGTAGGGGAAGAAACTTGAAAGACACATTCATGAAAGAGAGACCGAGGTGAGAGATGGTTTAAATACTTGCTGCTTTGAGTAAGGCTCCAGGACCAGCATCACCATCATCACCTGGAGCTTGTCCAAAATGCAGGCTCTCAGGTCCCACCTGAGGCTACTGAATCCAATCCGAAATTTTAACAAGATTCCCAAGTGATTTGTGTATACACTTAAAGTGTGAGATGTTCTCCTTAGAAAAAAGGTATTACACCAGGAAATGTGCCTCTTGGCTGGACAGACAGCTGAAGAGTAGCACAATATCTTCATTCGTTTATTCTCTGTTCTTTATTTTGTTTGTTCTTTCAACCCATCACTGTATTGAACATCAGTTTTCCAGGCAATGTCCTAGGGAAACAAAGCTTCCTGCATTCCTGGAGCTTGCTGTCTGTGGGGGAAAGCAGACATTGGCCATAAAATAATACACATAGTTTATTACAATTGTCATAAGTATTACAAAGAAAAAGTACAGGTGACAATAACAGCATAACACAGGGAAGCTGACCTGGTCTGGGGCTTACGGAAAGCTTTTCTGAGGAAGCAACATTGAAAAATGGGCGACAGCCATGTTCTAGGCAGAGGGAAGAGCCCATGCAAAGGTCCTGAGGCAGGAAGAAGCTCTGAGACTCTGAGGATGTTTTAAAAAATTCCAGTCCTGGCCGGGCCCATTTGTCCACACCTATAATCCCAGCACTTTGGGAGGCTAAGGCGGGAGGATCACTTGAGGTCAGGAGTTTGAGACCAGCCTGGCCAACATGGTAAAACCCCGTCTCTACCAAAAATACAAAAATTACCTGGGTGTGGTGGTGCGCGCCTGTAGTCCCAGCTACTCTGGAGGCTGAGGCAGAAGGAGCACTTGAACCCAGGAGGCAGAGGTTGCAGTGAGCCAAGATCATGCTATTGCACTCCAGCCTGGCAACAGAGTGAGACTCAGTCTCAAAAAAAAAAAACAAGAAAAAACTCTCAGTCCTTGCTGTGGACTTGAGAAGAATGAAAGAGAGAGAGGAGATGGGATAGAGAGATGGAGGCAGGGGTGCAACCCTGCAGGCCCTTGCATGCATTATAAGGATTTTGGACTTTTATCTTCAGAGCAGATGGCATCCTTGAGAAGAATGCTTAGTGTAACTCATAAGAGCGTGAACTCTGCCACTCACTAGCTGTGAGACCCTGGATGGGTGGCTGAACCTTTCAGCATCTTGATCTTCTCATCGGTAACAGAAGAACAAACTAGTGCCTATGTCATAGGGTGGTTTTTAGGATTAAATGAGTTGCTATATGTAAAGGGCTTATAACAGTGAATAGCACATGAGAATTTACAATGACAGCTGAAGGGTTTTTTTTTTTTTTTTTGACAGAGTCTCGCTCTGTCACCCATCCTGGAGTGCAGTGGTACGATCTTGGCTCACTGCAAGCTCCGACTCCTGGGTTCATGCCATTCTCCTGCCTCAGCCTCCTGAGTAGCTGGGACTACAGGCGTCCGCCACCGCGCCCGGCCAATTTTTTTGTATTTTTAGTAGAGACGGGGTTTCCCCGTGGTCTCGATCTCCTGACCTCGTGATCCGCCCACCTCGGCTTCCCAAACCGCTGAAGGGTTTTCATCAGGCCAATAATGTGATAAGATTTGTGGTGCTTCAAGAAATCACTCTCACTACTGCACAAGGGAAACTAGACTGCAGAAGAGACACTAGACTGTGGAAGGGAAAGTAGAGTGAAGGCAGAGAGACCAGTCAGAAGATTACAGCTCCCCAGGAGTAGGATGATGGCAGCTCAGACCAGGGCAGAAGCAGTGGATGTGGAAAGAGGATGGATGAATAGACTTGGTGAATTGTCGGGTTTGTGTGCTAGGGCTGGGGGAAGGGAGTGGGCGTGAGGCAGCAGAGGAGTCGAGGATGCTTCCAAGGTTTCTAGTTTGGGCATCTTGGTGGTTGGATAGCCAGTTTTTTGGTGGAAGGTGATGAATTAAATTTTGGACATGCTGAATTTGGACATGTGAGATGTTAAAATGAAGATATTGAACAGGGAGACGAGACGTGGGGCTACAGATAAAAATTTAGGAGCCACTAACCTAAAGATGACCAATAAAACCATGGGAAGAGGCCAGGCACCGTGGCTCATGCTTGTAATCTCAGCACTTTGGGAGGCCAAGGCAGGTAGATCACTTGAGGCCAGGAGTTTGAGATCAGCCTGGGCAACATGGCAAAACCCCGTCTCTACTAAAAATACAAAAATTAGCTGGTTGGTGGTGCACGCCTGTGGTCACAGCTACTTGGGAAGCTGAGGTGGGAGGATGGCTTGAGCCCAGGACATTGAGGCTGCAGTGAGTTGTGATTGTGCCACTGCACTCCAGCCTGGGTGACAGAGCCAGACCCTGTCTCCAAGCAAGCAAACAAGCAAACAAACAAACAAAAAACACCACGGGAAGAGATGAAACTACTCAGAAACAGTACATGGAGTTTGGAGTTTGGAGTCCTATAGACTTGGGTCTGAATCTCCCCACCAGCTAGCCATATGGTTTTAGGCAAGTTATTTAGCTTCTCTGATAATCAGTTTTTAATCTGAAAAATGAGAATAATTATACCTATACCCAAGGGTTATTGTGGGAGGTAAATGAGACAATATGTATAAAACACCTGGCACGGAGCTCAGTCAATATTAATCACTTTTCTTCTTTTATCCTTCCTTCCTCACTCATCACATACATTTTTTTCTACCTTGGTTTCTAAAGCCTTCTACATTCGAGTACACCAGGCCTGTGTTCACCTGTTACCCAGGTGCTGAACCCAATGTAGTGCATGTCCAGATTGGAACCTGGCTGCCCCAGGCAAGGGTGCCACACACAGGAGAGTGAGTCATGTTGTGAAATGAACACTAGTCTTCAGGTCAAGTGGACCTTGATTCGAGTCTCATCTCTGCTTCCCACTTGCTTGGGATCTCAGGTAAATCAATGCACCTGCCAGGGCCTCAGGCATTCATCTGCAAAGTGAAGCATCAGGTGATTCTGCTCTGTATTAATTTGCTAGGGCTGCGGTAACAAAGTGCCACAAGCGGGGTGGCTTAAAACAACAGCCTCGGCCAGGCGCGGTGGCTCACGCCTGTAATCCCAGCACTTTGGGAGGCTGAGGCGGGTGGATCACGAGGTCAGGAGATCGAGACCATCCTGGCTAACACGGTGAAACCACGTCTCTACTAAACAAAATACAAAAAATTAGCCAGGCGTGGTGGCGGGTGCCTGTAGTCCCAGCTACTTGGGAGGCTGAGGCAGGAGAATGGCGTGAACCCGGGAGGCAGAGCTTGCAGTGAGCTGAGATTGCACCACTGCACTCCAGCCTGGGCGACAGAGCGAGACTCCATCTCAAAAATAAATAAATAAAAAATAAAAATAAAGAAAAAACAACAGCTTCGTATTCTGTCACAGTTCTGAAGACTCGAAGTCTGAAGTCCGCAGGACCATGCTCCTCTGAGACTCTGGGAAGGACCTTTCCTTGCCTCTTCCTGGCTTTTGGCATTGGCCAGCAATCCTTGCCATTCCTTGGCTTGCAGCTGTGTCACTCTAGTCTCTGCCTCTGTGGTCACATGGCATCCTCCTCTTGGGTGTCTGTGTCTCTTCTCTTCTTATAAGGACACTGGTCATATTGGATTAAGAGCCTACCTTACTCTGGTATGACCTCATCTTGACTAATTATATCTGCAATGGCCCTATTCCCAAATAAGGTTACATTCTCAGTTACTGGGGTTAGGACTTCAACCTATCTTTTTTGGGAACAACCCATAACATACTCCTAGTATATTTTTTTCCTTTAAATCTGTAGAAAGTAAGAAAAAAAATCTCTCCAGAGAAAAGAACTGTGGAACGTTAATTATATTTTCATTTGTTGTTAGAAAACAGTTTTCTGACTCCTTGGAAATATGTGTTTTCTCTGTTAATTATGATCTCCTTGTGGCAAGTAATCATTGCAGGTAAAAGCTCTTTCTCATTTAGAGAACAAACACAAAGGCAAGAGTTGGACCCTGCTACATCTGGGGAGAAGAGATTTGTGCTAAATTGGAAAATACAACCCTTTTCTCCCTTCTTTGTTCTCTGACACAATTTCTTTCTAGGGTGGGGGCATTACCGGGGGTGGGGAAAGTTTGCTTTCTCTGTTTCCGTTAAACTGGACCTCTAGAAATCATTTGCCTTCTCCTGATAGGGGCAGCGGTACACCTTTGCCTTCCTGCTTCAAGGACAATCCAGTGTCTGGGTGTGAGAGACTCTGATGGTCTCTCCATTTCATAAAATATCTTACCGGTCAACTCCCTTGAAGAAGTCATGCCTGTGGATGCTGGAAGTTAATAAAGGGCCCATGTCCAGGAGGTCCTGGTCACCAAAAACTCATGGCCAATCACGCTCCTTAATATTTGCTCAAATGAGTTGAAAAGTTAGGTCCAGACAAAATCCTATGCGTGGATGTTTACCGCAGCTTTATTCATAATTGCCAAAACTGGAAAGCAACCAAGATGTCCTTCAGTAGGTGAATGGATAAACAGCCTGTGGTATATCCCCATGATGGAGCATCACTCAGTGATTTTTTTTTTTTAAGCTATCAAGCCACAAAATGACATGGAAGAATCTTAAAGGCATATTGCTAAGTGAAAGAAACCATTCTGAAAAGGCTACATAGTCTGTGATTCCAATGATATGACATTCTGGAAAAGGCAAAACTATGGGGGGAGTAAAAAGATCAGTGGTTGCCAGGGGTTTGGAAGGAGGCAAGGAGGGATGAATAGGTGGAGCAGGGGCATTTTTAGGGCAGTGAAACTATTTTGTATGATGCTGTAATGGCAGGTACATGACATTTGCCAAAGCACATAGAATGTGCCACACAGAGAGTGAACTCTAAACTGTAGGCTTTAGTTATTAATAATATATTAGTATTCATTCATCAAGTACAACAAATGTACTACACTAATGCAATATATTAATAATAGGTCAACTGTTTGCAGGGTTCATGGGAGAAGGAGAGGGAATATATGGAAGTTCTCTGTACTTTCTGTTCACTTGTTCTGTAAACTTAAAACGTGTTCTAAAAAAAAAAACTCTTAAAAAACAACCAACCAAACAAACAAAGAAACAAAAACCCCTCACAGGTCAGTCACTTTGGGGAAGCTCCTGGGGTCTATAAGTGTGGGACCTCTTGGGATTTCCCTTGTGAGGCAGAAGGTACTAATACCTAATGCATCTCTTCACATCTGGGTGGCCTTATTTCAACCAGTGCCCACCCTGTCTAAAAGGTTATCAGCTTTGAGTGGAGCTGCAGGCAAAAAGAGGTCCTATAGCTGGTCCAACAGCTGTACAAGTGACCCCACCACTTGGCAGGCCTGGTGGCAGATCAGCATGCTGTTTGTAGTCTGGAAAATCTTAAGAATCCTAGCAGATGGTGCTAGGCAGTGACCAGGATAAGGCAAGTGAGACGCTTGCCTGGGGCACGAAATTAAAGGGGTTAGCCAATAAGCTTTAGCCACCAAGATTTTACTATTTTACAAGATTTTCCTTAATATTACTATTTTAAGCAATGCTTTAAAAAACAATGCAAAAAATTCGTTGTAAACAAAATATCCAAACTTTAAGGTGGGATCCAACCCTGCGCTTGTGTAACTTGGCCACACTCATCTCACTCTTGTCTTGGCCCCATCACATCCTGCTTCAATGTACTATTTTGAGATTTTAGTCATCTTGGCATTAATTTTTATTTTAAAAATTATTTTGGCAAAATATTGTTTATCTTGATGACTGAGATTTTGAGCACCTTCCTTTAAATTTTTTGCTCAAGGCAAGTGCTTGACTCATTTCACTCTAGTCCAGGTCCTGCCCCTATGCCTCTCAATGATCAGGTTAATATATTCATTCAGTAAATGTTAATTAAGTGTCTACCATGTAGGTACTTGGTAGACAACATAACTTGCCCCATGGGTGTCCATCCTCCTCATTCCCTGGTCAGCCCATTGTTCAAGAGACTTACCACCATGTTGCCACAGCAGTATGCATGTATCCGACACTAAGACTTCCTGGGCTGTCCCCTCTGCTCAGTGCTGGATGTTCCAGCAGCAGATGTCTTCACCAAGTCCTCAATGAGGTGCCATAGCACACTGAGGGGATCTGGTGGCTGGTTGATTAATAGGTCCCCATTTGCTATGGAGGGGAAACAATTTGTTCTTACCAGAATAGACACATGTCCTGGATTTTCATTTCCATTATGGCCTGGCAGCATCACCATCCATGAACTTGTGAAATGTG
Organism: Homo sapiens; assembly: GCF_000001405.40. Classification (NCBI taxonomy): domain Eukaryota; kingdom Metazoa; phylum Chordata; class Mammalia; order Primates; family Hominidae; genus Homo; species Homo sapiens. Next base: position 43,779,531 of record NC_000020.11, read on the forward strand.
TCTTCATAGCCACAGTGTTCCCTTGGGCCACAGCAAGTGCAGTGAGGAAATGGGCTTGTGCTCACGGAATTTGCTATTTTTACCATGCAGACATGAAGTGGCTAGCTTAGTAGAAGGATGAAGTGGCCCACTGAAGACTCAGCTCTGCCACCTTTAATGCTGGGCTACTCTTGTGCAGGACATAGTAGTATATGCTCTGAAGCAGCAACTAGTATCTGATGTGTTGTCTTCCATGACCAGAATACATAGATCCTCTCCCTTGACTCTGAGTTGCATCTACTCGGAGATCCTGAATTACACCAGAGACCACTGCTTGCCCAAGTCCTGTTTCTCTACCCAGCAGTCCAGCTTCCCAAGCTGCATTCCTGTATTGAGGGCACCTACCATTTCTCACTGTCTCCTCCTTCTGGCAGTGAGGCATATCCCCCAGACTTTTGGGAGTAGCTTGGACTCTAGCTTTAAGATGGAGGACACCAGAACCGGGACACTTCTGTTGACCTCATGGTGCTCATGCTTTCCCACTAGAGACTCTGACATCCAGATCCTCTATGTAGCCCCATAGTTTGCTCTGAGTATGCTATGTACAGGAGTATAGGTTGTGCACTGCACAAGTCCATAGGACACCATTCAAATGGAATAGATATGAACAGTGCCCTTGGAGCTGTGCAATGCAGAAGGCTTGCCCGAGCAGTTAGGCTTAAGGAACTTGCACCAACATATTGAAGGAAGGGGGCATGGCAAAGTGACACTGGTGCCTAAATTAATGTGGTGATAAAACAACAACGACATTTATTTAATGTTTTGAAGCATTGTGCTTAGCCTTTTACATTGATCATCTCAGTTAATCCTTACAAGAGCTCTGTTAGGTAATATTAATATCATCCTCGTATTACAGATGGGGAAACTGAGACTCAGTGAGGTTGGGTAGCTTGCCAAGGACACACAGCTGGAAAGTGGTAGAGCCAGGATTTGAACCCAGGAAGGTTAACTCCCCAGCCTTTGCACATGATCCAGCACTGGTTGTATTGCTGACTTCATTTCAAGACTGGGAGCTGGATCCACTTCTCAGAAGAACCTAAGACCTTGCCAGGATCCTAAACACGTTATGGGGGAAAGAGATTTAGAACTAGGCAAATGTGGATCAAAGCCATGCTTCACCATTTACCAATGCAACTTTGGCCTCATCCCATCATCTCTCTGAGCCTCCATTACCTGTTCCAATTTGCCTGTAATTGCTAGAAGGTATTGCACACTTACTGGATGTCAGGCACAGCTAAGAACTTTAACCACATGACCTCCTTCAGCCCTTTCTGATAGGACCCTGGCCTGCAGGGACATCCACTTGAGAACATGTGTTAAAAGGACTTTCAAAGTATCACCATGTGATATGGTTTGGCTCTGTGTCACCACCCAAATCTCATCTCGAATTGTAATCCCCATGATCCCCACATGTTGAGGGAGGGACCTGTAGGAAGTGATTGGATCACAGGGATGGCTTCCCCCATGCTGTTCCAGTGATAGGAGGGAGTTCTCGCGAGAGCTGATGGTTTTAAAAGTGCTTGGAAGTTCCCCCTTTGAAGCATTCTCTCTCCTGCCGCCATGTGAAGAAGGTGCTTGCTTCCCCTTCTGCCATGATTGTAAGTTTCCTGAGGCCTCCCCAGCCATGGGAAACTGTGAGTCAGTTAAACCTCTTACCTTTATAAATTACCCAGTTTTGGGTATTTCTTTATACAGTGTGAAAACAGACTAATACACCATTCCATGCACACATGTTCGTTGGCAAGAGTGACAGTTGCTGAGTCTACTGAGCCCTGACTTACACGAGGTGTTCTGCTAAGTGGTTACATGCAGCATCTTGGTTACCCTTGCAGTTACTGCCACTTTCAGAGGCATCTGAACTGAGGCTCAAAGATGTGAAATAACATTCTGTGGGCCACAAAGCTAACAGGTGGTGGGGCTGGTTTTTTTTTAACTGAGTCAGGCTTATTGCAAAGCCCATGCTCTTAAGTGTTGCTACCCAAAGGCCTCTCTGGATGGTCTTTCCTCACGGGGCCCCTTCTCAAATGCTGGAGATTAATTTAAATGCCAATTTGATAGGTGAATGATGGTATCTCAATATTTTAATCTGTGTAATGTAGATTTCCAATGGTATTAACTTTGCTCTGTCACCCAAGTTGAAGTACTGTGGTCACTGCAACCCAGGTCCCTGCATCCTGTCTCCCGAGTAGCTGGGACTACAAGCGTGCACCACCACACCCAGCTATTTTTTTTTTTCTGTAAAAAATGGGGTTCTGCCATATTGGCCAGGCTGGTCTCAAACCCCTGGCCTCAAGGGATCCTCCTGTTTCTGCCTCCCATACTGCTGGGATTACAGGCATGAGCCACTGTACCTGGTAGCAATTAACTACTTCTTCTTCTTTTTTTTTTTTTTTAAAGCGAAATCAAGTTTATTAAGAAAGTAAAAGAATAAAGGAATGGCTACTCCATAGGCAGGGTAGCCTCGAGGGCTGCTGGTTGGTTATTTTTATGGTTATTTCTTGATCATATGCTAAATAAGAGGTGAATTATTCATGAGTTTTCCGGGAAAGGGGCAGGCAATTCCTGGAACCGAGGATTACTCCTCTTTTTAGACCATATAGGGTAACTTTTGGATGTTGCCATGGCATTTGTAAACTGTCATGGTGTTGGTGGGAGTGTCTTTTAGCATGCTAATATATTATAATTTGCATATAATGAGCAGTGAGGATGACCAGAGGCCACTTTCATCCCCCTCTTGCTTTTGGTGGGTTTCAGCTAGTTCTTTACCACATCCTGTTTATCAGCCGCTCTTTGTGGCCTGTATCTTGTGCCAACCTCCTATCTCATCCTGTGACTAAGAATGTCTAACCTCCTGGGAATGCGGCCCAGCAGGTCTCAGCCTCATTTTACCCAGCTCCTATTCAAGATGGAGTCGCTCTGGTTGGAACCCCCTCCATTTTACAAGGCGATTTTTTTTTTTTTTTTTTTTTTTTGAGACAGAGTTTCACTCTTGTTGCCCCGGCTGGAGCGCAATGGCCCGATCTCACCTCACTGCAACCTCCACCTCCCAGGTTCAAGTGATTCTCCTGCCTCAGCCTCCCGAGTAGCTGGGATTACAGGCATGCGCCACCACGCCCAGCTGATTTTGTATTTTTAGTAGAGACGGGGTTTCTCTATGTTGGTCAGGCTGGTCTTGAACTCCCCACCTCAGGTGTCCCACCTGCCTTGGCCTCCCAAAGTGCTGGGATTACAGGTGTGAGCCACTGCGCTCAGCCATTGCAAGGGGATTCTTAATCCTAAGGGTTGCAGAGGGACGAAGGTACATCTTCTGCAGCTTCTTTAGGCTGAATAGGGGCCACGATATTCCTGCTTAACTATTAGGGTCTCTCGTCTCCAGGGTAGAGAGGCGCTCAGTCAGACAGCATTGGTATGCTGAGGGCCATTCATAACTCCAAAATTTCAACAAAAGGTGATATCCAAAGTCGACCAATTGGTGCTGCAGTCTATTTCCTTTGGGTCAGGGTTCTCTCCAGTATTGTCCCTTTGAGGTTTGCTAGGAAGAGGTTACTGGAAAGGGATTCTGATCTAGACTCCAAAGGAGGGTTCCTGGATCTGGTGCAAGAAAGAATTCAGGGTGAGTCCACAGAGGAAAACGAAAGCAAGTTTATTAAGAAAGTAAAGGAGGCAGGGTGCAGTGGTTCACATCTGTAATCCCAGCACTTTGGGAGGCTGAGGTGGGCAGATCATGAGGTCAAGAGATCAAGACCATCCTGGCCAACATGATGAAACCCCGTCTCCACTAAAAATACAAAAATTAGCTGGGCATGGTGGCGCACGCTTGTAGTCCCAGCTACTCGGGAGGCTGAGGCAGGAGAATCGCTTGAGCCCAGGAGGTGGAGGTTGCAGTGAGCCAAGATCTTGCCATTGCACTCCAGCCTGGTGACAGAGCGAGACTCCGTTTAAAAAAAAAAAAAAAAAAAGAAAAGAAAATGGCTACTCTGTAGGCAGAGCAGCCATGATTAACTTCATAATGCCTTTTGGTCATTCCTATTTTAACTCCTGTGGATTGCAAGGTCGTGTCTTTTGTCCATTTAAAAAACGGGAGTAGGGTGTTGTCCTCTTCATATTGATGGAGAAGAAATTTTAGATCTTATGTTCTTCATTATATGACAAATAGTATTTTTTGAATTTTAATTTTGTTTGTGGTGCTTCCTGATACACAGAAGGTAGGCAGATGACTATAGTCAATATATCAGTTTTTCTTTTTTGAGTCTTTCCTTTTGTCTTTTTCTCCTCTTGCTTGAAAAGTCATACTTCTCTTGATATCAGAAAAAATATTAATCTATATTTTATCCTAGTTTTTCATGGCTTCATTAAAATAATAGCTCTTTGATTGATTTGAAATTTATTTTATTTTATTTTATTATTATTATTTTTGAGACAGAGTCTTGCTCTGTCACCCAGGCTGGAGTGCAGTGGCATGATCTCAGCTCACTGCAACCTCTGCCTCCTGGGTTCAAGCGATTCTCCTGCCTCAGCCTCCCACTTAGCTGAGACTACATGTGTGCGCCACTATGCCCAGCTAATTTTTTGTACTTTTTGTAGAGATGGGGTTTTGCCAGGTTGGCCAGGCTGGTCTCAGACTCCTGGCCTCAAGTGATCTGCCCGCCTTGGCCTCCCAAAGTGCTGGGATTAGAGGCGTGAGTCACCACGCCCGGTTGAAATTTATTTTGATATATGGTATGAAACGCTGAACTTTTTCCTGCCCCAAATTGTTAACGAATTGTTCCTGCATTATTTATTGAGCACCCCAGAAAATTCCCCAGTAATTAATTAATTATTATTATTATTATTTTTTTTGAGATTGAGCCTTGCTCTTTCGCCCAGGCAGGACTGCAGTGGCGCAATCTTGGCTCACTGCAAGCTCCGCCTCCCAGGTTCACACCATTCTCCTGCCTCAGCCTCCTGAGTAGCTGGGACTACAGGCGCCCCCACGGCACCCAGCTAATTTTTTGTATTTTTACTAGAGACAGGGTTTCACCGTGTTAGCCAGGATGGTCTCGATCTCCTGACCTTGTGATCTGGCCGCCTCGGCCTCCCAAAGTGCTGGGATTACAGGCGTGAGCCACTACACCCGGCCTAATTAATTAATTATTTTAGATGGAGTCTCCCTTTGTTGCCCATGCTGGAGTGCAGTGGCACGATCTTGGCTCACTGCCACCTCTGCCTCCCGAGTTCAAGCGATTCTCCTGCCTCAGCTTCCAGAGTAGCTGGACTACAGGTGCGTGCTACCATACTCGGCTAATTTTTGTATTTTTAGTAGAGACAGGGTTTCACCATTTTGGCCAGGCTGGTCTTGAACTCCTGACCTCAAGTGATCTGCTTTCCTCGGTCTCCCAAAGTGCTGGGATTACAGGCATAAGCCACCGTGCCTGGCTGAAATTCTCCATTAATTTAAGTGCCACTTTAATCAATACTAAATTCCTGTGTAGACTCGGGATGGTTTTCAGGCTTATTCTTTCATAGCTATGTCTATTCTTTGACACTGCTTTAATTATTATAATTTTACAACCCATTTTATATCTGGTAGATGAAATCCATTATTTATATTTTTGAAAATTTTCTTTATTATTTAACCTCTTTTATTTTCCATTCAAACTTTAGACTAATATTTTTAACTTGTAGAAACTTTGTAGCCAGGGCGTTTTTTGCTTTTTTTTTCAAGATGGAATTTTGCTCTTGTTGCACAGGCTGGAGTGCAATGGTGTGATCTCGGCTCACTGCAACCTCCGCCTCCCAAGTTCAAGTGATTCTCCCGCTTCAGCCTCCTGAGTAGCTGGGATTACAGGCATGCACCACCACACCCGGCTGATTTTGTATTTTTAGTAGAGATGGGGTTTCTCCATGTTGGTCAGGTTGATCTCGAACTCCTGACCTCAGAGATCTGCCCACCTTGGCTTCCCAAAGTGCTGGGATTACAGGTGTGAACCACTGCGCCTGGCCTTTTTTTTTTTTTTTTTTTTTTTTTTTTTTAGTTGGAGTCTCGCTCTTGTCACCCAGGCTGGAGTGCAATGTCCAGCTCTCAACTCACTGCAACCTCCGTCCCCAGGTTCAAGTGATTCTCCTGCCTCATCCTCCCAAGTAGCTGGGATTACAGGTGCCCGCCACCTAATTTTTGTATTTTTAATAGAGATGGGGGTTTCACTATGTTGGCCAGGCTGGTCTCGAACTCCTGACTTCAGGTGATCCACCCGCCTCAGCCTCCCAAAGTGCTGGGATTACAGGCATGAGCCACTGCGTCCGGCCCTAGCCAGGTTTGAATTGCAATTCCATTAAACTTTCATATGACTTTAAGCAGAAATAATCCATTTGAAATATTGTTTTCTTTTCCTTGAATATGGTATGTTCTCTAACTGTGCAGATCTTTTTTTATATTCTCCACAAAGTTTTGTCACTACTTCAAATACTTCTGCATATATCTTTTTTTTTTTTTTGAGATGGAGTTTCACTTGTCTCCCAGGGTGGAGTGCAATGGCGCGATCTCGGCTCACTGCAACCTCCTCCTCCCAGGTTCAAGCGATTTTTCTGCCTCAGCCTCCTGAGTAGCTGCAACTACAGGTGCCCGTCACCACGCCCTGCTAGTTTTTTGTATTTTTAGTAGAAATGAGGTTTCACCACGTTGGCCAGGCTGGTCTCAAACTCCTGACCTTAGGTGATCTGCCTGCCTCGGCCTCCCAAAGTGCTGGGATTACAGGCATGAGCCATCACACCTGGCCCTGCATATATCTTAAACATTTTATTTGTAGGTTAAAAAAATTAATCAATCAATCAATCATTTATCAATCTATCATCTGTCAACTGGGATCATCTCCCAGGAGACATTTGACAATCTCTGGGCATATTTTTAGTTGTCACAACTGGAAACTAGCTATTGGCATCTGTTGGGTAGAGGCCAGGGATGCTGCTGTACATTGTACAATGCCCAGGGCAGCCCCTACACACAAAAATTATTAGTGTCAGATGTCAGTAGTGCTTACATTAAGCACCTGTCATCTGGCCTGGTGTGGTGGCTCATGCCTGTAATCCCAGCACTTTGGGAGGCTGAGGCGGGTGGATCATGAGGTCAGGAGTTTGAGGCCAGTCTGGCCAACGTTGTGAAACCTTGTCTCTACTAAAAATACAAAAAATTAGCTGGGTGTGCTGGTGTGTGCCTGTAATCCAAGCTACTTGGGAGGCTGAGGCAGGAGAATCGTGTGAACCTGGGAGGCGGAGGCTGCAGTGAGCCGAGATCATGCCATTGCACTCCAGCCGACAGTGTGAGACTCCGTCTCAAAAAAAAAAAAAGAAAAAGAAAAAAAAAAGAAACTGTCATCTATCTATATTGTGAGTGAAGTCTTTTCCCCACGGATTGTCCTACTGACATAGCTATCTTGGTCAGTAACAGAGGAGATCTGTTAAGCGTGTGAGGGGTTGGTCCATGTTCTCTGGGTGTTTGCTCCAAGCCCTGGGAGGAGCAGCCTCCTTTGAGAGGCAGCATCCCTTGACTTCCACAGAGCCCAAGAACACGATGGTGTGTGGCCCTTGACCGTGGCTCCGCCTCTTACAGGTCTCTTAGAGAGACTAGGTGTCCCAGAGGAGGTGTCTTCTGGGGAGAGACCAAGAAGGGCTGAAAGAAAATCCATGATTCCATTTAAATAAATGTCAAGAACTGGCAAAACTCACATCTGGTGATGGAAATCAGAGGTGTGGTTGCTGGGGTTGGGGAGAGGATTGAGTGGAAAGGCTGCAAGGGAAGTTTTGGGGATTATTTCTGGCACAATGAGCCTGGGTGATGGAGAGTGTTTTTCCCCAGGACTTTTTATTCTTTAAAGAAGGCACAATTATAGCTGCAGTAACCCCCCCTCTTTTTTTTTGAGACAGGGTCTCGCCCTGTTGCCCAGGCTGGAGTGCAGTGGTGCAATCACAGTTCACTACAGCGTCAGTCTCCTGGGCTCAAGTGACCCTTCTGCCTTAGCCTCCTGAGTAGCTGGGACTACAGGCATGTGCCACCACGCTTGGCTAATTTTTTTATTATTATTTATTTTTGGTAAAGACAGCGTCTCACTATGTTGCCCAGGCTGGTCTCCAACTCCCGGGCTCAAGTGATCCTCCTGCCTTGGCCTCCCAAAGTGCTGGGATTAATTACAGTTGTGAGCCACTGTGCCCGGCCATCAGAAGCCCCTTGATATCCTGCTCTGGCCCCAGCTCATTCCCCTTTCTGTCTCCCCAGAGGCAGCCAATGTCCAGAAATTGATAAGTTATCTTTCACATCCATGTTTTTGTATTTTTTCAAGCAGCGTAGTTTGGTGTGTTTTTTTTTCAATTTTTTTATTGCAGTAAAATATACATAACATAAAATTTACCATCTTAACCATTTTAGTATATTAAGTACATTAATTTAATTACTCACCTAATTAAGTAATTAAATAATTTGGTATATGAAGTCCATTTAGCATATTAAGTACAGCGATATTAAGTATATTCATATTGCTGTGCAACCATTACCACCATCCACCTCCGGAAGTCCTTTCATCTTGCAAAACTGAAACTCAGTACTCATTAAGGAATGACACTTCCATTCCCCCAGCTCCTGACAACCACCATTCTACTTTCTGTTTTTATGAATTTTGCTATTCTAGAGACTTCATGTAAGTGGAATCATATAGTATTTGTCTTTTTGTGTTTGGTTTATTTCACTTAGCTTAATGTCCTCAAGATTTATCCATATTGTAGCATGTGTCAGAATTTCTTTCCTTTTTAAGGCTGGATAATATTCCATTTTTGTGTGTGTATGTAGATACACACACACCACACACACACATACATATGCACACATACATACGGTACCACATTTTGTTTATCCACTCTTTCATCAATGGACACTCGGGTTTCTTCTACCTTTTGGCTATTGTGAATAATGCTGCTGTGAACATGGGTGTACAAATACCTCTTTGGGACACGGCTTTGAATTCTGGGTATATATCCAGAAGTCTAATTGCTAGATCATATGTAATTTTATGCAGAACTGCCATATTGTTTTCTACAGTGGCTGTATCATTTTACATTCCTACCAACAGTGTACAAAAGCTCTGATTTCTCTGTATCCTTACCAACACTTGTTTTCTCTCTCTCTCTCTTTTTTCTTTTTTTGAGACGGAGTCTTGCTCTGTTGGCCAGGCTGGAGTGCAATGACATGATCTTGGCTCACTGCAACCTCTGCCTCCCAGGTTCGAAGTTTCAAGTGATTCTCCTGCCTCAGCTTCCCGAGTAGCTGGGATTACAGGCACACACCACCATGCCTGGCTAAATTTTGTATTTTTAGTAGAGACGGGGTTTCACCATATTGGCCAGGCTGGTCTTGAACCCCTGACCTCAGGTGAAGTGCTGGGATTACAAGTGTGAGCCACCGCACCTGGCCTCTCTCCCCTTTATTAATAGTAGCTATCCTAATGGGTGTGAGGTGGTATCTCTTGTTTTCAATTTGCACTTCCCTAATGATTAGTGATGTTGAGCATCTTTTCATAGGCTTATTGGCCATTTGTATATCTTCTTTGGACAAATGTCTACTCAAGTCCTTTGTCTGTTTTTGATTTGGGTTGTGTGTTTTTGTTGCTTACTGAGTAGTGTGTTTTTAAACATTACTCTTAAAGTATCACATTGTGCATATTTTTTCTGCATTTTCTTTTTCACTTAATATTCTTTTTAAATTTTTTTCAAGACAATGTCTCGCTCTGTCATCCAGGCTGGAGTGCAGTGGTGCGATCTTGGCTCACTGCAACCTTCGCTTCCTGGGTTCAAGCGATTCTCCTGCCTCAGCCTCCCAAGTAGCTGGGATTATAGGTGCCCGCCACCATGCCAGGCTAATATTTGTATTTTTAGTAGAGTTGAGGTTTCCCCATGCTGGCCAGGCTGGTCTTGAGCTCCTGACCTCAAGGGATCTGCCCGCCTCGGCCTCCCAAAGTGCTGGGATTACAGGTGTGAGCCACCGCACCCAGATCCACTTAATATTCTTTACTTAATTTATTTTAACTGCTGTATAATACTCTACTGTGTTGCATACTTCTCTTCTCCAATCTTCTATTATTGGACATTTAGGTGGTTTCCAATTGTTCAGTATGACACTGCTTCAGTGAACATCACTACTTGTTTGTGTATATTTATTTTTTATACAGTCATAATATTGTTTTTCAGTTGGTTCTCTTGTGTTCTCTAGAAAGACAATATTATCACAAACTGAAAATAATACTTTTGTTGCTTTCTTTCCTGTAGTTATGATTCACATCTATTTCTGGTCTGGTACATTGCTTAGAAATTTCAGAACAGTAGTAAACAGCAGTGGGAACAGTGACTATCCTTGTTTTGTTCTTGACATTAATGAAGTTGCCTCCTGAATTTCACTGTTAAGGATGACTTTGGCATTTGGTTTGAAATGTTAATTTTTATTTATCATCTTGAGGTATTATTTTTCATTTGAATTTATTAAATGAATTTTATAGACTAATTTAAATATTATTATAGTTTTTTTCTTCTACAAATTGTTATAGTAATAGACTTCTAATATTGAAACAACCTTGGAGTTTTTTGATGTATTATTCTCCCAGTCTATTGCAGGATTATGTTTGCTTGTATCTTTTTAGTATTTTTGTATGTATAACATATTAAGAGTGATTGGCCTGTTTTTGTTGTTGTTGACTATCTTTTAAGTCACAGTTACAAGGTTTTGTCTTTCCTAATAGGACATTATTGAGATATCATTTACATAAACTACACACACCTTAAGTGTACAGCTTGATGAATTCTGACAAATATGTATACCTCAGTCACCATCATCTAGATCAAGATATAGCACATTTTCATGGTCCCAGAACATTTCCTCATGGCCCCTCCAGTCAATCTTCGATCCACACCCCAGCAACCACTTCCCTGATTTCTATCACCAGAGATTAGTTGGGTCTGTCCTGTCCTTGAACTTGTCCTATATATGATCATATAGTTTGTATTCCTCAGTATCTGGTTTCTTTCATTCAACATAAAGTTTTTATTAAAAAATTAAAAAAAGTTTTTTAAATTTGTTTTTTGGAGATGGAGTCTTGCTATGTTGCCCAACCTGGAGTGCAGTGGCTATTCACAGACGTGATCATAACTCACTGCAGCCTCAAACTTCTGGGCTTAAGTGATCCTCCAGCCTCAGCCTCCTGAGTAGTTGGGACTACACGGTGCCTGGCTGCATAATGTTTTTGAGATTCATTGAAAATATTATATCAATTGTTTTGCTAGCTTTGTAAAATGAACTGATAAGATTTACATCTTTTTGGCCAGGCATGGTGGCTCATGCCTGTAATCCCAGCATTTTGGGAGTCTGAGGCAGGAGGATTGTTTGAGCCCAGAAGATGGAGGCTGTAGTGAGCTATGATGGTGCCATTGCACTCCAGCCTGGGTGACAGGGTGAGACCCTGTTTCAAAAAAAAAAAAAAAAAAAGATTTACATCTTTTTCTTTTCATGCCCTGAAAGAGCTAATGTTACAAAATTTATTTGTTTTGTGAAAGGTGAGGTAACTCACCTGTGAAATCATCTGAGGCTATAACCATTTTAGGAGGCAATACTTTAAGAACTTTCTTTAAACTTTTCCTTTATTATTGTTCTATTCAGATAGTCTAGTTTTTGTTGAAGCAATTTTTAAAGCAATTTTTTAATGTTATGTTTTCCCAGAAAATAATCCATTTCATTGCAGTTTTGAAATTATAAGCATATAATTGTAGGTAGAGTCCTCTTAGAGTTTTAAAACCTATAGTTTCCCTTTTGGCATTTATAACATTTATTCGTGTTTTTTCCTTTTTCTTTTTTTTTTTTTTTTTGAGACAAAGTCTCGCTCTGTCACCCAGGCTGGAGTGCAATGGCGCAATCTCAGCTTACTGCAATCTCTACCTTCTGGGTTCAAGAGATTCTCTGCCTCAGCCTCCCAAGTAGGTGGGACTAGAAGTGCACCACCATGCCTGGCTAAGTGTTGTATTTTTTGTAGAGATAGAGTTTCGCCATGTTGGCCAGGCTGGTCTGGAATTCCTGGCCTCAAGTGATCCACCCGCCTCGTCCTCCCAAAGTGCTGGGATTACAGATGTGAGCCACCATGACTGGCCTGTTTGTGTTTCTTCTAAAGGTAGAAGCAAAGCTGTTTCATGAACCAACTCTAAAATTTATTTATTAATCCTACTGTCTTTCTGACTGTTAAGGTTACTAATCAATAATATTTGCTTTTAACTGTTTTACTGCTTTCTTCCCCTGGTTATTTTGATGTTTTATTAAAACCAAATTACTTAAATGAAAGTTTATTTTACCTATTTTTATTCTTTTCTGATTAGCCATAAAGGCCATTTAAGGCTACAAATTTGCCTATGAATCAGCTTTGTCTCATCCCATGAGATTTCTTATATGTTTTCTCTTTTCCATTGTTTTTAACTAGTCTGTTTGCCGCTTTGATTTTTGCTCTTTAGCTCAAATGTTATCCAGGAGAGCACTTAAAAATATCTAAGTGATTGGGTTGTTTAATTTGTGTGATAGGAAAGAAGTGTTTATTATTTAGAATTCTCCATGGCTTCCTAGGGAGGGTGGTTCCCATCTCTTTAGCATCGTTTGTGTTATACACAGCAGTGACAGATGTAGGTGTAGAAGCTTTAGGGGAGCTCAGTCTGAGTCCAATTACTCAGCATAAAAAAGGGTGCAAGATGGATGCCTTTTCAGAGCTATCAGGGAGATGTGAGAGGGGAAGGGTGCAGATGACTTGTGACTAAGACACGGGAAACTCACAGAATTTCCCGTGTAATTCTGTGACCCAAAAGTAAATGGGTCCAGTTGGAAGTTGGAATGTGGGTAGGAAGGGAGCTGGCTGAGAGTTAATTTTGGAATAGCATATTGGAATGAGCAAGATTTAACTGCTTTACTTGTATAGACTCTAACCTGTAGACAGTGAGGAATCATTTGGGATTTCTTGCATGCAAGTGACGTGATTGAGATTTATTCTCAATGTTAAGATCCCATTCACCTCCCAGAATGCTGGTAGCCAGGCAGAAGATGGAAAGATTCTTTTTTGGAGCATATGACAAGCCCAGGAGTAGAGCCCTAAAGACACTGACATTGGAGTCTTCTCAACAAAATGTCCTGTTCAGATCTCCTTGTATGACTCTTTGTTGAAAAGCTCAGAGGTCCCAATCAATTTTTAGTGTCTCAGTGTTTAATATGAGCAGAAAACCAAAGGTCACTTGACATTTAAGTAAAGCCTCTACCATGAAGGACAGAGACAAACAAATAAGCAAAGAAAAGAAGCAACCTAGAGGAGTTAGACGATGCAGGGAGAAGAAATCTTAAAAGCGTTAACATTCTCAGAGATACAACACAAGATAGAAAGATATGGCATTCATGAAACAAGTAAGGAATGCTGATGAAAAGAACACACAGAATTCAGAGAACAATAAAACACCAGAAACTCAAAGAAATTAAAAGCAAAAAATGCTCAAACGTGAACAATTTACCAGAAGGATTGAATGATAAAGTTGAGTCAATATTTCAAAAAGAAAGTGATATCTACAAAAAAATGGAAAACAGAAGAGAAAAAGATAAGAAAAACTAGAGAAACAGACTAGGGCGTCCAACATCCAAAAAACAGGAATTTAAGAGTGAAAGGGTACAGAAAATGAAAGGGCAAACATCATCAAAGAAATAATTTAAGGAAAATTTCTAGAACTGAAGGATGTGGAATTCTAGATTGATTGAGACCCATCATAATGCTCAATAAAACAGACCTGCACCTTTGAAAAGAGAGGTTTTTTTTTAAAGAATTATGCATCTGAAATTTCTGTTTTACTTAGAAGATAATTAGTGCTAAAATTGAAGAATACAAGTTAACTTTATTTTTTATTTATTAATTTTTTTTTGAGACTTGCTCTCGTCACTCAGGCTGGAGTGCAATGGCATGATCTCGGCTCACTGAAACCTCCGCCTCCTGGGCTCAAGCGATTCTCCTGCCTCAACCTCCCGAGTAGCTGGGATTACAGGCGCCTGCCACCACGCTCAGCTAATTTTTGTATTTTTAGTAGAGATGGGGTTTCACCATGCTGGCCAGGCTGGTCTCGAACTCCTGACCTTGTGATCTGCCCACCTTGGCCTCCGAAAGGGTGGGATTACAGGTGTGAGCCACCGTACCTGGCCCAAGTTAACTTTAATGGCAAAGTTGGAGAATACAAGATAACTTGTGATTTGCATGTGGCCAGACTGCATATAAAAGGACCTCTGGCAGCATCTGTAACAAAGTGGACTGGTGTGATGTCAAAGAAATAGACATTCCTATAATGAAAGAATGTCATGTAGAAATGTAGCATCCTAATTTTTAAAGTATTTTAGATTTGGTTGGGAGAAGAATCTGTCACTTACAAAATAAGGAGGAGGAAAAAATAAACAATTTAGCTTTTTTTTTTTTTTTAGAGCTATACGGTTTACAAAGTGCTGTGGCCTATATGTGATAAACTATTTAAATTTATCTTTTTTTCTCAGAACAATACGAACATATCAATTAATCTTAACAATATTGCAAGTGAGGCATTATGACTCCCATATTGCAGACAAGAATGAGGCTCAGAGAGGTTAAGCAAATTGTCCAAGTTCATAGAATTTGCAGGTGGCAGAGGTGGGATTTACATGGCGGTCTCTGATTCTCTTGGCCTGTTCCTTATCATCACCACGAGGTCACAAGATGGTTGAAGAAGGAAGAAGGAGAAAGGGTGGCAAACAAAGGGCAAAAAAGAATGTGTACCAGCCCTGCCTTTTGTGACATCTCTCTGAAGTCCACCCAGCAGCCTCTTCTTAAGTATCATTTGCCAGACTATGCTATGTGGCCACCTCTCTTGGCAGAGGAAGCTGGGAAATGCGGCGTTTTAATTGGACTGCTTCCTTGGGTGAAACCAAAGCTCTGTTAGGAAGAAAGATTTGAGTTGGCAGCCAGGAGTCTCTGTGAAAGCCAGGAACAAAAGCAGCTAAGGTATCCCTTTCTTTGGCTAGCTAGAAGCTGTTTACATGGATAGCCTTTTTTTCCTCCCCCCTTGGCTTTGGATAATGTGGATTATTTTCATGCAGTAGAACCAAATTTTCAATATAGTGCATGTATTTAATATTTCAATATGGCGAGTTCACTGGCTTTTTCTGTCTTCAGACAAGATTTTTATGATGGTCCCAAATCCTGTTAAGATTTGATCTGAGTTGTTTTGCTAAATAGCACTCAGTGTTTTAAGCTCCCTGAAAGTGGTTACCCATAGTTTTCTAGGCTTTTCTTTCTGTGCCCTCTTCCCCAGGACCATTTCCCCTCTGTCCTCTTTCCCAGGACCATTTCCCCTCTGTCCTCTTCCCCACTTCCCATTCTCCTTCTCCACCAGTTCAATTGCTGTCAACTCTTACTGAAATCTCAGCTCATGCAATTCCAGAGAGAATCTCTAGTTCAACGAGTTGGGGTTGCAGACAGGGAAACTGAGGCCCAGAAAGTCAGGGTGATCTCTGGCAAGGACTAATGTCCTCTGGCTCTCCTCAGTCTTCTTGAAGGAAGGTCAGTGATTCTTACTCCCAGGAGGAAAGACAGAGAGCGAAGGCCCTGAAGTAGGAAAGAGACTAGGGGCATTAAAGGAAACAAAAGGGGGCTGGCATGGCTGCAGCACAGGTAGTGAGGAGGAGATTGGCTTGAGCCAAAGCTAGAAGGGTCCTCAGGACCATGGGAAGCCAAGGCATGCAGGTGATGCTGAGGATATGGGGTGTATCGGCTTCTGAAGGGTATCAGCTGGGAAATAGTGTAATTTAGCTTAAAATCTTAAAGGGTCCTTATGCCTGCTTCATAGAGACATATTGGGGAGGGCAAGAACACAAAAGAGGAGAAGAGTGAGGGCTACTACAGTTGTCCTGGTGAGAGATAATGGAGGCTTGAACTAACGTAGAGGCAGTTGGGTTGGAGGGATGAGTGGATGGACGTAGAGTATGTTGTCAGGCTTTGATGACAGATTTGGGGATGGGAGTTTGGGAGAGGGGAAAGGGAAAGAATCCTAGGGTTCTGTCTTGTGCAAGTAAGTAGATGAAAGAGCGCTTCATGGAATTAGGGAGCACTGGGGGAGGAAAATATTGGAGTGGAAGATCCAAAATTCACTTTTGTGCTGAAATTTCTGTGATACATTCTTATGGAGATGTCAGTAAGGTAGCTAGATGTATATCATGAACCAGATTTTTCTGTTTTATTTCTAATTGGCTATTGTTATATATAGAAAAACTGTTGCTTCACGCAAATAGATACTTTTTTTTCTGAGATGATCTCACTCTGTTGCTGAGGCCGGAGTGCAGTGGTGGGAACATGGCTCACTGCAGCCTCAACCTCCTGGGCTTAAGTGATCCTTAAACCTCAGCCTCTCTATTAGCCTGGACTATAGGCATGCACCACCATATCTGGTTGATTTAAAAAAATTATTATTTTTTTTTCTGTAGAGACGGGTCTCGGTATGTTGCCCAAGCTGGTCTCAAACTCCTGCATTCAAGCAATCCTCCTAATTCAGCCTTCCGAAGTGTTGGGATTATAGGCATGAACCATTGAGTCCAGCTGCAAATATACTTTGTATTAGACCATTTTACTGGCCTCTCTTGTTAGTTTGAATAGCTTTTCTGTGATTTTTTTGGTGTTCTCATATGTAATTATATTGCCTGCTAATAATGATAAATGTATTTCTTCCTTTCCAACCATTTTACCCCTTATTATTTTTCTTGTTTTATCACATTGGCTATAGTAGAGGTCCTTTTGAAGTTAGCTTTTTTAATGTATATAATTTTTTCTTAAAAAATATGGAATGCTTCATGAATTTGCATGTCATCATTGTGTAGGGGCCGTGCTAATCTTCTCTGTATTGTTCTAATTTTAGTATATGTGCTGCCAAAGCAAGCACTACAGTTAGTTTTAATGGTAAACATAATATTGATATTTGACCAGCTAAGAGGAAGATGATTTTGAGACAAAGCTTCGAGGCAGTGTATACAGCTCAAATTATGACAGAAGCTTAGATGTGGTGTGATAATACATTTGAATAAGGTGGTGTCTTAGTTCTTGCTGCTGTAACACAATGCCACAGACTGGGTAATTTATATTGAGCAGAAGTTTATTGGCTCATGATTCTGGAGGCCAGGAAATCCAAGATCAAGGGGCCGGCATCTGACAAGGGCCTTCTTGCTATGTCATCTTATGGTGGGAGGGCAAAGAGAGGGCGAGAGAGGGAGCAAATGGTCAAACTCACAGCCTCAAACCCTTAAATTCATTCATGGAGGTGAAGCCTTCATGACTAAACACCTCCCATGAGGCCCCGCCTCCTAACAGGCCCCACCTCCTGACACTGTTGCATTGAGGATTCTGTTTCCAACACATGCTTTTTGGGAGACACAGTCAAACCATAGCAGGTGATAACTGAAGACATAAAAAGGGATATAAATACCAACTCTCTTACCCTCATACTCATAGCCAGAAGAATGGTCTGTCCATAAAACATGATCACAATGCTTCAAACCTGAAGCATGGTGGTCAAATTGACAGGAAACTAAGAATATCTAAAAGTAAAGGTTAAAGTTGGGTAGAGTGTGTTCATTTGGAAAAGAGAACAGAGAAGAAATTGATCATAATTCTCAGTTTATGAACACCTGTAAAAAGGTAGGATGAAAAGAAATAGACAGATAGGTATATTTTAAAATCAGTGTCCATGGTTGAAGCTTAATCTTCCAAAATATCCTGTAACAACTATAATTTATGTAATGCTAGTATGCATATAACATATCACTTGGTTTCCCCATCACCTCAGTGATATAGGTAGTAATTCACATTTATCCATAGTTTGACATTTTCTAACATGCTTAGATTACCTCATTTGATGTTTACATTCTCAGGGCTTGCTCCCTTGCAATTAAGGCTACAATAAAAATCCATCTGCTTTTAGTTCTTTGAACGCAATGTCCTGCATTCTCTCTACTCGGCCTTTGTCCATGTGGCCCACCTTGTGATGCCTGTTTCTCCTTCACAACCCAGTTCAGCCCCAAGGAAAGGCCTCTGTTCCATTGTCAGAAGGGAGAGGTGAGTGTAGCCAGCCAGGCCTTGAAGGAATTCAAGCCAGGTAGCAGGTATAGCACAACTCAAATATGCTGCCGTAAGCTTTGCTGAGCTCCCTTGCTTTAGGGAAGAAAAGAAAAAGAAAGTCCTCTTTAGCCAGCTGCATTTCTTCTTCCCATTTCCAGAGTGTACCAGGGAGGGTACACATGTGATTGTCCATGGGCTCACCTTTACCCATCACTCCTCTGGGGCAGATGCCAAATCATGTGTCTCGTGATGCAAGAGCTTCATGGGGGTGGAGCAGGGTTGGGTGCTGTCTAAGAGGGAATGAATGGCCCAAAGCTCCAGGTCTGGACAGTCTGAGACCCTCTTGCTGGGGAGTAGCGTTTTGGGAAAAATGAAATACACTTGGCTGGATCTGAAACTTTCTGTAGTTAGGTCTGGTTGGGTGGAAGGGGATCTTGGGTGGCCTTCAAGCCTTGGAGACCCCCAATCCAAGATCTCTAAGGACGTATACCTAGAACCTTCCAGCTTATCTGCATCGTCAGTGTTTCTCACTCTTCTGTGCATGCCCCAAGTTGTCTCTGCTGTCAGGCTGCAAGATTGTTGTGGAAACAGGCTGAGCCTATTCCATCTTGCTCAGTCACAGGGCCTTGTCTGGTGCCTGGCACACAGAGGGCTGCAGCAAGTGTTGGTTGATTTGAAATCACAGTTGAGCCTCCTGCCTCAGCATCTCAGTCAGTGCTCCATAGCCAGTCACGTGGCTGCCTACAAAGGAGAAGAAGATAAAAGAATCCCAGGTGACTTTGTGGGTTAAAGGGGTTTTAAAGCTCTTGCTTTAGAAGCTCAAGTAAAACTTTCATCCTGTGTTGACTGGATAAAGCATTCTGTCAGCCATCCGGGGCTCGTCTAGGACTGGGGGCAGGGGAGAAGGGAGAGCAATGTTGTCACTTTAATTGCATTGGCATAAATATTTGATATTCAATAAATTAGATCTGGAGCAAGGAAAACATTCTTGCAAATGGATTTTTTACCTGGAGCCCAGCCCCATTAGCAGAGGAGTAGAGGGCAGCCTGCCCCAGGGCCGGTAATTAACTCAAGTGGAGCAGAACTAAGCATTTTTGACAGCCTTCCTAGTCTGGAATTAACTGTCATCTTGGAGGGAGAAAGAAAGTACACTGTCACATTACGGGCTTATGAGAGGTTCTCCAGTGCTGCCAGCCCCCTGAGTTTACTTATGTCTCCCCTTCATGCCCTGCAATGTTATTTTCATCATTAGAGACAAGTTTAAAAGCAACTAACGATGTATTTTATATCCACGTACCAGAATCACAGATTTCACCAAAAGAGAAGACATTAGCATGGTAATTCAATTTTTTTTTCTTTTTGGCAGTTGTAATGAAACAAGATACAGTGGATGCTGTTAGAAGTCACAACACTGATATCTGGAGATAGTACAAGCTGGATTTTTTTTCTCCTCTCTGTATCAGCACTTGCCTGTAATGAGCATAGCTTAGCCACTGTCTGTGCTATCTCCCCCCGCCCCCACCCAGCGTTTATGAAAGTAGCAATTGCTTCTGAGAAAAGGCAAAACCGTTGGAGCCTGAAGCTCCTTCTAGAAGCCACTGCTTGTCTTGTTCCGTGGAAACTGATACTGTGGAAATTGGAGTTGTGCCGGGTCTGGTCCTGGCAATGTGTGCGCAGGCAATTTTTTATAAGGTTGCAGATCTCAGCCAGACTCTCAGCTAGGCTGGGTGTGAGGATGGCGTCTCCAGCGATGCTCAGCTGGCTTCAGAGGGAAGGGCTGCCTGTGCATTTGTATGTGTTGAGAGGGGTGAGCTGTGCAGCCTGGTACACAGATCATGAACATCTGCTTCTCTTAGATCTTCTGCCTACTACCACAGCAGTAAAACCACGACTCACCGCCTTCATCACTCAGCCTCAACACTGCTTCCCTCATGCCCTACAGACAATGGGAGCTGGAATCGCCCTTGATTTCCCCTTTCTGTCATCTTAAGCACAGTGGCCTGAGGCTGACCCTCCTCTTAGAACTTGACCCTCTTCCTCTGTCCGGCACCACTCCCTGCACAGTGGTAAGTCTGAAGATGTGATCATGTTCCTTCTCTGCTTGAAAGTCTCCTCAGCTTTGGCTTTCTTCTTGATGCCCCAGCAGGGGCCCCAAAACTTGGCTGTTCATTAGAATCTTGGAGACCCAGGCTGGCTGGACCAGAGTCCACAGAGTTCGCGCTCAGGCAGTGCGGAGGGCAACCCATGGTTTACAGGATCAAGCCCTAAAATCTTAGCCTAACATCTCAGCCTCAATGGCCTCCTCCCCTTTGGGCCCCAGAAGGCACGGGGCTCAGCCACAATCCTCAACCATGCACACTGCCCCTCAACTCTTCCCCTGGTCAACTTCCACTTATCCTTTAGGACTCAGTGAAATGTCACCTCCTCTGTGAAGCCTTCCCTAATTTCTCAGGCAGAATTATGGTCATTCATTCATTCGCCCATTCTCATTCAGCAAACACTCGCAGGATGCCTGCAGGTTCCACGTCCTGTGCTGGGTCCTGAAGATGACTTAGCAGCAAAAGGACAGATGCCAGGAGCTTTTCTGCTAGTGGGGAATACAGAGGAGACACGAGCAAAGCAGACAGAATCAGGGGAGGCTTCCTAGAGGAAGTGACACATCAGGGTGATCTGAAGGGTGTGTATGAGTTAGCCACAGGAGTGAGGGTGGGGAGAGGGGAAGGCCTTGGGTAGGAAGAGAGTGTGTTAGAGGACAGGAACGGTGAGACCAAAGCATAAACAGGCCAGGTTCCAGCCATCTCCCCGCAGCATGTGGTGTGTCTCCAGTGGGAGAGTGCTCAGTAGGTTTTTGTTTGTTTGTTTTTTATTTTATTTTATGTTTCTTTAGAGACAGGGTCTCGCTCTGTTGTCCAGTCTGGAGTGCAGTGGTGCAGTCATAGCTCACTGAAGCGTCCAATTCCTGGGTTCAAGTGATCCTCCTGCCTCAGGGGCCCAAGTGGCTGGGACCACAGGTGTGTACGACTGCACCCAGCTAATTTAAAATTTTTTTATAAAGACAGGGTCTCACTATTTTGCCCAGGCTGGTCTCGAGCTCTGGCCTCAAGTGATCCTCTGGCCTTGGCCTCCCAAAGTGCTAGAATTACAGGCATGAGCTGCTGCACCCAGCCTCAGTAGGTGCTGGTGGAGTGTAAAGTCAAGCGAGAGGGCCAGCTGTGGGCAGTGGTGGACATTGAGGTAGAAAGCCAATGTCAGGGATGGGACAGGATATTCCATCCATTAAGATATAGGCGATGGGGTGTCCTTGCACTTTAAAGATATATACATAAGTTTAGGGCCCTGTGAGGCTGGTATTATTATTTCCATTTCACACAGGTAGAATTTGAGGTTCCAAACAGTTAACTGACATGCCCATGGTCATTCAGCTAGTAAGGGGCAAAGCTGGGACTTGAACCCAGGCAGGGTGGCTCTGGAGCCTGTGCTTTTAACCCAGACTGTCCCATGCAGCTACAGCCTGACCTGGCTTCTCACCAGAGCTGGTCGTTCCTCTTTCACCCGCTCAACCAGCCCATGCCTGGCTCAGGGCTGTTTCCCGGCATCTGTGGGACATTTGAATTTTCAACGATGACGTTCAAGAGGGAAACAGAATTTTTGTAAAGAGAGTTCAGAACCCTTTGAGAGAATGACATGAGACCTGTGGTAGCTGTTGCATTACCTTCAGGTGTTGGGGAAATGCAAGAGTAGTCAGCTGCCCTCCTGAGAGCCAGGCCTGGGGAGAGCACAGTTCGGCACCCCCCTTGTTGCTGCTGGGCTCCCAAATGCTTGGGGAGCATTTTCTGTGCTCTGTCCATGTCAGCACCATATTTTATTAAGACATTATTGGCTGGGCGCGGTGGCCGGCCAACATGGCGCAACCCCATCTCTACTAAAAATACAAAATTAGCCAGGCATGGTGGTGCACACTTGTAATCCCAGCTACTCGGGAGGCTGAGGCAGGAGAATTGCTTGAACCCAGAAGGCGGAGGTTGCAGTGAGCCAAGATTGTGCCACTGCACTCCAGCCTGGGGGACAGAGTGAGACTCTGTCTCAAAAAATAAAATAAAATAAGATAAAATAAAATAAAATAAAATAAAATAAAATATATATACCCATTTACCACCCCCCAGATCTAGATATAGAACATTTTTAGATTTCCAGAAAGTTCCCTTGTGCCCCCTTCCAGTCAATCTCTGCTTCCCACCGCTAGGTAACCACTGATTTCTATCACTATAAGTTATCAGCTTTCTATCATTATATGTTAAATTTGTTGTGCCTGTGCTTGAACTTCGTATGATAATCATAGGCATATACTCCTATTTTGCCTGGCTTTATTTGCACAATATAACGTTTTTGAGATGCATCCAGTGTTGTTGCTGGTGGCAGTAGACTGTTTTTTCTCATTGTTGTCTATAGTATTTTGTTGTAGGAATACATGCAATTTCTCCATTCTTCTGTTGATGGACATTTGTGTGGTTTCCAGTGTGAGGCTATTAGGTATAAACTGCCACGAACATTCCCATGTAGTTGTGTCTGTGGACAGGCCGTGCTTCAGTTTTGACAGTCCAGGTGATAGTGGAACTTTCATCTCTTCAGCTTTCACTCCTAAAGACTTTCTAAAAATACCCTCATTTGCTCTCTCTCTACAGATGGGTGAGGGAAGAATAAAAGCCTCTAAGGAACAGAGGAAAAAGTTCTTGCTGGGAGATGGACATTAGTGCATCAGCAAATCTCATCCACTCTAGCTCCACAAGCTTTCTTTTTTTTTTTTTTTTGAGATAGAGTCTCGCTCTGTCACCCAGGCTGGAGTGCAGTGGCACGATCTCGGCTCACTGCAACCTCCGCCTCCCAGGTTCAAGGAATTCCCCTGCCTCACCCTCCTGAGTAGCTGGGACTACAGGCACCTGCCACCACGCCCGGCTAATTTTTTATTTTTAGTAGAGACGGGGGTTTCACCATCTTGGCCAGGCTGGTCTTGAACTCCTGACCTTGTGATCCACCCGCCTCGGCCTCCCAAAGTGCTGGGATTACAGGCGTGAGCCACCGCGCCTGGCCAACAAGCTTTCTTAAATGTGTCCGCTTGTCTCTGTTTTCCCAGCTCCCACTGGGGATAGGGCCATGTCCATTTCTTCCCTCCTCTCTGATCTGGTCTACTCAATTCTACACTTGCTACCCCCCCAGTTTATTCTAAACATGAGAGCCAGGGAAGTCTTTTCAATACCAACCAACCCCCAACCTTCCATGTACCATTAAGGCCCCCCAAAGCTTCCTTCTACCTTAGGAGAAACTTTAAATTCCCCATCCTGCACTCTAGGCCTGACAGCACATAGTTCTGCCTACCTGCCCTGCCTCCTATCCCTTCCCACAAGCTCCGAGTCTTTGCACTGGCTGTTCCCTCTGCCTGGAATGTGCTTCCCAAGGGAATCTGCATGACACACCCTGTCAGGACTCTTCCAATGGTACCTCTGTAGAGAGGCCTTCCCTGATCACCCAGTCAGACATAGCAGCCCTTTCCTCTAACCCACTAATCTGCTTTCTGTCTCTACAAATGTTCCTATTCTGGACATTTTATATGAATGGAATTATACAATATGTGACTTTTTGTGTTTGCCTTCTTTCATGAATCATAAAGTTTTCAAAATCCATTCATGTTGTAGAAGAACTCAGTACTCAACTCCTTTTTATGACTGAATAATATTCCATTGTATGGATATACCATAATTTATTCATTCATCAATGGGTAGGCACTGGGTTGTTTTCATTTCTTTGATTATTATGAATATGCTTCTATGAATATTTGTGGACATGTTTTTATTTCAACATGTTTTCACTGCCCATGGCTGTTTAATTAGTTCAATTGCTCAGTCCCTCTATGTTTAGTTTTTTCAGGAACTGTCAAACTTCTTTCCCAAAACAGCTGCATGATTTTACATTCCCGCCAACAACGCACAAGTCTTCCAATTTATCCACATCCTTGCTGACATTTGTTATTCTCTGTCTCTTGGATTATAGCCATCCTAGTGGATGCTAAGTAGTATCTCATTGGGGTTTTGGTGTACATTTCTCTCATAACGAATGATATTGAGCATTTTCTCATGTGTTTCTTGGCCACTTGTATATCTTTGGATGTCTAAGCCTTTCACTCATTATAAAATTGGATTATGTGTCTTATTATTGTTGAGTTTTAAACATATTTGATATATTCCAAATACTCTTCCCTTATAAGATACATGATTTGCAAATACTTTCTCTCATTCTGTGAGTTGTCTTTTCACTTTCTTGATAGTATTCTTTGGAGCACAAAAGTCCTAATTATTATTATTATTATTTTTTGAGACAGTCTCAGTGTGTCGCCCAGGCTGGAGTGCAGGGGCGTGATCTCGGCTCACTGCAACCCCTGCCTCCTGGGTTCAAGTGATCCTTCCGCCTCAGCCTCTGAATTAGCTAGGATTACAGGTGCATGTGCCACCATGCCTGGCTAATTTTTGTAATTTTTGGTAGAGATGGGTTTCTGCCATGTTGGTCAGGTTGGTCTTGAACTCTTGACCTCAGGTGATCCTTCCACCTTGGCCTCCCAAAGCACTGGGATTACAGGTGTGAGCCACTGTGCCTGGCCAAAAGTCCTAAATTTTGATGAAGTCTAATTTATCTATTTTTTTCTTTTGTTGCTAGTGCTTTTGGTGTCATATCTAAGAGATTCTTGTCTAATCCTAGGTCACAAAGATTTCTACCTAACTTTCTTCTAAGAATTTTATAATTTTAGCTCTTGCATTTAGATCTTGCATCCACTGTGAGTTAATTTTTATATATAGAGTGAGGTAGGGGTTCGATTAATTCTTTTTGTAAAGAAATTTTTTTGGCTAATTATCCTAGCACCATTTGTTAAAAAGACAATTTTACCCCCTCTGAAATTGTTTTGACACTTTTGTCAAAAATTAATTGATCATAAATGTAAGGGTTTATTTCTGATCTCTCAATTCTATTCTTTTGGTCTATATGTCTATCTTTATGAAAGTCTCACACTGTTTTGATTACTGTAGCTTTGTAATATGTTTTAAAATTGGGACGTTTCAGTCTTCGTACTGTGTTCTTCTTTTTCAAGGTTACTCTGCTTATTAAAGGTCTCTTGTATTTATATGTTAATCTTAGGATCAGTTTGACACTTTTTGCAGAAAAGTCTGCTCGGATTAGATTGAGATTGCTTTGAATCTGTAGAGCAATCAAAGAATTTTGCCATCTTAGCAAATTAAATCTTGCAATCCATAAACGTGGACGTTTTCCCATTTGTTTAGGTGTTCTTTAAATCTTTTCAAGGATGTTTTGTAATTTCAGTGTAAAAGCCTAAGTATTTTATTTTGTTGCTATTTGAAATGAAATTGTTTTTTAGGTTTCATTTTCTGGTTGTGCATTTCTAGTATATAGAAACAAAATTGATTTTTCTATGTTGATTTTGTATCCTGCAACCTTGATGAACTTGTTCAATTATTTTGTGGATTCCTTAGGATTTTGTACATACAAGATCCTGTCTCCTGTGAATACAGGCAATTTTACTTCTACTTTGGAAAAATGGATGCCTTTTATTATTTTTTCTTGTCTGATTGTCATGGCTAGACCTTCCAGCACAATGTTGGACAGAAGTTATGAGTGGAGACATCCTTGTCTTTTTCCTGATCTTAGGCATAAAATTTGCAGTCTTACACCATTAACTATGATGTTAGCTGTGGATTTGTTTGTTTGTAGATGGCCTTTACCAGATTGAGGATGTTTCCTTCTTTCTATTTTTTTTTTGAGTTTTTTTTTTAAATCATAAAAGGTAGTTGGATTTTCTCAGTTGCTTTTTCTGGGTCCTTTGAGATGATCGTGTGTTTTTTGTCCTTTATTCTATTAATATGGTGTATTATGTTGATTAATATTCATATGTTGAACCAATCTTGTATTCCTGGGATACATTTCACTAGGTCATGGTGTATAATTCTTCTTATAAGTTGCTAGATTTGGTTTGCTAGTATTTTGTTGAGGATTTTTATGCTTATTCATAAGGGATATTGATCTATAGTTTTCTTTATTGTCTGATGTCTTTGTCTAGTTTTAGTATCAGGGTAATATTGATCTCAAAGAATGAGTTAGAAGGTGCCCCTTCCTATTCTTTATTTTGGAAGAGTTTGTGGAAAGTCGGTATTAATTTTACTTTAAATGTTGGGTAGAACTCCCCAGTTAAGCCATTTGGTCCTGGGCTTTGGTTTGTGGGAAGTGATTTGATTATTAATTTAATTGCTTTATTTGTTATAGTTTCATTGAGATTTTCTATTTCTTTTTGAATTGGTTTTGGTAGTTTTTTTCTTCCTAGAAATTTCTCAATTTTTCTCTAGGTTATCTAGTTTGTTGGTATACAATTGTTCATAATATTCCATTGTAAACCTTTTTTTTTTTTTTTTTTTTTTTTTTGAGCCACGGTCTTGCTCCATTGCCCAGGCTGGAGTGCAGTGGTGCAAACATGGCTTACTGCAGCTTTGACTTCCCAGCCTCAAGCAATCCTCCCACCTCAGTCTCCATAGTAGCTGGGATTACATGGGTGGGCCACCACACCGGGCAAATTTTTGTATTTTTTTTTTGTAGAGATGGGATTTCTCCATGTTGTCCAGGCTGGTCTTGAACTCCTGGACTCAACCAATCCTCCCTCCTTGGCCTCCCAAAGTGCTGGGATTTCAGGTGTGAGTCACTGTGCCCAGCTTATAAACCTTTCTATTTCTGTAAGATTGGCAGTAATGTTACCTCTTTCCTGATTTAGTAATTTGAGTCTTCTCTCTTTATTTTCTCTTGTCAGTATAGGTAAAGATTTGCCAGTTTTGTTGATCTTTACAAAGAACCAACTTTTGCTTTTATTGAGTTTTCTCTATTATTTTTTATTTTCTGTTTCATTTATTTCTGCTCTAGTCTTTATTATTTCTTTCTTTTTCTTGTTTGGGTTAAGTTTGCTCTTATTTTTCTGGTTTCTTAAGGTGGAGGTTTAGGATATTGATTTGAAATCTTTCTTAGTTTGTTAATATTGACATTTCCAGCTGTAAATTTCTAAGCACTGCTTTAGCTGCATCCCATGTATGGTATGTTGTGTTTTCATTTTCATTCATCTCAAAGGATTTTCTAATATACTTGTAATTTCTTCCTTTTGGTTTTTTATTGATACATAGTACTTATATGCATTTATGGAGTACATGTGATATTTTGTTGCATGCATAGGATCTGTAATGATCAAGTCAGAGTATTTAGAATATCTATCACTTTGAGCATTGGTCACTCAGGAGTGTGTTAATATCCACGTTTGTGAATTTTTCAAATTTTCTTCTGGTAGTGATTTCTAATTTTATTTCATTGTGGTTGGAGAATATACTTTATATAATTTCTATCATTTTACATTTATTAAACCTTGTTTTATGGCCTAATATATGGTCTATCCTTGAGAATGTTTTATGTGCACCTAACAAGAACAAATTCTCTGCTGTTGTTAGGTGGAATGTTTCATAGATGTTAGGTCTAGTTGTTTATAGGATTGTTCAAATCTACTATTTTCTGGTTGATCTTCTGTCTAGTTATTCCATCCATTATCATAATGGGTTATTGAAGTGTCTAACTATTGACCTTTTGTCTATTTCCTCCTTCAATTTTGTTGGGTTTTGTTTCATGTATTTTGGAGCTCTGTTGTTAGGTTCATGTATGTTTATACAGGTTGATCTCCTTAATCAGAAAATCTGACATCTGAAGCATCTCAAAATCCAAATCTTTCTGAGTGCCAACATGACTCCACAAGGGACAAATTCTAGTCCTGACCTCACGTGCTTTGTGATGGTTCAACGTACCTGTATACAAACTTTGTTTCATGCATAAAATTATTTAAAACATTGTATAAAATTACCTTCAGACTATGTGTACAAAGTGCATATGAAACATAAATGAATTTCTTGTTTAGACTTGTGTCTCATCCCCAAAATATCTCATTATGTATGTGCAAATATTCCAAAATCTGAAATACTTCTGGTCCCAAGCATTTTGGATAAAGGATACAGCCTATAATTATTGTGTAGATTGATCCTTTTATTATTATAAAATTTCCTTTTTCATTTCTAGTAAAATATCTTTGTCTTACCATCTGTTTTATCTGATCTTAGTATAGCTACTACAGCTTTCTTTTAGTTACTGTTTTCATGGCACATTTGTTTCCATCTTTTTACTTTCAACTCATTGGTGTTTTTGAATCTAAAGTGTGTCTCTATAAATAGCACATAGATGAAAAATGTTTTAAAATCCATTCTGTCAGTATCTGCCCTTTGATTGGAGTGTTTAATTCATTTATATTTACTGTAATTACTAATAAAGTAGAATTTACATTTGTCATTTACTATTTGTTTTCTATATATGTTGGATCTTTTGTATTCCTCTATGCATCCATATTGTCTTCTTTTGTATTAGCTAGGTATTTTCTTGTGTACCATTAAAAAACCCTTTTTTTCCCCTTTACTATGTGTTTTTTGAAGTAAATTTCTTAGTGATTACCCTGGGAATTGTAATTAACAACTTATAACAATGAAGTTCAGATTAATCCCTTCTCAATTTCAATAGCATACAAAAACTTTAAAAAAATAACTCTATTACCTCCCTCCTACCTTGTGCTGTTTTTGTCATACTGATTACATCTTTATATGCTGTATGCCTATCAATACAGTTTTTTTATTAAGAGATAGAATTGGCCAGGCATGGTGGCTCATGCCTGTAATCTCAGCACTCTGGGAGGCCGACGCAGGTGGATCACCTGAGATCAGGAGTTCAAGACCCACCTGGCCAACCTGGCGAAACCTTGTCTCTACTAAAAATACAAAAAATTAGCCTGGCATGGTGGTGTGCACCTGTAATCCCAGCTACTCGGGAGGCTGAGGCAGGAGAGTCGCTTGAACCTGGGAGATGGAGGTTGCAGTGAGCCAAAATCACACGATCTCACTCCAGCCCGGGTGACAGAGTGAGACTCCATCTCAAAAAAAAAAAAAAAAAAAAGATAGAGTCTCATTCTGTCACTGAGGCTGGAGTGCAGTGGCAAGATCATAGCTCACTGCAGCTTTGAACTCCTAGACTCAAGTGATACTCCTGCCTCAGCCTCCTGAATAGCTAGGACTACAAATGTGTGCCACCGTGCGTGGTTAATTAAAAAATTTTTTGGTAGAGGCAGGGTCTCACTATGTTGCCCGGGCTGGTCTCAAACTCCTGACATCAAGCAATGCCCATGCCTCAGCCTCCCAAAGTGCTGGGATCACAGGTATGAGCCATCACACCTGCCCTCAATACAGTTTTGTAATTATTGCTTTATGAAATTGTCTTTTAAAACAAATAGAAGAAAAAGTTACAAACAAAAAATGCCTATACACTGCCTTTTAATTTACCTGTGTAGTTCACCTTTACTGATATTCTTTACTTCTTCATATTTATTCAAATTGTTGTGTAGTGTTCTTTTATATTAGCCTGAAGGACTCCCTTTAGTATTTCTTACGTGACAGGCCTGTTAGCAACAAATTCTGTCTCTTTTTTTTTAAATATAGGAAGTTCTTATTTTTCCTTCAGTTTCGAATGATAGTTTTGCTGGATATAGAATTTTTAGTTGACAGTCATTGTCTTTCAGTGTTCTGAATATGTCATTCCATTGACTTTGGCATCCATACTTTCTGACAAGAAGTCATCTAAATTAATCTTATTGAGGATCCTTTGTATGTGATGAATCACTTTTCTCTGGATGCTCTCAAGGTTCTCTCTTTGTCTTTGGGTTTTCACCATTTAATTATGGTGTGTCTAGGCATGGCTATTTGAGTTTATCCTACTTGGAGTTCACTGAGCTTCTTGGATGTGTAGATGAATTTTTTTTGTAACATTTTGGAAGTTTTTGCCCATTATTTCTTCAAATATTCTTATCGCCTTCTCTTCTCTACTTCTGAGACTCCCATGGTGTGTGTGTTGGTACACTTAATGGTGTCTTACACGTCCCTAAGGCTCTGTTCATTTTTCTTAATTCTTTTGAAAAATTTTTCTCAGACTGGAAAACCTCAATGGATTAATCTTAAAGGCTGCCTTATTTTTTATCTTTCCTGCTCAAATCTGCTGTTAAAATTCTCTAGTGAAGTTGTCATTCCACTTCTTATACTTTTCAATTCCAGAATTTCCATTTTATCGATATTTTCTATTTGGTGAGACATTATTCTTATACTTTCCTTTAGTTCTTTAGACATGATTTCTTTTGTTTTTTGAATATATTTAAAAGAGCTAATTTAAAGGCTTTGTCTATTAAGTGCAATGTCTGTGCTTCCTCAGGCACAGTTTCTGTTGACCACTTCTTTCCTGTATATGGGCCATACTTTCTTGTTTCTATGCATGTCTTGAAAGTTTGTTGTTGTTGTTGTTGTTGTTTGAAAACAGGACATTCTAAATAACATGTGACAACTCTGGAAATCAGATTCTTGCTTCTTCCTAGGGTTTGTTGTTTTTGCTGTTGGTTATTGTTGTCATTATTTGTTTATTTGGTGACTTTCCTGGACTAATTCTTAAAGTCTGTATTTTTTATTGTGTGTGACCACTGAAGCCTCTGCTCAGGTTAGCTTAGTGATCAGTTATCGATCAGGCAGAAATTTCCTTAAATGTCCAGAACCAGTAAGTCTCCCAGTCTTTGTTAAGGGGCTCTGTTTGCATGCTGGGGCACACTTTCAATACTCGGCCAAGCAATTTGTAACTCTGGTTTAGTCTTCACTGTCTGCTTGCAGAGAGGCTGAAGGTCAGCCAGAGGTGAGTGCTTAGGCCCTTCTCATGTCTTTCTTGATCATGTACACAGCCCTACACATATGTATGGCCTTCTTTTCAAAACCCACTATGGAATTTCTTTCTCTAGGTTTTCCTTTTAAGCTTTTTGGTTAGCTTGTTGTTTTCCCAAACTGTTATCTTCCCTTCAGGCATGTACAATGTTAAATAATTCTGCATATTGTTTTTGACAAAAGCCCCCAAAGGGGGAAAAAAGAATGTTCACAATGGATGAACTCTGAGTCAGGTCAAATAAAGACATGGCTTGTGAGTGGGATTTTGCAGGGGGCTTCCAGACAGGTCAAATAATGACAATTCTCTGAGAATGGAGGTTTAAAGGAGCTCCAGCCCCCTTCTAACTTCTCCAGGGGCTGGTAGGCTATTGGTTATTCCTGTGATTATAGGCTGTTAGGTTTCAAGGTTACTGTGGGCTG
The DNA here is from genome assembly GCF_000001405.40 of Homo sapiens. Lineage (NCBI taxonomy): Eukaryota > Metazoa > Chordata > Mammalia > Primates > Hominidae > Homo > Homo sapiens. The sequence goes on from NC_000020.11 coordinate 43,811,008, forward strand.
AAGAGCAGGAATGGGTTGAGGTCAAGTTAAAATGTCACAAAGCTCAAGGTTCTTATGAAGATTCATTGTTTTCCTTCAATAAATGCTCCTCAGATTGCTGTAAGCTTTGATTTGTTTCTAGAGTTCTGAAATAGTTGGTTCTGACAAATTCTGCCAGTGTTCTCATTGCTTTTATGGAAGAAAGAATTTTTGGAAGTTCTCACTTTGCCATTTTTTGATAATGTCACTTCTTTGTAGACAAGCATTGTCTTCTTTGTGACATCTTTTTGTTTTGTTTTGTTTTTTTTTTTGGAGACAGAGTCTTGCTCTGTTTCCCAGGCTGGAGTGCAGTGAGGTAATCTTTGTTCACTGCAACCTCTGCCTTCTGGGTTCAAGTGACTCTCCTGCCTCAGTCTCCTGAGTAGCTGGGATCACAGGCACACACCACCATGCCTGGCTAATTTTTGCATTTTTAGTAGAGACAAGGTCTCACTATGTTGGCCAGGCTGATCTCAAACTCCTGACCTCAAACTCCTGATCTGCCCACCTCAGCCTCCCAAAGTGTTGGGATTACAGACATGAGCCACTAGTGCCCAGTCCATCCCGTGGTTTTTAATGCCACTGTTAATATTCTCCAGCCAAATACCACCATGCATATCCTATATTTGAACAAAGTTGAGTTTATTGACCTTGCAACAAGAGAGACCACACACCCGGGGGAACTGTGAGGCACCTCATGAGAGGTATCACGAAGGATCCATTACAGGATTTGTGTCAAGTGATTTTGAGGAGGTTTCAAAGAAGCAAGGCTTTTCTCTGAAGTGGAAGCTTTCTGGAAGTGGAGGAAATTCTGTGATTGGATATTTTAATAAATCTTGTTTAGAAAGTGGGAAGAATGAAGTGCGATTAAAGCTGAAATTGGTAAGGAAGCAGCAGCCACCCTCATTAGCTAGCATATTGGGTATAGTAGGCTGAATAATGGCTGCCAAAGATATCAGGTCCTAATCCCTGAAACCTGTGAATGCTGCCTTAGATGGAAAAGTTGTCTTTGCAGATTAAATTAAGGGTCTTGAGATTGGGGAGATTATCAGGGTGGGTCCTAAATATGATCATAAGTGTCTTTATAAGAGAGAGACAGAAGAAAACTCTCTCTCTCTCTCTCTCTCAGGAGAAGGCAATATGAAGATAGAGACAATGGAGATTTTAAAACGTTGATTGGTGGAGACTGGAAAGTTGTGGTCAGAAGCCAAGGAATGCTGACAGCCACCATAAACTGGAAGAGGTGAGGAATGGATTCTTTCCAAGAGCCTCTGGGGAGGGAGTGCAGACCTGCAGACACATTAATTTTGACCCAGTGATACTGATTTCAAACTCTGACTTTCAGAGCTGTGAGAAAACATATTTCTGTTGTTTCAAGCCATGAAGATTGAGGTAATTTGGTATAGCAGCCTTAGGTAACTAATACAGAGGGTGTTTGTTCATTTTTGTGGTTTGGACAATGTCCTTATATTTGCATTAGTTAATGGGTTATAGATATAATCATGTTCCTCAAATTCATATGTTGAAGTCCTATTCCCCCAGTACTTCAGAATGTGACCTTATTTGGAAATGGAGTTGTTGCTGATGTAATTAGTTGAGATGGGGTCAGTAGAGTGGGCCCCTAACCCAATGACTGGTATCCTTATAAAAATGGTGAAGTTTGGACATAGAAACATACACATAGGGAGCACACCATGTGAAGATTAGAGTTATGCTTCTATAAGCCAAGAAAGTACAAGAATCTTGAGAGGAGCTTGGGACACATTCTTTCCTACTACTCTCAGATGAAACGTGGACCTGAAGTCACCTTGATCTCAGACTTCTAGTCTCCTGAGCTGTGAGATAATAATTTATATTTATTTATTTATTTATTTATTTATTTATTTATTTATTTTTGAGACAGAGTTTTGCTCTTGTTGCCCAGGCTGGAGTGCAATGGCGTGATCTTGGCTCACTGCAACCTCCACCCCCTGGGTCCAAGCAATTCTCCTGCCTCAGCCTCCCAAGTAGCTGGGATAACAGGTGTGCGCCACCACACCTGGCTAATTTTTGCATTTTTAGTAGAGACGGGGTTTCACCATGTTGGCCAGGCTGGTCTCAAACTCCTGACCTCAGGTGATCCACCCACCTCGGCCTCCCAAAGTGCTGGGATTACAGGTGTAACACGCTTCAGATATGAGTACAGAGTGGTCTAGCTTTTGTCTTGCTCCAGTGCAGTTACATAATGGCCCTGTCTGATGTTGGTGTTCTGCAAGATTGTTTATGTCCAACAAGAAAACACCAGGGCCCAACCATGGGTGCCAGGTAAGCTTCCCAATGCCAGGGGCTGCTTTTCTCTTTTTCACTACAAAGTCTTTATTCATCAGATAAATGTTCATTTTAGGTTGTCTTTAAGGGTTTTAACTAATTTATTTATTGATGTATTTATTTTTATAACAGGGTCTTGCTCTATTGCACAGGAGTGCAGTGGTACAATCATGGCTGTCTGCGGCCTCAATCTCCCTGGCTTAAGCAATCCTCCTGCCTCAGCCTCCCAAAGTAGCTGGGACTACAGGTGAGTGTCAACGTGCTCCACTAATAATTTTTTTATTTTTTTATTTTTTTTTGAGACGGAGTCTCGCTCTGTTGCCCAGGCTAGAGTGCAGTGGCGCAATCTCGGCTCACTGCAAGCCCCGCCTCCTGGGTTCACACCATTCTCCTGCCTCAGACTCCCGAGTAGCTGGGACTACAGGTGCCTGCCACCATGCTCGGCTAATTTTTTTGTATTTTTAGTAGAGATGGGGTTTCACCCTGTTAGCCAGGATGGTCTCGATCTCCTGACCTCATGATCTGCCCGCCTCGGCCTCCCAAAATGCTGGGATTACGGGCGTGAGCCACCATGTCTGGCCAGTTTGTATTTATTTATTTATTTTTAGTAGAGATGACGTCTGGCTATGTTGTCCAGGTTGGTCTTGAACTCCTGGTCTCAAGCGATCTTCCTGCCTCAGCCTCCCAAAGTGCTGGGATGACAGGTGTGAGCCACCATGCCTGGTCCAATTCTTTTTCTAAACATTAAAATATTCAATCCAGCTGCCGTTTATTTTGGAGTGGGGGATGGAGTGAGAAGTATGTGGCCTCAGGTAGAGGGCATGAGGTTCAAAGTGATTATAGGGGTGTTGGCGCTGAACTTGCTGAGGTCTTCATGGACCTGGGTGGTTGACCTGGCAGCCTGCTATGGTCTCAATGTTTATGTTCCCCGCAAATTTGTATGTTAAAATCCTCAGCCCCAAGGTATTAAAAAGTAGGGCCTTTGGAAGGTGATTTGTTCATGGAGGCAGAGTCCTCATCAATGGAATTAGTGCTCTTACAAAAAAGCCCTGAGAGAAACCTCTCACCCCTTCCACCGCGTGAAGACACAGCAAGAAGGTGTCATCTATAAAGTAGAAAGTGGGCCCTCGGGGAGGAGCCAAGATGGCCGAATAGGAACAGCTCCGGTCTACAGCTCCCAGCGTGAGCGACGCAGAAGACGGGTGTTTTCTGCATTTCCATCTGAGGTACCGGGTTTATCTCACTAGGGAGTGCCAGACAGTGGGCGCAGGCCAGTGGGTGCACGCACCGTGCGCGAGCCGAAGCAGGGCGAGGCATTGCCTCACCTGGGAAGCGCAAGGGGTCAGGGAGTTCCCTTTCCGAGTCAAAGAAAGGGGTGACGGACGCACCTGGAAAATCGGGTCACTCCCACCCGAATATTGCGCTTTTCAGACCGGCTTAAAAAATGGCGCACCACGGGACTATATCCCACACCTGGCTCGGAGGGTACTACGCCCACGGAGTCTCGCTGATTGCTAGCACAGCAGTCTGAGATCAAACTGCAAGGCGACAACGAGGCTGGGGGAGGGGCGCCCGCCATTGCCCAGGCTTGCTTAGGTAAACGAAGCAGCCGGGAAGCTCGAACTGGGTGGAGCCCACCACAGCTCAAGGGGGCCTGCCTGCCTCTGTAGGCTCCACCTCTGGGGGCAGGGCACAGACAAACAAAAAGACAGCAGTAACCTCTGCAGACTTAAATGTCCCTGTCTGACAGCTTTGAAGAGAGCAGTGGTTCTCCCAGCACGCAGCTGGAGATCTGAGAACGGGCAGACTGCCTCCTCAAGTGGGTCCCTGACCCCTGACCCCCGAGCAGCCTAACTCGGAGGCACCCCCCAGCAGGGGCACACTGACACCTCACACTGCAGGGTATTCCAACAGACCTGCAGCTGAGGGTCCTGTCTGTTAGAAGGAAAACTAACAAACAGAAAGGACATCCACACCGAAAACCCATCTGTACATCACCATCATCAAAGACCAAAAGTAGATAAAACCACAAAGATGGGGAAAAAACAGAACAGAAAAACTGGAAACTCTAAAACGCAGAGCGCCTCTCCTCCTCCAAAGGAACGCAGTTCCTCACCAGCAACGGAACAAAGCTGGATGGAGAATGATTTTGACGAGCTGAGAGAAGAAGGCTTCAGACGATCAAATTACTCTGAGCTACGGGAGGACATTCAAACCAAAGGCAAAGAAGTTGAAAACTTTGAAAAAAATTTAGAAGAATATATAACTAGAATAACCAATACTGAGAAGTGCTTAAAGGAGCTGATGGAGCTGAAAACCAAGGCTCGAGAACTACGTGAAGAATGCAGAAGCCTCAGGAGCCGATGCGATCAACTGGAAGAAAGGGTATCAGCAATGGAAGATGAAATGAATGAAATGAAGCGAGAAGGGAAGTTTAGAGAAAAAAGAATAAAAAGAAATGAGCAAAGCCTCCAAGAAATATGGGACTATGTGAAAAGACCAAATCTACGTCTGATTGGTGTACCTGAAAGTGATGCGGAGAATGGAACCAAGTTGGAAAACACTCTGCAGGATATTATCCAGGAGAACTTCCCCAATCTAGCAAGGCAGGCCAACGTTCAGATTCAGGAAATACAGAGAACGCCACAAAGATACTCCTCGAGAAGAGCAACTCCAAGACACATAATTGTCAGATTCACCAAAGTTGAAATGAAGGAAAAAATGTTAAGGGCAGCCAGAGAGAAAGGTCGGGTTACCCTCAAAGGGAAGCCCATCAGACTAACAGCGGATCTCTAGGCAGAAACCCTACAAGCCAGAAGAGAGTGGGGGCCAATATTCAACATTCTTAAAGAAAAGAATTTTCAACCCAGAATTTCATATCCAGCCAAACTAAGCTTCATAAGTTAAGGATAAATAAAATACTTTACAGACAAGCAAATGCTGAGAGATTTTGTCACCACCAAGCCTGCCCTAAAAGAGCTCCTGAAGGAAGCACTAAACATGGAAAGGAACAACCGGTACCAGCCGCTGCAAAATCATGCCAAAATGTAAAGACCATCGAGACTAGGAAGAAACTGCATCAATTAACGAGCAAAATCACCAGCTAACATCATAATGACAGGATCAAATTCACACATAACAATATTAACTTTAAATGTAAATGGACTAAATGCTCCAATTAAAAGACACAGACTGGCAAGTTGGATAAAGAGTCAAGACCCATCAGTGTGCTGTATTCAGGAAACCCATCTCACATGCAGAGACACACATAGGCTCAAAATAAAAGGATGGAGGAAGATCTACCAAGCAAATGGAAAACTAAAAAAGGCAGGGGTTGCAATCCTAGTCTCTGATAAAACAGACTTTAAACCAACAAAGATCAAAAGAGACAAAGAAGGCCATTACATAATGGTAAAGGGATCAATTCAACAAGAGGAGCTAACTATCCTAAATATATATGCACCCAATACAGGAGCACCCAGATTCATAAAGCAAGTCCTGAGTGACCTACAAAGAGACTTAGACTCCCAAACATTAATAATGGGAGACTTTAACACCCCACTGTCAACATTAGACAGATCAATGAGACAGAAAGTCAACAAGGATACCCAGGAATTGAACTCAGCTCTGCACCAAGCGGACCTAATAGACATCTACAGAACTCTCCACCCCAAATCAACAGAATATACATTTTTTTCAGCACCACACCACACCTATTCCAAAATTGACCACATAGTTGGAAGTAAAGCTCTCCTCAGCAAATGTAAGAGAACAGAAATTATAACAAACTATCTCTCAGACCACAGTGCAATCAAACTAGAACTCAGGATTAAGAATCTCACTCAAAGCCGCTCAACTACATGGAAACTGAACAACCTGCTCCTGAATGACTACTGGGTACATAACGAAATGAAGGCAGAAATAAAGATGTTCTTTGAAACCAACGAGAACAAAGACACAACATACCAGAATCTCTGGGACGCATTCAAAGCAGTGTGTAGAGGGAAATTTATAGCACTGAATGCCCACAGAAGAAAGCAGGAAAGATCCAAAATTGACACCCTAACATCACAATTAAAAGAACTAGAAAAGCAAGAGCAAACACATTCAAAAGCTAGCAGAAGGCAAGAAATAACTAAAATCAGAGCAGAACTGAAGGAAATAGAGATACAAAAAACCCTTCAAAAAATCAATGAATCCAGGAGCTGGTTTTTTGAAAGGATCAACAAAATTGATAGACCACTAGCAAGACTAATAAAGAAAAAAAGAGAGAAGAATCAAATAGACACAATAAAAAATGATAAAGGGGATATCACCACTGATCCCACAGAAATACAAACTACCATCAGAGAATACTACAAACACCTCTACGCAAATAAACTAGAAAATCTAGAAGAAATGGATACATTCCTCGACACATACACTCTCCCAACACTAAACCAGGAAGAAGTTGAATCTCTGAATAGACCAATAACAGGAGCTGAAATTGTGGCAATAATCAATAGTTTACCAACCAAAAAGAGTCCAGGACCAGATGGATTCACAGCCGAATTCTACCAGAGGTACAAGGAGGAACTGGTACCATTCCTTCTGAAACTATTCCAATCAATAGAAAAAGAGGGAATCCTCCCTAACTCATTTTATGAGGCCAGCATCATTCTGATACCAAAGCCAGGCAGAGACACAACCAAAAAAGAGAATTTTAGACCAATATCCTTGATGAACATTGATGCAAAAATCCTCAATAAAATACTGGCAAACCGAATCCAGCAGCACATCAAAAAGCTTATCCACCATGATCAAGTGGGCTTCATCCCTGGGATGCAAGGCTGGTTCAATATACACAAATCAATAAATGTAATCCAGCATATAAACAGAGCCAAAGACAAAAACCACATGATTATCTCAATAGATGCAGAAAAAGCCTTTGACAAAATTCAACAACCCTTCATGCTAAAAACTCTCAATAAATTAGGTATTGATGGGACGTATTTCAAAATAATAAGAGCTATCTATGACAAACCCACAGCCAATATCACACTGAATGGGCAAAAACTGGAAGCATTCCCTTTGAAAACTGGCACAAGACAAGGATGCCCTCTCTCACCGCTCCTATTCAACATAGTGTTGGAAGTTCTGGCCAGGGCAATCGGGCAGGAGAAGGAAATAAAGGGTATTCAATTAGGAAAAGAGGAAGTCAAATTGTCCCTGTTTGCAGACGACATGATTGTTTATCTAGAAAACCCCATCGTCTCAGCCCAAAATCTCCTTAAGCTGATAAGCAACTTCAGCAAAGTCTCAGGATACAAAATCAATGTACAAAAATCACAAGCATTCTTATACACCAACAACAGATAAACAGAGAGCCAAATCATGAGTGAACTCCCATTCACAATTGCTTCAAAGAGAATAAAATACCTAGGAATCCAACTTACAAGGGATGTGAAGGACCTCTTCAAGGAGAACTACAAACCACTGCTCAATGAAATAAAAGAGGATACAAACAAATGGAAGAACATTCCATGCTCATGGGTAGGAAGAATCAATATCGTGAAAATGGCCATACTGCCCAAGGTAATTTACAGATTCAATGCCATCCCCATCAAGCTACCAATGACTTTCTTCACAGAATTGGAAAAAACTACTTTAAAGTTCATATGGAACCAAAAAAGAGCCCACATCGCCAAGTCAATCCTGAGCCAAAAGAACAAAGCTGGAGGCATCACACTACCTGACTTCAAACTATACTACAAGGCTACAGTAACCAAAACAGCATGGTACTGGTACCACAACAGAGATATAGATCAATGGAACAGAACAGAGCCCCCAGAAATAACGCCGCATACCTACAACTATCTGATCTTTGACAAACCTGAGAAAAACAAGCAATGGGGAAAGGATTCCCTATTTAATAAATGGTGCTGGGAAAACTGGCTAGCCATATGTAGAAAGCTGAAACTGGATCCCTTCCTTACACCTTATACAAAAAACAATTCAAGATGGATTAAAGATGTAAACGTTAGACCTAAAACCATAAAAACCCTAGAAGAAAACCTAGGCATTACCATTCAGGACATAGGCGTGGGCAAGGACTTCATGTCCAAAACACCAAAAGCAATGGCAACAAAAGCCAAAATTGACAAATGGGATCTAATTAAACTAAAGAGCTTCTGCACAGCAAAAGAAACTACCATCAGAGTGAACAGGCAACCTACAACATGGGAGAAAATTTTCACAACCTACTCATCTGACAAAGGGCTAATATCCAGAATCTACAATGAACTCAAACAAATTTACAAGAAAAAAAAAAAAACAACCCCATCAAAAAGTGGGCGAAGGACATGAACAGACACTTCTCAAAAGAAGACATTTATGCAGCCAAAAAACACATGAAAAAATGCTCATCATCACTGGTCATCAGAGAAATACAAATCAAAACCACTATGAGATATCATCTCACACCAGTTAGAATGGCCATCATTAAAAAGTCAGGAAACAACAGGTCCTGGAGAGGTTGTGGAGAAATAGGAACACTTTTACACTGTTGGTGGGACTGTAAACTAGTTCAACCATTGTGGAAGTCAGTGTGGCGATTCCTCAGGGATCTAGAACTAGAAATACCATTTGACCCAGCCATCCCATTACTGGGTATATACCCAAAGGACTATAAATCATGCTGCTATAAAGACACATGCACACGTATGTTTATTGTGGCATTATTCACAATAGCAAAGACTTGGAACCAACCCAAATGTCCAACAATGATAGACTGGATTAAGAAAATGTGGCACATATACACCATGGAATACTATGCAGCCATAAAAAATGATGAGTTCATATCCTTTGTAGGGATATGGATGAAATTGGAAATCATCATTCTCAGTAAACTATCGCAAGAACAAAAAACCAAACACCGTATATTCTCACTCATAGGTGGGAATTGAACAATGAGATCACCTGGACACATGAAGGGGAATACCACACTCTGGGGACTGTGGTGGGGTGGGGGGAGGGGGGAGGGATAGCATTGGGAGATATACCTAAGGCTAGATGACGAGTTAGTGGGTGCAGCGCACCAGCATGGCACATGTATACATATGTAACTAACCTGCACAATGTGCACATGTACCCTAAAACTTAAAGTATAAAAAAAAAAAAATGCAAATAAATGTGAAGATGAAAAAAAAAAAAAAAAAAGAAAGTGGGCCCTCACCAGACACCAAATCTGCTGGTGCCTTCATCTTGGACTTCCAGCCTTCAGAACGATGAGAAATAAATTTCAATTATAAGCCACCCAATTTATGGTATTTTGCTCTAGGAGCCCAAAAGGATCAAGACACAGGTATGAGTTTGGCTTATGCCAATTGTTTTTAATTCCCCTCAAGCTGACTTGTACATAGAAATGACCTCAGAACAACCACTCAGAGCATCTGGGGAGTCATTCCTTTCCTCTTCCTTGTTGTTTTTGATGGAAGGAAAAGTGTCAGGCCCATTGAAGTTACCACGTGCCATGGCTGTGAGTGCCTTCACTACTTGGAGTAGGCTCATCAGTAGACAACCCTCCCAGAGCTCTACGTGCAGCCGGCATCTGCGCGGTCTGTTAGGGTAAGTGCAGTTCAGGATCAATTATGGATGAGGCTCCACAGCAGATGAGTAAGTGGGCTGTTGTCTACTTTGAAAAATTAATGGGATCTGATTAATACGGGAGAACAGTCCCTCTCTTCCTCAACCCAGAGAGGCTCAGATCTCTGTGGAAGCTTGAGGGTTTGGCGGTTGGGGAGGAGGGAGCTCCTGTGTCTGTGGGTGTCAGGTTTGATTCATAGGATCATGCTTTGGAATTTTCTGCTCCTTTGACAGATGAGGCTGCTGAATTCCATCAAGGTGAATCAATTTGCCCAGACAGGTAGAAGGAAAGAGAATAGTCAATTAGTATTATTTTAAAAACTTAAAAGCTTTTCTCATATGGAAAATTAAAAACATTTACAGAAGTAGAGAGAGATCGATATCATGTAGCCATTCTCAAACTTTTTGGTCTTAGGAATGTTTTATAATTTCAAAAAATTATTGAGGACCTCAAGGGGCTTTTGTTTATTTGAGGTGCATCTATTGATATTAACCGTATTAGACGTTAAAACTCAGACACTTAAACATATTTATTAACTCATTTAAAAAAACAATAATCCTATTACATGTTAACACCAGTAACTTTTTTGTTTTTGACACTTTATGTCTACTATAAGCTTTCAGATGACAATTATACGTTCTCCATTAGATTTGCTTTTATTTCATTTTTATTGTAGTAAAATATATATAACAGAAAGTTTACCATTTTAACCTTCTTCTTTTTTTTTTTTTTTTTTTTTGAGACACAGCCTTGCTCTGTTGCCCAAGCTGGAGTGGGCAACAACCCATCCACCTTGGCCTCCCAAAGTGCTGGGATTACAGGTATGCACCACTGTGCCTCACCCCATTTTAACCATTTTTAAATGTACAGTTCAATGGCATTGAGTACACTCCCATTGTGCAACCATCACTGTTATCCATTTCCGGAAACTTTTCATCATCTCACACTGAAACTCTGTACCCATTAGCAACTCTCCATCCGCCTTCCCCCAGCCTCTTATGAATACTGTTCTACTTTCTGTCTCTATGATTTTCACTACTCTGGGTATTTCATATAAGTGGAATGATGTCATGTTTGTTCTTTTGTGAATGACTTATTTCACTTATCATAATGTCCTCAAGATTCATCCACATACTGTAGCCCATGTCTGAATTGCCTTCCTTTTTGAAACTGAATATTCCTTGTATGTGTACACCACCGAGTGATCCTCCATTGACAAGAGGCTGTGGCTGTTTCCACCTTTCGGCTGTTGTGAATGCAAACATTGGTGTACAAAGATACGTTTGAGACCCCGCTTTCAGTTCTTTTGTGTGTTTACCCAGAAGCGGAATTGCTGAATCACACGGTAATTCTGATGTTTCTGTTTTTGAGGAATCGTCCCACTGTTTTCCATCGTGACTGGAGCATTTTACATTCTCACCAACAGTGTGCATGTGTACCAATTTCTTCACATGCACTCCAACACACGTTTTCTGTTTTTCTTAATAGCAATCCCAATAAATGTTAAATACATTCTTAATTTAAAAACCCCAATATTTCCCAAACAAAAAAATTAGTGAGAAAAAGACATTGTATTACATTTTGTAAATCTTGAATGCCTGGCTTAATGGGCAGCTGGATTCTCATATCTGCTTTTTCATTTAATCTTTGTGACATCACATGCTGTGTGGCCTCTAGAAAACTCCACAGTACCCTCATGGGAGAAGGAAAGGGAGAAACGCAAATGACATGCTAGTATTATTAGGAAAATAGGTTTTTTTAAAAAATTTTTTTGAGATGGAGTCTCACTCTGTCACCCAGGCTGGAGTGCAGTGGCGCAATCTCAGCTCACTGTAACCTCCACCTCCCGGGTTCAAGTGATTCTCATGCCTCAGCCTCCTAAGTAGCTGGGACTACAGGCATCGTGCCTGGCTAATTTTTGTATTTTTTGTAGAGACGGGGTTTCACCATGTTGGCCAGGTTTGTCTCAAACTCTTGACCTCAAGTGATCCACCTGCCTCGGCCTCCCAAAGTTCTGGGATTACAGGTGTGAGCCACCACACCCGGCCAGGAAAATAGTTTTGATTTTGTGGACTTCAGCTTTAATTATCAACTCAGGGTCAATCTCGTTTCATCTCTTCTCCCTCTTGCCTCCCCTCTTCATTAGTTTGGAGCAAACCTATAACCATCAGTTACTATCAGCATTGCATTAGGCGCGGTCCTGTATCCTTTTCCTAACTGTCATAAGAAATCCACTTTATTAGCAGCTATGAGTATCTGGTTGTTCACACGAGGAAACCAGGCTTTGGGAACATTGGGAGATTTTCTCAGGTTCACACTGGAGAAGCTGAGGGCACACAGGCTGGAGCCCAGGTCAGATATTTATTATACCGTTTTCTTTTTGTTCTTGTTGTTGTTTTTCTTTGAGACAGAGTCTTGTTCTCATGCCCAGGCTGGAGTACAGTGGCACAATCTTGGCTCACTGCAACCTCCACCTCCTTGGTTCAAGTGATTCTCCTGCTACAGCCTCCTGAATAGCTGGGATTATAGGTGCCTGCCACCATGCCTAGCTAATTTTTGTATTTTTAGTAGAGATGGGGTTTCACTATGTTGGCCAGGCTGGTGTCGAACTCCTGACCTCAAGTGATCCACCTGCCTTGGCCTCCCAAAGTGCTGAGCTTACAGGTATGAGCCACCATGCCCGGTCAATATTATACTGTTTTCTACACTTGACATAAGACCATGAGCACTATTGGGTTGGCCTTCTGTCTGTGTCTTTTTCCCACTGGGACTTTAGGAAAAGCTCTTGTTTTCCTCCCTGCCTCCATCTCTCACATGTGGGTGCTCTTTTGGTAGGTTTTTGAGTAGCCCTCTAGCCAGGCCTCGCGCAGGCTCCTGGACAGATAGCTGAACTGGATGCTGCTGTTTGAAGCAATTCTGGATCATTTGTTTGGACTGGATCTGGATCATGAGTGGAGACACCTCTATTCACTGTCGAATTAATGGAGTCCACACAATGCAGGATCTGAGGTCATCCAGTCCTGACTGCCTCCCAAGACTGAAACCCTCTCTAAAACACTCTGCCCAAAGGTCATCTGACCTCTGCTTGTATACCTCCAGTGACGGGGAACTCACTACCTACCTCAGCAGACAGCCAGACCATAGATGGTGCTCTTATTGTTAGAAAGCTCCACTCACATTGCATAACATTGCAGGAACAACCTGGATTCACGCTGTGGTGGGAAAAACTCACACTGGGAGTTGAGATTCCTGGGTATGAGATTGGGGTCACTGTGGTTAAGTCCCATCCCCTTGAAGGGTTTCAGTTTCTTCGCTGTGAAGAGCACTTATCTCTGGTTCCTTTCACCACTAACATTCTGATGTATTTTCTAATTTAGCCACCTATTCTAGAGGAGCAGTATTGAAGGGCTTGGGGAAACCGAGTGCTCTCTAAGTGTGGCCCTCACCATCCTTCCTGGTGCGCTATCTCCAGCCGTGCATCCGAAAACATCCCAGTCTGCCCCTGGCCTCTGCATGGAGCCTGACCCCCAACACAGACCTCTCAAGAGGTTCTGGATTCACTGGTGCTGCTACAGCCCTGAGCAAAAACACAGCTGTTTCGTTTACCACCCCACCCCAACATAAGCTGTCCTCAGACTTTACAAAGACTTAGGGATTGCACAGTCCACAAGACTTTCAATGCCTTTGCCCTGTATCTCAACTAACTTTCAAATAGAGGGACCTTCTTATAGGAAGAAGAAGGAAAAATCAAGTGGAAAAACACCTTGATCAGGTAATTGAAGGAGAACTGGGGCTCAGGCTGCCACTTGGTTTGGAAAGGGTGTGGAGGTGGCTAATCTGGCCCTGGCCTAAGAGCAATTCCAGGCTGGCGGGCTGGACCGCCTGTCTCCATAGCAACTGTTGTTATTGGTAACTGAATAACCATTTCCTAGAACAGCGGCTGGAGCTGCTGATGGTTTTCCCTTCTACTTGGAAGCGAGAGGAGCCAGGCTCTTTGCTGATTGATCCTAAGTGCTGAGCTCTTTGCTGATTGGGATCTTCACTTGATATTGGGCAAGCTGAAGCCACCCTTCTGTTTTATCTCTGACCTCTGCCAGCAGAGAGGGTGGGACAAACTGACTTAATGTCTATTTTCCGGCTTCCTCTGAGAGGTTGAGAAAGGTGCTCAAGGGCATTTAGCTAGCAAGATCTAGAACTTGAACTTTGCCCTGTCTGATTCTGAAACCCATGCTCGTGACCACATGGCTGTTCTGACTCTGTCCCATTCCTCTGAGATCTCATGAAAACCTGATTAGCCCTTTCTCATGACACCATGAGCTGTCTAATTATTTGTGAGGACAGGTAGCATCTTACAGTGATCCATGGTCTGCACAAAGGCTGTTCTAGAAGCTGTCTTACTTGATTATCCTGCAGTGGTGTCAGTGGGACCTTAAAATGCTGTAGCCCTAGAGTTATTAGGGTCATGCTCACTGAGGCCATTGCCTCAAACTTCCTGCTCTCCCCCTGCACTCTCCCTCCATCCTGGGGAGTGATAGGTGGTGGAGCAGACCTGGCTACAGGAGTGAATTCCAGATCACTTTCATGGAGGCACTTAGGCTATTGTGTTTGTTACCAAGCCAAAGGAGCTTGCTGCCCAATGCACTAGAAGCCAATACTATGACACTGGGTTTTTGAGAAACAAAAAGCTTTTTAAGTCGACTAACAAGGAGACAGGAGTCCGGCTCAAATCTGTCTCCCTGTGCTGGCTTTCAGTCATTTCATTAAAAAAGGTTGAGGGGGTAGATTCTGGGATTAGCGGATGATTGGTGGAAGGAAAGGGGAGGTCTGGAAAGTCCTCGGGCACGCGCAGTTCTCTCTCTATGCTACCACATGTGCAAATTTGCGGGGAGTGTTCATGTGGAACAGGCAGTGTTTCCTGTTTCCAGACCAGGCAAGGTGGCTCACAAATGGCTCTACGATCCAGAGAAAGTCAGCAGGGAGGGTTGTGATTTGTTATTATGAAAAATTAACAAATTACATCCAAAATGTGTTTAACTCCTATTCCCTTTGAAAAGGATCTTTGGGTACCTAATTGACATATTTTAAGAGACATATTGGCTAGTTAGACATCAATTGACATCCTCATTAAATATCAATTAACACATATCCTAACGTAATATTTAATTAGCTTGCTGTAGCTATTCTTTTAAAAGTCAATTAAATGCTTGGCATATTCTTACAAGCCGACTCCATTGATAGCAATTATGGATGAATTCCTGTCATAAGTCATTTTTAGTGGATAGCAGGGCAAACTGATTCTGAATATACACATCAGGTCTTTCAAGAAGAATTTAAAAATCAATCATTAGATATCTAATGAACCCTCTTCTCTGCTGATTGTGAATAAAAGGCATGTTCGGCTCTTGGACTGTAGTTTAGTGCATTTTCACATGATTGTTGGAACTCTAGGTCAAACAGAACAGACACCTGCCTCCAGGGAGAGTCGTGCTTCATTTGAAAAGAAAATTGTGGTAAAATAAACATAACATAAAATGTAGCATCTTAACCTTTTAAAAATGTATAGTTCAGTAGAGTTAAGTACATTTGCATTGTACAACCAGTCTCCAGAACCGTTTTAATCTTGCAGTTCTGAAACTCTTGTACCCATTAAATAATGATTCCCTTTCCTCTCTCCCCTGAGCCCGGGCAACCACCATTCTAATTTCCATCTCTAGGAGTTTGACTACTTGAGGTGCCTCATATGGAATTATACAATATCTTGTGTGTGTGTGACTGGCTTATTTAACTTAGCATAATGTCCTCAAGGTTCATCCATTTTGTAGCATGCATTAGAATTTCCCTCCTTTTAAAGGCTGAGTAATACTGCATTGTATGTCTAGACCACATTTTGTTTATCCATTCATCTGTTAATGGACACTTGCATTGCTTCTACCTTTTGGCTATTTGGAATAATGCTGCTGTGAACACGGGTATACAGGTATCTCTTGGAGACCCTGCTTTCCATTCTTTGGGTACATACCCAGAAGTAGGATTGCTGGATCATAGAGTGTATTAGTCTGTTCCCATGCTGCTAGTAAAGACATACCTGAGACTGGATAATTTATAAAGGAAAGAGGTTTAACGGACTCACAGTTCCACATGGCTGAGTAGGCCTCATAATCATGGCAGAAGGCAAGGAGGAGCAAGTCACGTCTTACACAGCGGGTGTCAGACAAACAGAGAGAACTTGTGCAGGGGAACTCCTCTTTATATAACCATCAGATCTCTTGAGACTTATTCACTATCATGAGAACAGCACAGGAAAGACCCACCCCCATGATTCAGTTACCTCCCTCTGGGTCCCTCCCGTAACACGTGGGAATTGTGGGAGCTATAATTCAAGATGAGATTTGGATGGGGACATAGCCAAACCATATCATAGAGTAATTCTATTTTGAGTTTTTTTTGTGGACATTTTTAAGTTAATTTATTCAATGCACTCATTAAGCACCTGTGCTAGTGGACATTCTTAAAAAAGGTGAGCTCAGTCTGGTGAGCTGGCCGGCCCAGGAGTAAGCCTAACCTGTTAGGGCTACTGCTGCAGTAGTGATAATGTGAGCCCAGATGGTGTGATCAGTGCATTTCTAACAGTGTGGCATGGATCAGGCATAGCAGGGAGGAGAGTCAACACAGCTGGCCTGAGGCTGCATCCTCAGAAAGGTCTACTTGCAAGGTTGGCCCTTGGCTGGTGTCTGGGTACTTGGGTTTTGGGAGGATTCTGCCATTCCCGTAGCTGATAATAGTGGCTCACTGTGCCTAAACTGTTTGTAGGCATGTGCTGAGCCCCTACTTTCCTTCTGGGAGTCTGGAATTTCAGTACATGTTAGGCAGAGTGTGCTTATATGACCTGTCCCAGTAGAAGCCGTGAGTATTGACTCTCTAATGAGCTTTCCTGGTAGGCAACACCTCACACATGTCAACACCTGTCCCTGGGAGAATGAAGTGCATACTGTGTGACTCCACTGGGAGAGGACTCTGTGAAGATCGCACCTGGTTTTCTCTGGACTTTGTCCCATGTGCCTTTTCCCTTGGCTGATTGTTTCATATCTTTTTGCTGTCATGAATCACAGCCATTACTATGACTCTGCATTGAGTCCTGTGAGTCCTCCAGAGAATCATGGAAGTGTTCCTGGGGACCCCTGACATAGGTGATACCCTGCAGGAGGCCTTATAGAAGCAGAGGGGACATCCGAGGTAGCTCTTGAAGGACAGGGAAGAGTTTTCCAGGTGGACAAGGGAGGGGTAGCCGTCTAGCCAAAGGCACATCATGAGCTCAGGCATAGAGCCTGGAGGAGAGTGGCCTGACTAGGCAGCTGCAGCTGAAACAGAGGACAGCCAAAGCCAAAAGGGTACGGGATGGCCGCTCATGACAGGCCAGGAGCTGAAGAGCTGGGACTCTGTCCATCAGGCAATGAGGAGCCCCAGTGGAGTTTGGAGCAGGAGTGAGGGATGAGGGTTCTGCTGAAAGCCCCAGTGGGGGATTCCAGGTGTAGTGAGAAGAGAAGGAAAGCAGACAGAATGAGAAAGCAGTTGATAGAGTAGCCAAGGGGGTGGAGAAGAGGGAGGAAAAGGGAAGGAGGCTGGAGAAGGAGGAAAGACAGTCATCAGGTACCCATGGGAGAACAAGTCATCCCTGCCTATGGTCCACAATAGGGCAACCACCACTGCCCAAGTCCTCAGAGGATTTCCTCCACATCCTGCAGGAGAGAGGCTGCCCTGGCTCTGTTGGCCAAGGCAGCTGGGGTGAGCCATGTGTCTCTCTCTGCCTCAGTTTGTCTCTCTGTTAAATGGGAATGCAACAACACCTACTTGATGGTTGTTGTGAGGAATTCCTGGAATAACAGATGTGATTCAACTTTTATCCCCTAATGTGATGTCCTCAGGTGGAGGTGAAGATGGAGGTAATTTCTAAGTCTGGGGCCTGAAAGCTGGGTTCAGAGACAGGCCACATGCCACGTCAGGTCAGACAGTGAGGTAGCTTTGCAGAAGGAAGCCAAGTGTATTAGTCCATTTTCACGCTGCTGATAAAGACATACCTGAGACTGGGAAGAAAAAGAGGTTTAATGGACTTACAGTTCCACATGGTTGGGGAGGCCTCACAATCATGGTGGAAGGCAAGGAGGAGAAAGTCACATCTTACATGGATGGTGGCAGGCAAAGAGAGAGCTTGTGTAGGGAAACTCCTGTTTTTAAAACCATCAGATCTCATGAGACTCATTCACTATCACGAGAACAGTGCAGGAAAAGCCCACCCCCATAATTCAATCACCTCCCACCAGGTTCCTCCTATGACACCTGGGAATTGTGGGAGTTACAATTCCAGATGAGATTTGGGTGGGGACACAGCCAAACCATATCACCAAGCTTCTGGAGACATCCATTCCTGATGTGGGAAAGTGATGCCACGTATTCTGGCTGAATTAGTGAATTCAGTCCCTCCTAGGACACTGTATCTTGGCTACAGAGAGGCATCTTCACCCTGGAGGTGGGGACCACATGGTGGCATGGGACGGGGAGGAATAGCACACTGCACAGGGTGCTGGGGGCCTGCTCTGGTGCCTGCTCCCTCTGTGTCCTGGGTGGCGTGTGATGTGGCTAACGTGACTGCTCTGTGTCTGGATTCTGCATTGTGCCTGTGCCTGGCCTTGGAACCACTTTCACCCTGAAAAGTAACTCCAGGACTGTTGCTTCTGCCCATTGCCACTCCCCTGCCTACAAGATAAAGGCCATGCTTCTTAGCTTGGCATTCAAGGCCCCCATAATGACCTCCAACCCTTTTTCCTGATGTCTGCCCTGGCTCCGCCCCCTGGCACCTCCTCATTATATTCTCTGACTGCACTTTTTACCCCATTCCTGACATTACACCCACCTAGTCTAGTCTACCACCAAGGCAATGACCCCCACGCCTCAGTAGCTAAAGCTTTTCCAAACTGTGATCTTGGGCAAGTTCCCTCTGGTGCCTCAGTTTCCTCATATGTAGGAAGGACATGACACGAGAGGCTGCCCTGTTGGCAGCTGGGACTACTTCATTGTTTGTCTTGGGGATTAGGCAAGATGGGGTTGAACCAGTGACTACCTGAGGCTTCTGTCTACTCTGCCCCAAGACCACCTGCTCCCAAGCCCCTCTCTGGCACCATCTGTCCTCATTTCTGCCCCCAAGCTTCTGGCCTTTATTCTCAGAGATGGCCCTGGGTGTTGCACAAGCAAGGTTTGGCCTCAAACAGACCTGGTTTAAAACTCACAGGTTGGGTGCCCCTAGACAAGTCACTCCTCTCCTCTGATCCTTAGGTGGGTAACAGGGGGAGCTCATGGAGACTGATGAGTTAACACTTGCAAAATGCCCAATGTCCAGGTGCTCTGTGAATGTCAGTTTCCTCCCTCCTTCCATGCCCAGTGCGGGTCTGGCTTCAATTCTGACGTTAAGTCAGCCCAGCAGCATGACTGGGAAGAGTGGATTCTGCAGTCTGCCGGGAGTCAGCTTTGCCATTCACTGGCTGTGTGAACTTGGGTGGGCCACTTAAACTCTCCAAACTCTGAGTTTCTCATGTGTAAGATGGGGGCAATCAAGTGTCCACCCCTAAGCGTTGTTGTGAGGAGCTGGCAAGAGATCACAGCCCCGTGCCTGACACATAAGAAACTCTTAGGTAAAGCTTTGCTGCTACTAGTGATCTTTTCTTTCCCAACTCTAGTGGATTGTACTTTCCAAAGGAGGCTGCAACAATAGCTCCCATCCCATATGCTCTTCTTACAAGGTGACCTTGATACACCCCATCAGGAGGTGAAGTCTATGTCCCCAACCCTTGAAGTTGAACAGACCTTTGCAACTGCTTTGACCAACAGAGTATGGCACAATGACGCGATGTGTCTTCCAAAGGGAGGTCATGATAGGCAATATAGCCTTGCCTGGCTCTCCCTCTCTAGGCACACTTGCTCTAGGAGCCCAGCCACCATGCTGTGAGGAAGCCCAGGTGACCAGGAGAGGCCATGTGTAGGCGTTTTGGATGACAACCAGCCTCAGTTATCAGAAATGCATGAGTGAACCTTTAAATGATTCCAAGCCCCAGCTCCTGTCTGAGCACAACTGCAGGAGAGAGCGGAGAACCGCCCAGCTGAACCCAATCAGTCCCCAAACTGTGAGAGATAGTGATAATGATACTAATAAAAAAATTCTGTGGGCTGAGCACAGCGGCTCATCCCTGTAGTCCCAGCTATTTGGGAGGCTGAGGTGGGAGGATTGTCTGAGCCCAGAAGTTTGAGACCAGCCTGGCCAACGTAGTGGAACCCCATCTCTCCAAAAAATTAAAAAAATTAGCTGGGTGTGGGGGCACATGCCTGTAGTCTCAGCTACTTGGAAGGCTGAGGTGGGAGGATTGCTTGAGCTTGGGAAGTTGAGGCTGCAGTAAACTATGATCGCATCATTGCACTCCAGCCTGGGTGACAGCAAGACCCCATCTCAAAAAAAAAAAAAAATCATTTGGTGAATATTTTTAAGGGAAAACAGCAAAGTTTTTTCCTATTAGTCGGTGACCTCAGCATGGCATCAATAGAAAAACAAGTTGGGAGGAGGGGTTGCTGGTGGCTATTGATAACTGTCATGGAGGGCTTAGGATGACAGCAGAGTTGTCCCTGGGGATCGTCGTGAACCTCAGCTTCGAAGCTAAGCACAGACAACACAGAGGCGGCAGCAGCCGGTGGGGATGTGTGTGGGCCTGCAAGTCAGACCTGGGTGGATCCTGCTTCCAGCACCCACCAACTGTGTGGCTTTGGGCAAGTCCCTTCCCTATTCTGGACCTCACTGGAGACATGTTTAATACACAGGGGCTGGGCTTGAATGTTCGTAAAGATGCTTTGGCCACACACAGGGCTGTGATTCTCAGAGAGAAAACCCCCCTTCCGCGCCCTCTCCCACTGCCAGGTGGAGATGGTTAGGAGGTCGGGAGCCTCTGCAGGACACAGGGCAATCCCCATAGAGACACCAGCTTGCTCAGTCCGTCCGCCATCTTCATGGTCTTCTCTGCCGGCCCTCTTTACCTTGCATTTCCCAGCATCACCTCACCGACTCCTCTCATTGCCACATTTCTGTCCTGTCACCTCCCCTCACATTTTGCTGTCACCCACACCCTTGTAGCCATCCTGACAGGTTCCCACTGTCTCCCCAATGCATTCATAGACTCTCCTACAACTGCCATCAAATCCCACCCTCTTGCTTCACAATCCCTCACAATCCAAATGTCAATTCCTTTTACAATTTCAGGTCACATGCCAACATCCATCCTCTTCACCCCTGCAACCCCCAGATGCTCTACAACCTCAAGGCACCACCTCCACTCTCTACTACCACCCCTGAAGCTGCCCAGCCTTTGCCTATACTTTTGTGGTCACCTGGACCATGGTAAACGCTTCCCCTGTCTTCTCATTGTCCCCCTCACCCCACCCAAAACCAGCCTGAAAATTACTGAGTTCCCATTTGCTGCCTGGATCTCTGCTCCGTTTCCTCGTTTGATAATGAAGAGTTGTTAGTATAATCTCTGCTTTGCACGTGGAGGACTTGAGGTTCAGGGAGGCTAACTAATCTGCTTGGAGTTTCACGGGGCCGATGCCTGAATAGCCGACACCTGGCTAATGTCATGCCTGCCCCTGCTGCCTCCTGCTTCTCTTACCCGCATTGTCTGACTTTCATCCTATTCTCTCTCCCTCCTCCTGCACACCCCCTCCCCACACCTCCTCCCTTCCAAGTGCCCTGTGTCGAACTGAGGCAGAATGATCTGAGTACAAAGGATGGAAAGATCCAGCAAGCATGGAATCCTTTGGCTCTTGGAGCCTCAGATTTCTTAACTATAAAATGGGAGCAAGAGATGGTTCCTTCACGTGACTGCTATGAGCATAAGCAAGAGCATACCTGTGGCGTCATGTAACAGAGTTGGGTGCACAGAAAGCATTTAATGAATGAACAAAAATATTCCAGGCACAGGATGCCATCAGGTCATGAAAAACATCTTTTCCAGATCCCCCCACGAGGCCCACCTTTGTCCCCCTGCCTGTGCTCTGGGCTGGTGGGATGGTGGCACAGTCAGCTCCAGTAAGCCCTGTGGGCCAGAGGCTTTTACTCTGCACCTTTACTCAGCCCCTTAGGGAAGAAGACCCCAGATGAGGCCCCAGGGCACAGTTATCAAGAGGCTGAGCAGAGCTTGGAGCCGGAAACTAGAGTTGAAATCCAGCTCTGCCACTCAATGGCCATCGAACTTCATCTCTTTGTGCCTCAGTTTCATCATTTGTAAAATGGGGATATAGGCTGTGCCCGTCTCATTGGGCTGGTTGTGAGAATGCAATGAGTAAATCCAAGCACCTTGGCACATGGTGAGTGCTCAGTAGATGTTAGCTACTGTTCTCACCACGGAACCCGCTGAGCCCCAGGAGCCAGAGATCCCTGCTTGGCACCAACAAGGGACCTGAGGTTGTGAGCTGTGCACAGAAGGCCAGGCCCAGGTCCAGGACGGTCTTTCTCCAGCCCCCTTATGTGCCAGGCTTTGTCATCGGCTCTCTCCACACCCAGCTTTTAGGAATATAATTATGAGACCCACTTCCAGGTGAAGAAACTGAAGCTCAGAGATGCTGAGAAACTCCCCAGCTGGTAAGAGGCAGTCGGGATCAGAGCCCGGATTGGCTGTTACTTCAATTGCTCATCTCCAGCCATTCACCTGGCACTGAGGACCTGCTATGTGCCAGGCACTGTTCCAGGTCCTAGGGGTACTCTGCAGAGAAACATGGATATGATGCCTGCCATTCCTGGATTTCTACAAGGGCACGCTGCCTCAGGAGCAGGGGAAATTCAGGCCTCAAATCTTCTGGGCAAGCATTGTTCATAGGGTCAGCTGAGCTATGCATGGACAGGTATAAGTGGAGCTTGAAGAGTTAAAAAATAAACAAGAGCCAAATATTTCTCTGGGTACTGATGACTGCTTGATCAATGAAGAAGGAAGAAAAGATTGGGGTGACTGGGGCTGCATTAATAGAGGTTTAATAATCAGAATAAAGGAGGTGAGAGTCCCACTTGTTGCAATCTGGATCAGATCTCATCAGTTCTACACTCGCATGATAAGGAGAACATGGGGTCATTGAACAGATGATATCAAAAGCAGCTAGGATGGCCTGTGGGCCTTGGCTGAAGAGCTGGGGAGGTGCATCAGGCAAAGAGGCAGCTTACTTGGGGCATCAGTGTTGTTTTCAGCTGCCCAAGGGTGTCTTATGGACTCACTTCAAGGAACTTGGAGGGCCTTAAGGTCATAACCTGGACCAGATAGTGAACATTACAGAGTTCTTATGAGAATGAACTTTGACCTATCAAAATCCTCAGTAATGGGAGGCAGTTACTAGAAGCAGTGAGTTCCTTGTCACGTAAAGAGTGTGAGCAGAAGCTAGAAGATCATTTAACTAGGGCACTTGGGAGGCGTGTCGGACTAGGAAGCATCTCAGGTTTCCATGCAGCTCATGCCTAGAGTCTCTGCTTTTACTGTTCCTTCTGTGTGGAAGGCGTTCCAGGTAGTGCCTTCTCATCCTTTAGGTCTCAGCTTTAATATCACCTCCTCAAGGAAGTCTCCTTTGATCACGCAAGGTAGGTTTCTTCCTCTCCCACCCCACTATTCTCTATTTCAGAGACCTATTGAATTCCTTCACAGGATTTTCCACAATTTGTAATTATTTAGTTTGTTTTACTTGTTTGATGTCGAATGCCCTCAAAAGACTGCAGATGCAGGAAGGTAGAGACCAAATTATCTCTGTTTGTTTTGTTGTCTTGTTTACCAGCTGTGCCTCCAATACCTGGGATATAGCAGGTCCTCAGTAAGCATTTCTTGGATGGATGGATGGATGGATGGAGAGATGAACTGATAGACAGATAGATGAATGATGGATGGATGAATGGATGGATGAGTGGATGGATAAGTAGACGGGTGAATGAATGAATAAATGAATTTATGTGTGGGTGGATGGATGACTTCCAGCTCACATATTTTCAGGTGTAAATTCTCTGTGTGTTCAGGACATCCTTATATGTAGATTATCAGCAGAGAGCTGAGCTATGTGCGTGTTTCATTTCCAGTTCCTGTGGACAGGAATTATGACGTCTCTGGGGAATCACTGTAGTGAACTGATTAGCAGCTAATTACAGGAGGACATTTTATGTTTTGACCCCAGAATTAACCACATGAACTTTGATGAAGAGGAAAATCAAGGACTGGGTGAATTCATTTAAATTTAGTTTAATATGTCCTTTCAGCACATAAGCAGCTAATAAAAATGGACATCTTTCATGTGCAAATCTCCTCGGAAGGGTCCTCCGTGGATGTTCCAGGGTCACAGCCAATTCTCTTTGAAGTGTGGCCCAAAGATCTCTAGAGGCAGGTTCGTGAGCTTTGTTAAAATGTAGATTCTGGGGCCCACCCCAGACCCACTGAATGGGAACTTCGGAAGTGGGGCCCAGGATGGGACATTTCTGAAGCACTCTTGTCCGAGCTTAGGCTCCTGGGAAACCATCTCAGACAGACCCTAACAGATAATGAAACAGGCCAGCCACGCACAGTGGCTCATGCCTGCAATCCCAGCACTTTGGAAGGCCTAGGCGGGCAGATCACTTGAGGTCAGGAGTTCGAGACCAGCTTGGCCAACATGGTGAAGTCTCATCTCTACTAAAAGTACAAAAAAATTAGCTGGACGTGGTGGCACGTGCTCATAATCCCAGCTACTTGGGAGGCTGAGGCACAAGCATCACTTGAACTAGGGAGGTGGAGGTTGTAGTGAGCTGAGATCGTGCCACTGCACTCCAGCCTGGGTGATGGAATGAGACTCTGTCTCACAAAAAGAAAGAAAATTATTATATTAAAAAAAAAAAAAGAGAAGCAGCAGCTGAGGCCAGAGAGGGACAGTGACCTACTTAAGGTCACCCAGCAAATCCATGGCACAGCTCAGACTAGAACCTTCTCTTTTGTCTGCCAGACCAACAGCCTGTTCTTGATGATGGGTGAGAGTGAATGGAATTTAGGGTTAAAAGTAATCATATTGCTCCCATCTTAAACTTACATTTTCCAGTCCCAATTTTCTATGAGTAATGTCCATTAAATAATTAATGTTCCTGAAAATAGTCTGGGCTTCCTCATGCCTTTTTATTCCTGGAACATCAAACCTTTTCAGATCATAATTAATTAAGACTCTTGATGTCCCCGAGAGGTAGCCAGACACCCGCAGAAACTTGGTAATTGGTTCCGAATACCAAGAGACACAGTCTGCATTCTAGAATTTCCCTGATTTGAGAAGGGGATGGGACTGGAGAGAGACTAACGTGGCCCCGAGGGCTGCCACGCACCAGGCAATGTGCAAGTTGCTTCTCATATGTTCTCACGTCTCAGTCTTGTGACACTGGGAGGTACGTGGAATTATCCCCATTTTACAAATAGAGGCAATGGAGGCTCAGACCACCCAAGGTGGCATTCTTCAGCCTGGTGGCATTGAAGGAGGTGGCAAATCTGTGTTACAGAACTCATCACATTCTCACAAATTGAGGTCAGCGTGGTGATTGTTCTACGCTGTTTTTTGTTTTGTTTTGTTTTGTTCTGTTCTGTTTAGAGATAGCGTCTTGCTCTGTAACCCAGGCTGGAGTTCAGTGTGGTCCAACCATGGCTCACTGCAGTCTTGACCATCTGGGCTCTAGCGATCCTCTCACTTCAGCCTCCCAAGTAGCTGGGACTACAGGTGCATGCCACCACACCTGCCTAATTTTTTTATTTTTATTTTTTTGTAGAGACAGAGTCTTGCTGTGTTGCCCAGGGTAGTCTCAAACCCTTGACCTTAAGCAATCCTCCTGCCTCAGCATCCCAAAGTGCTGGGATTACAGGCATGAGCCACTGCACCTGGCCTATGCTGGTTTCAAAACACGCTTTGCTCATGGCTTGACCACACTTGGTCAGCGTGGCTGAGAGGAGTGGAGTGAGTGTTCCTGGGACGCACTAGGAGGGTAATGAGGAAGGGTCAGCAGAGCTGGGGCCTGGGGTTAGACAGAGGCCACGCTGCAAAGAACCTGCCTCCAGGCAAATAGCTTGTTTTGTGCTATTTCTAAATAACCACTCCTCACACCCATCAAAGCCTTCATGGGGGTACCACACACAACCACCCCTAGCTGTTCATTCATTCATTCGTTCGTTCAACAAATATTTACTGAGCACCTGCTATGTGCCAGGCACTGTCTCAGGCACTGGGGAAACAGCAGGGACCTCGGTGGTGACACAGACAATAAAGCAGCAGCAAGTTCATTACTGTGAACCCTTGAACAATGCGGGGGTTGGGGTGCCGACCCCTTACCCCGTGCAGTGGAAAATTCTTGCATAACTTTAAAACTTAACTAACCGCTTCACTGTTGGCCAAAGCCTTACTGATTACATAAACACTTGATTCACAGATATTTTATATGTTTTATGCATTATATACTGTGTTCTTATAATAAAGCTGCAGAAAAGAGAATGTTATTACGAAAATCATAAGGAAGAGAAAGTCTATTTATTATTCATTAAGTGGAAGTGGATCATCACAAAGGTCTTCATCCTCGTTGTCTTCATGTTTAGGCTGGGGAGGAAGAGGAGGGGTTGGTTTTGCTCTCTCAGGGGTGGCAGAGGCGAAAGAGGTGGAGGAGGTGGAAGGGGAGGTAAGAGAGGCAGACACACTTGGTGTAATTTTATCACAAAAAATCTGCGTATAAGTGGTCCCGCACAGTTGAAACATGTGTTGTCGAAGGGTTGACTGTCATTCATTAATTACCCATTGTCATCCATGCAATGAAGGTCCAGGGTGTTGGGGGGCACTGTAGAGAGGGCAGTTAGGGAAGGCCTCTGTGCGGGGCTGACGTTTTAGGTTGAGAACTGAAGGCTGGGGAGGAAGCAGATGTGGAAGATGGGGAACAGTGTGCTGAGGCTCAGAGTGGGGGAAAAGTGCCATAGGATTGTGGACTGTGGACTGTGGACCAGAAAGAGGACTCCCATTCCTGCCACTCCTGCCCCAAGAAGGGGGAGCAGGTATGTGGGGAGGGCGGGGCGAGGTGGTCCTGGCCAGCTGAGAAGTAGTGTTGGAACATGAGGGTGCTTTAGCCCCGGGTTAGGAAATGGGGGGCCATGGAGGGGTGGGGGCGAGGAGTGACACGGGCTGACTTAGGATGTGTAAGCGCCTTGTGGCTCCAGTGTGGACTGCAAGTGGGGGCAGGTAGGGGCTGTGGGTGGCTGCAGGGAGCCCAGGTAAGAGGTGCTGGCTGCTTGGTCTGAGGAGGGAGGGATGAGGCCTGAGCCAAGGGCAGACCCAGATATATCTAGCGCAGGGAGTGCACCTCACACAGGCTGACTTCTGGGTATTTGGAGACTCCCTCTGGGCCAGGGCAGGGACTTTTCTCCCATTCAATAGGTGGGAACACTGAGGCCTCCAAAGTGAAGTGATGTGCCTGAGTTCTCTCCGGCAGGTGCAGCGCTACACAAGGCCTCTGCCCACCTTTGTGGCCTGGCTGGACCAGGGATCTTGTCCCTCAAGAAGTAAGCGAGTCCAGCTCAGGAGAGAACCCAGCCCTGCAGGTGCTCAGGGCAGACACAGCCTCGATTTACAGTGAACCCCTCCCCTGGACTGGACAAGGAGGGCTCAGAGAGGCTTGAGATGGAGCGGGGCTTGGGAGGAGGCTGCAGTCAGGTGGGGGAAGAAGATGAGAGGCCCGAGCACAGTTACATAATGACAATCAGCAGCAGCTGAGGACAGGCAGCTTTGATGGTGGTGGTGGTGGTGAGGTGGGGCGGGGTGGGGTCGGGGGTAGCAAGAGTGATCAGAGAGGCCTTCCTGGAGGAGGTGAGGAAACCACAGACCAAAGACGTGGCCAGCAGGGTGTGAGAGATGCCAGTGAGAGTGGAGGGTGGGTTTGCGTGGGAGAGACCATCTAGGTGAGAGGATGGGGTGTGGGTGTTTTAGGATTAGGGGTGAAGCCTCATCATCTAGGCTGGGAGGCAGGAGGCCTGGCCTGTGGCCCCAGTTCTTCCCTGAGTGATCAGCTGCCTAGAGTGGCCAGTCACATCCCCTCTGGAGAGCCCTTTCCCCTAACTGAGCCTCGAGGGGGTCCTGGTTGTGGCAAAACAAGCATTCCCCATTCATGGTAAAAATAATCTCTCCAACCCTCTTAGAAGATCTGTAATTTCTTTCATTTCTTTCATATGGTATATGTTAAAAAGTAGTTAATTATTTGGATAGCATACTGTTAAAGACTGTATTACAAAGTTCATGTTTAATGCAGAAAAAGACATTTTTATAATCTTGTCTCTTGAAAAAGAGATACACACAATTTCTTGTGAATTAATTTCTTTTGAATTAATTATGTAATAAACGGTACAATTTGTTGACAAATATATCTTTGAAGGACATCTCATGATTAATTTTGGGGAATAAATGCATATGAAAGTGTAGATTGATGTTTCATTCTGTACGTAATTGAAAAACTGCTTTCATAGCCGGATGAGAGGGATTTGTGTGTTTTGTGCCTAAAATAAAAGCCATGGGATTATTGGTGAATTTGGAGGTTTTGTTTCAAATTGACTATAAATAGGAGAGAAGGCTCCAAGCTGATGTTGGTAAGACCCACTCAGGAAACCCATTGTGGCGTGAATAGCTTTTTTCCCCTCCAATAAATGAAAAGTTAAATTGGTTGTGCCCATCTCTGTATTTTCTCTCTTTGTAATTGGTTTTTGTGGTGCTGGAAACATATGGATGTGTTTTATAAGAATTCTGATCAGATGGCACCAATGAAAGGTAGCACGAGGCACATCCAGTGAATTATCATTTCAGCGGTGCCCATTCACTTGTATTTCAACTTCACTGTCCCTGGCTTCCTGTTCTTAGCTAATATTCTGTTGTGGGTATAAATGAAACAGGTATGAGTAAGAATGTGAGCAACTGGAACTGTCAAACAGTCAACATCCTACAAACAAATGTAAAATTACAACAGTGATAAGATTCATAAGATGCTTATAACACTGGAATATAGTCGGTGGCCAACAAAGGTTAGCCACGGTGATGATGATGAGGGGTGCTCAGAGAGGGAGTGCTCTGGAGCTGAACTGCTGTGTGACCATGGGCAAGCTGCTTACCCTTTCTGTGCTTCAGTTTCTTCATTTGCAACATGGAGACAATTAAGGTATATGCCTCATAGGTTCGTTGTAAGGTTTAAATGAATGAACGTAAAAAGTGCTTAGAGTGTTCTGAGCAAATGGTAAGAGCTAAAAAATGTTACCTATTTTTAAAAATCATTATCACTGTTATTCTCATAATTAGTCAAGGAAGGCTTCCCAGAAGAAATGACTTGGAGCTGAGCTGTAGCAGTAGCAAGGCAACAATGGAGGCATAAGCATTCCAGGCAGAAGGAACAGCATGTACGAAAGTCGTATGGTGGGAACAGACCGTGGTACATTTGGGGAGCCGAACAGGGCTAGTGGGGCTGGAGCAGAGTGATCAAGGAGGAGTGGGAGGAGACCTGAGGCTGGAGAGATCAGCTGGGGGCCTGAGGAGGTAGGGCCTGGGGGCTTTTTTTTAGGGCTGTTAGTCTTTATGCTGGAAGCAATAAATGCCAACAAGGGGTTTGTAAGCAGTGGGGAGGCAAGGTCTCCCTGTTGATTTGCAAAGCTCCCTCTAGTGGTTTTGGGGAGGGCTGAGGATGGTGGATGAGGGCTTTTGGTGGGGTGGGGCTGGGAGGGATGGAGAGATGATTGCAGAGAGGAGTCTAAGATGCGCGCCCGCAGGAGTTGGTGATGCATGTGGTGGTTGTGAAGGGTGAGGAAGAGAAAGGGGACAAGGACAACGCCCCTCTCTTTTGGTTTGTGTAGCCACTGGGTGGGTAGTGGTGCCTGAGAATGATGGTGTGGGGGGTGAGATTACTTCTCTGAGCCTCAGCTTCCTTATTTGTGCTCCCAGCCTGTGGTGGGGATTATTAAGTGAGAGAATGCATGAAAGAGCGGTCAGCGCAGCCCCCACAACGTGTCTTTTTCCCCCAGACTCATCACCTGGGATCTGCTTCCTTCCTACCACGGCATTGGTGGAATGGAAGGTAAATATCACTCACGCCCAAGTCCCTGGATCTTGTTTCCTCATCTATACGATAGGGACAAGGGCCCTTAACCTACAGGTTTCTATGAGATTTACAGGATGACACTTTATGTGAATGAAGGGCCGTGGGCAAGCCTGGGTCCGAGAGACGTTTCCTCTTCCTACCTCCTCCCTTCTGCAGCATGCCCTAACAGAAACTTTTTTTTTTTTTTTTTTTTTGAGATGGAGTCCCACCCTGTGGCCCAGGCTGGAGTGCAGTGATGCAATCTTGGCTCACTCCAACCTCTGCTTCCCATGTTCAAGGGATTCTCCTGCCTCAGCCTCCCGAGTAGCTGGGACTACATGTGTGTGCCACCACTTCCAGCTATTTTTTTGTTTGTTTGTTTGTTTGTAAAGACAGGGTATCACCACGCTGGCCAGGCTGGTCTTGTACTCGTGACCTCGAGTGATCTGCCTGCCTCGGCCTCCCAAAGTGCTGGGATTACAGGCGTGAGCCACCGTGCCTGGCCCTGACATAGGTACATTTACGTGCATGAAACATACGTGTACATACTTGTGCTCACACATTCCTCCTGCCAATTTCTTCCCTCAACACACGCATACATGCACACACTTACACACACATTTATGGTACCCACCTCCACACATCCCTTGAAAAATTCAAACTCAGAAGGTCTCTAGAGCCCCACTTGCTATCAATGAAAATACAATGCAAACCATATATATCATTTTAAGGTATCTTGTAGACACATTAAAAGTACAAAGTAAAAGTACACATTAAAAGTACAAAGAAACACTGAAATTAATTTTAATACGACATTTCATTTAACCCAATATGTCTAAAATATCATTTCAACATGTAATCAAAACAAAATTTGTTTGAAACTTATTCAAACTTATTTTGATATTCTTGGTGGGATTTTTTGTGCGGTCTTAAAAATCCATGTGTATTTTACACTTACAAGACGAGTCACATTTCAAGGGCACAATCACCACATGTAGCTTGTGCTATGACACTGGATAGCACAATTAGGGATTATCTACTCAGAACCCTCATTCAACAGATGGGGAAACTGAGGCCCTGAGTGGGGCAGTGACTGGCCCTGAAGAATGCAGCCTGGCCGCTTTATCCCACAACACCCTGCTGTGTAAGGTATCCAAGGCCCCCATCTACCCCTGCTGTCTGCAGAGTGGCCCCGGCAAAGCTCCATACCTGGCCTTCCAGAAGAGGTGCTGCCCATGCATTAATCAGGCTGGGGGTGGCCTGCAAAGCCTACTCGTCTATCATTCTCTCCTGGGGGTGCATCATTTGGAAGCATCAGGGTTCCCTGCAGGGAGGGAACACTTGAGTCCTCCCCCTTTTCTTACAGCCCCCACATGGGGTGGCTGGAATGCAACCACGTGGAAGCCAGGCAAGGCTGGGACAAGGGGAACATGGTGACTCTATCTCCCTGGTGGGCCTGGTCCTGGGGTCAGGAAATTCATTCTGCCTGCCTTGGTTCTGCCATTAGCTACTGAGGCCAGAGTTCACGGACAGTGGGCAGCTGACCCAGATCCCATATCTCTTCCCAGCTGTGAAAGCTTCTCTGCCAATCAGCCACCAGAGTCTTCAAGGCTAAATAAGAGGTAATGAGTCCGCTAGAAAAATGGGTCAGAGGCCAATTAACTCAGGCTCAGATGTGGCTGAGAGCCTGCTTTAACTATGGCAATGCCTACAGCACGAGGCAGAGCTGGGGGATTGGACCTTTCGAGAGAGGGGTTGAAGATGGAGCCTCAAATGTCTGAGGGGCCCAGGGCTTGCGGGTGAATCAGAGTCCCAGGCCAGCTTCCTGGGGACTTGCTACCTGCCCTGCCACCTGGCCCTTGGAAAGCAGACAAGGGCATATGCCACATACTCAATGCTTTGAGTATCATCTCATTTAACCCTTTCAACAACACGGTGTGAGATGCTGTACAGTGGCTGTCCCCATTTTATAGATGAGGAAACTGAAGTGCAGCAGGGGAGGGAACCTGCCCAGAGTCTCACAGTCAGTAATGGGAGGAGCTGGGATTCACACCCAGGTGAGCTTGACTCTGGGGTAGGGCTAGAAGGTGCACTTTCTGTTATAGTTTCACCCAGGGTCAAAGCCAGGCTCATTTAGGCCAGGCTCTTTCGTGCAGCCAGATGTCTCTCTGAGCTCTTGTTCCAGAGAGCCAGCTGCACTGGGAGGTATCTCTGTAGGTCCTGGGTGCCTCATACCCTCCACACTCAAACCTGAGCTCCCCTGACCTGCCCCTGCCCTGTCCGCCTCATGGAGACAGGAGACTGTCCACATGGAATTAGACTCCCAAAGCCATTCTGATCTCCTGCTGCTCCCTCAACCTCATACGCAGTGATCCATGCAACAAACATACACTGAGCATCTGTGATGTGCCAGGCACTGATCTACGTTCAAAGGAGGAACCAGTGGACAAAATCAACAAACATTCCTACGTTCCATCTCTCAGGGGCTGACTCAAGAGGAAACATGAATAAGCAAATGATGTGCCCCGGGGACTGCCTTGGAGGATGTGGAGCAGGGTGAGGAACTGGGAATCTTGGAGGAGGTTGCAATATTTATTGGGGTAGTCGGAGTGTGCCTTATTGAGAAGCTGACCCTTGAGCAAGATTTTAAAGGATCAAGAGAATGAGTCATGGGGGTATTGAAGGGAAGAGCATTCCAAAGAAGGGGAACAGCCAGTGCAAAGGTCCTGAGGAAGAAATGGCGCTTGCAAGCTCAAGGAATAGCAGAGTGTGGGTGAAGAGGAAGGAGTAGGAAGAGGAGAGAGATCTTAGCAGGAGATGAGGTCAGAGAGAAGACAGGGAGCGGGCAGATCATGCGGGGCCTTGTAGAACAATGCAAGGCCTGGCTTTGACCCTGGGTGAAATGATGCCATCTGATTTACCTTCAAAAAGGCTCACTTGGAGAGGGGAGGCAGGGAGGCCAGTGAGGTGGCTGCAGCCAAATTCAGGTAAGAGAGGAGAGGGTGGCTGGGACCGGGGAGAAGGGGTCAGATTTGAGTGTGTTGTGAAGACCGAGCTGCCAAGGCCTCCTGATGGGTTGGACAGGTTGACAATTGAGAAGGGGGAGTCTGCAGGTGGGGCAGGTTTGGGGAAAGATCAGGAGTCCCGCTTTGGAGCTGTGATGTGGAAAGCCCTCCTAGACATCCCAGTGGAGCTGTTGAGAGAGTCAGGTTTATGGGCTTCCAGATGGGGACAGAGGTCTAGGCTAGAGTGGCTGGCATGTGGGTAGATATGGTCACCAAGGGCTGGCCCCCAGGGCCTTGGGGAGAAGAGGAGGGATGAACAGAGGCAATGAGAAGGAGTAGTTGCAGGGTTGGAGGAGAACTAGGAGAGCTGAGCTGTGCCGGGTCAGGTAAGATGAGGACTGAGCATCGCCCAGGAGACTTAGCGATGTGGAGGTCATCAGGGGCCATGTGGGTGAGGCCTGGCAGGAGATCCTGTGTCTGAGCAATCTATACCTTTTATCCATGTGGCAGGCTGAATAGCAGCCCCCATGAGGTGCCAGGCACTAATCCCTGCAGCCCCTAAATATTGATATTAGCTTATGTGGCAAAATGGTCTTTGTGGCTGTGATAAGGATTTTGAGATAGGAAAATTATCTGCTAATTTATGGGCCCTACATACAATCCTTATAAGAGAGAGGCAGAGGGAGATTTGACACAGACAGACAGATGGCAATGTGACACCGAGGTAGAAATTGGAGTCATGCTGCTATAAGTTAAAAAGTGGCACAGCCACCAGAAGCTGGAGGAGGCAAGGAATGGATTCTGGCCTGGAGCCTCCAGAGGGAGCACAGTGCCCTTGACTCTTTAATTTCAGCCTAGTGATAATGACTTCAGACTTCTGGCCTCCAGAGCTGCGAGAGAATAAATTTCTGTGGCTTTAAGCCATCATGTTTATGGTAATGTGTCATAGCAGCTACAGGAAACAAACACGCCCCTTCTGGCATCAGGTCCCCTACTTCCCACCCTCCTTAGTCATCCTCTGTCCCTCATCCAACAATTGTCACAGCCTCATCACCAGGCTCCTGCTCCAGGCTGCCCCAGCACCTGCCCTCCCCACACAGAACCTGATGGGGTAACTTCGATTCCTAATACCCTCTGCATGGAGCCCACATTCATTAGCCTGAAGCCCAGTGCTTTTCCTGATAAAGCCCTAACAGTCTCCACACTCATTTCTCACCACTGGCTCCCACCACTTATGCTCCATAACCTCCATGCAATTTTCCTTTGCTACATGTTCTCTTAAGCTTCTGAGCCATTGTACTTGCTGTTCCCTCTGCCTGGAACACCCTTCCCTATCCCAGAAATAGGCATGGTTTGTTTCCTCATCGAATTTAGGTCTTTACCCAAAGAGCTTTTCTGATGACCATTTTAAAAGTGCAACTCCCTTTTCAGCCCCACATTCCTGATTCTCTTCCCCTACCTTGTTTTTCTCCGTGGTGCTTATCACTCACTATATATGTATTTAACTAATTTGTTTGTTGTCTTGTGCCTCCAATTAGAATTAAATTCCACAGGGGCAGGGAATGTAGTCTGTTTTGTTTACACTTGTATCTCCACCACCAAGGAATATGTCTGACATGTAATAAGAACTCAATAGATATACGCCGAATGAATGAGTGGGTGTATGAATGAATGAGCAAAAGAGACAAAAAACAAAACAAAACAAAACAAAACAAAAAACTAACCAGGTGTGGTGGCACATGCCTGTGGTCCCAGCTACTCAGGAAGCTGAGGTGGGAGGATTGCTTGAGCCCAGGAGGCGGAGGTTGCAGTGAGTTGAGATCATGCCACTGCACTCCAGCCTGGGTGACAGAGTGAGACTCTGTCTCAAAAAAAAAAAAAAAAAAAAAAGAGACTCAGAAGGAGAGGTCAGTGATATAGGAGAAAAGAAAGCCAGGAGCACATGATATCTCTGAGGCCAAGAGAGTTAAGTGTTTCTTAAAAATATAGAAACTTCTGAATCATCCATTGTAAAAATGAGTCAAGTCTAGGTATAATGCTAATGTATTTTTATTGCATAAAACTTTTTCGGGGATTTGATTATTGGCATGGCCTACCTGTGAGCCACAATATTTATTCAACAAAAGACCCATTCAGCTAGTTCCGCCAAACTCTTACATTCTCTGTAGATGAGGACGCCTTAAGTGCTGAGCCCTGCGCTATGCTTCATGCTGTGATTTTCCCACCAACCCTTTCCATGGGGTCTAGGGGCAGGTAAACAGAGTGGCCCCTCACCGTTTCCTGATCCCATTTCCAGGAAGTAACTAGCAGGAAAAGCTTGATGTGTAGCATGGTGTGTCTATATAAGGAGACACAAAGCTATGTCATTTTGAAAGTGGTAGTCCACGAATCCTATTATCTCGCAACTGTTCTCCCTCCCCAGTCCCAGTCATCTGTGGACATCTTTCCATGTCATTATTGAAAGATCTGTGTCATTTCTCCCATCACTTTAGGGCCACCTCATCCCACCCCAGAGTAACTATGGAGACCAGTTTACTGTGCGCCTTTCCTGGTGTGTCTGATCTTAGTCTCACCATGATCTGTCTATATAAACATACACATATATACACACAAACAACGCTGTGGGGAGGGACGCACGCCCTGTCACAGAGCAGCAGCTGCTTTCTGCAGACCAGCTCTCTCACCTGGGAGTCCCCCACAACCCATTCCCAGCCTCTAAGAAGCCCACGAGCAGGTGTGGGCTCTCCAGGGAGGTCGTGGTGGGGAAAGCAGCCCTTTCTGTGAGAGATGAGAGCGGGGAGCTGGGGATGGGCGTGTTAATAGTCCTCTCTTGCAACCTACACATGCTACTTTAGTTTTAGCAGGTCATGGCATCACACTTGAGTATCGGCCTGCGTCTTGCTTCCTTCACTCACCAGCTTATCTTAGAGCACTCTCCATGTGGAAATGTACAGGTCCACCCCATTGTGAGTGAGGGCTTCATAGAATTCAACAGGATGGCCAGGTCACACTGTATCCAGCTTCCCTCCCAGGGATGGATCCCCATGCAGTTCCGATCTTCTCCTTGCACGTTTGGAGGCTGGGGCTATTATCAATATCTTTACACACTAAACATTTACTTTGTGTAGGTAGATTCCTACACAAGTAGTAGGATTGCTAGATCAAAGGGCAAGGACATTTAAGATTGTAATTGATGCTGCTGCCGAGTTATTTTTTGCTATTATGGTAGCAAGTCACACTCGTCCTCCGTGCGGGTGAATGGATCCAGATGCACGTGGTTGTCAGTCCAGGCAGGGAAGTGGATGAGTAGGGAGGCACAAGGGAGCTTAAGAGGAATGGGGGCGTGTTCTGCCTTTTTTTTTTTTTTTGAGGCAGAGTCTCGCTCTGTTGCCCAGGCTGGAGTGCAGTGGCACAATCTCGGCTCACTGCAAGCTCCGCCTCCCAGGTTCACGCCATTCTCCTGCCTCAGCCTCCTGTGTAGCTGGGACTGCAGGCGCCCACCACCAAGCCTGGCTAATTTTTTGCATTTTTTTTTTAGTAGAGACAGGGTTTCACCGTGTTAGCCAGGATGGTCTCGATCTCCTGACCTTGTGATCCACCTGCCTTGGCCTCCCACAGTGCTGGGATTACAGGCATGAGCCACCGCGCCCGGCCTGCCTTTTTTTTTTTTTAAGAGACAGGATCTCACTATGTTGCCCAGGCTGGTCTCAAACTCCTGGGCTTGAGCGATCTACCCACCTCAGCCTCCCAAAGTGCTGGGATTAGAGGCATGAGGCACCGTGCCTGGCGTGAGTTCTGCTTTGCAGAAAGGATGCTGGGGGTGAGATGTATCAAAGACAGTGCAGCGGAGTGGATGTCACTCCCTCCCACCCCTATGTGGACTTCTTTCCTATTCTTCTTTTCTTGTGGGCCTTCTTATATTCCTGGGCAAGAGGGAACATCCAGGGTCAGGCTAGTGAGCACCTCCTTACATTTTGCACTTTGTCCCAGACCTGGCAAAATCATACCCATTTTACAGATGAAGAAAGTAAGGCTCAGGGCAGTGCAACGAGTGTCCAAGATCACAGGACCTTTAGCTGTGTCCCTTCTCCGAGGACTCCTGTGGAATGTAAGGGAGGCAGGATGGGGTCCTCCAGGGAGAACAGCCTGGCCAATAAGCAGAAGGGGCCTGGAGTCGGGGTGATTCTGGGGGTGCCACTAACTTAGCTTGGCAATCCTGGCTCCCCACCTCTCAGGCC
This sequence comes from Homo sapiens, assembly GCF_000001405.40. Lineage (NCBI taxonomy): Eukaryota > Metazoa > Chordata > Mammalia > Primates > Hominidae > Homo > Homo sapiens. The sequence continues at coordinate 43,848,349 of NC_000020.11, forward strand.
ACAGCTATGGCACCTGGAAAATGGGTGGGTGGACTTAGATTAAGGGTTACAAAAAGAAATGGCTACAGAGGACCCAGGAGACAAGTAGATCTGGCCGGTACACGGTTCTGAGACTTTGTGGATGCCAGGCCTGGGGTACTGTGCAATGATGGGGCATGCTAGGGCCTGGGCACTAGAGATGATGTCCTGGCTGAAGGAGCAGCCTCTACTCATGCTGGGAGCAGGGTCCCAGGAGGGGAGGCTGGTGCAGTATTGCCAGCATTTTTTCTTTTCTTTTCTGTTTTTTAAGACAGAGTCTTGCTCTGTTGCCCAGGCTGGAGGGCAATGGTGCAATCTCAGCTCACTGCAACCTCCATGTCCCAGGTTCAAGCAATTCTCCTGTCTCAGCCTCCTGAGTAGCTGGGATTACAGGCACACACCACAATGCCCGGCTAATTTTTTTGTATTTTTAATAAAGATGTGGTTTCACCATGTTGGCCAGGCTGGTCTTGAACTCCTGACCTCAAGTGATCCACTCACCTCGGCCTCCCAAAGTGCTGGGATTACAGGCATGAGCCACCATGCCCAGCTCCAGCATTTCTTTGGAGAAAGTGAAAACTTGGGTTTTCTTTCTCTTTTTTTTTGAGATGGAGTCTCACTCTGTCTCCCAGGTTGGAGTGCAATGGTATGATCTCGGCTTACTGCAACCTCCTCCTCCCGGGTTCAAGCGATGCTCCTGCCTCAGCCTCCTGAGTAGCTGGGATTACAGGTGTGCGCCACCATGCCTGGCTAATTTTTGTATTTTTAGTACAGACAGCGTTTCACCATGTTGGCCAGGCTGGTCTCGAGCTCCTGACCTCAGGTGACTCGCCTGCCTCAGCCTCCCAAAGTGCTGGGATTACAGGTGTGAGCCACTGTGCCTGGCCAAAACTTGGGTTTTTCCAGCAGTATGGAGTTGTGAAAGGCTGGCCATTCGCGGGGTTTGGGAGCCATCCCTTAGGCCTCCTGGGACTCTCAACCCTTTGCAATCCTCATGATCAAACACTCCTGACCTTTCTGAGCCATGGGCCTCTTCTCTGAGCACATCTTTTAAATGCACAAAATAAAAATATATTAGATTACAAAGGATTCCAATTATGTTGAAACATGGTTATCAAAATATTAAAAACACTTTTGATATAGTAATAAATGTACTTCTTCATTAATGCACTAAATAACAAGCGCTAGGGACAGGTCTAATTAGCATCTTAACTTTGAAGTGGTACTGGGTGTAAACGATCTATGGAGATAGTAGCAATGACTGTAATGCGATATGAAAATATCTATATTTCTTTTGGTGACAAAGCCAAGAACACCACTAATACAACTGTGGTTTGTTGTTGACATTCGCAAGGGAAGGAAATGCTAACTTTCAGGGCAGTGGTGCTGAAGAGACAGATGTAATATTTTTTCCACCTCCCAAGATTACCAACTCCCTCCGTGAGGATCCCCTGTCATTCATGGGGTTAGGGGTGAACAGGACGGGGCTCGGACCCCAGGGTGAAGTGCTCATGACCAGAGGCCCTTCCATGGCTAAAACTAGGGGCGCAACAGGAGCTGATCCCCAGGGCAGGCCTCCCGCAGCAGGCAAACCTGAGATCTGGGAAGGGCCTGCCCTTCCTCCCTGCGGCCCTGGTGAGTCACAAAACGTCCTTTCTCAGGAAGACCAAATATAAACAGTTCAGGATTATCTTGAGAACAAGATGTTTGTTTACTTTCTAAAATTGCAGACATGGCAAAGTGCTGAGGCCTACAACTGCAATTAATAATAATTTAGGCCCATCGCTCCCAGGGCAGAGCTGCATCTCCGTGTTAGAGACAAAGACCCATCTTTTCCTTGTTTTGTGTTCAGGCAACATGACGTTATTTCTCCCTAGTCATAGATATTTTTATTGCTTGTATCACCCCAGATTATACAAGCAATACATGCTCATTGTAAAAATTTCAAAATACTACAGAAAGTAAAATTTTCCCCATTTTAACTCATTCCCAGAGAGAACCGCTAATAATGTATTCGATCCACTGTGCTTTTCGTCTCCATGCCTGTACTCACACACATTACCGTTCATATAATTTCTTTTTCCAAATGGCATTCTGTGAAAATTGTTCTACAACTTGCACTTTTTTTTTTTTTTTTTTTTTTTTTTTTTTTGAGATGGAGTCTTGCTCTGTCACCCAGGCTCGAGTGCTCGGCTCACTGCAGCCTCTACCTCCTGGGTTCAAGCGATTCTCCTGCCTCAGCCTCCCAAGTAGCTGGGACTACAGGCACCTGCCATCACACCTGGCTAATATGTGTACTTTTGGTAGAGACGGGGTGTCACCATGTTGGCCAGGCTGGTCTCAAACTCCTGACCTCAGGCGATCCACCCGCCTCGGCCTCCCAAAGTGCTGGGATTACAGGCGGGAGCCACTGCGCCTGGTCTCAACTTGTACTTTTCACTGAAGATATCATAAATATTATTTGTTGATATGTCTGTCTCCTCAATTAGAAATTGGAGTTTCAGAAAAGGAAATACAGTACTTTATAAATCTTTTTAAATCAATGCGCCTTACCCAACAATTCATACATAATAGGATTCAACAAATATTTGCTGAGCTAGTGACCAAATTAATAAATACATAAATTTGTTTTTCAAAAAATAAATTGTGAACACCTTTGTATGTTCATTAAACAATACTTCATTGTTGCAGGGCTCCTGAGAGCTAAGTTGTAGGGACGTGACTGAATTTTTCAATGACCACTCACAGGTACATGGGTTGTTTCCAATTTTTCAAACCTGTTCTGCCCCAAACATCCTTAAAACATATATATCTTTGTATGCTTCTTTATGCATTTTTTAGACTCAAAGAAAGGCCTATTTAGATTGTACCAAATTACAAACCTATCACCACAGAATCTTTTTTATCTGTTCCCTCACCAACACTGAGTGTTTATTTATTTAGTGGATGTGAATGCACTTTATTCAACAAAAATGAGGCCTATTTCAAATATGCCAAAGGTGCTTCTATAATTCTTTCTAGTAACATTTCTAATTGGATTTTTATTCTTTTGAATATTTCAAAAGATAATATACTTTGAACAATTTCAAGCTTGTGGAAAAATTGCTAGAACAATACATAGTACTACCATATAGCCCTCACCAAGATCATCAAATTCTTAACATTTTATCACATTCTGGCTTGTGCGTGTGCTCTCTCTCTCTCTGTCTCTCTGTCTCTCTCTCCTTCCATTATTCTCTTTCTGAATCTTTGGAGGGCAAGCTGCACACATAGTATTCCATCATCTTTAAACACAGTCGTGTGTATTTCACCAGACCAAGTTCATTCTCTACCTAACCCCAATGCAACCCTCCAAATCAAGAAATCAACATCAGTACAAACACCACCACCCAATCCATGGACCCCATTCAAGCGTCCCAACAATTTGTCTTTTCCCCTCTGGTCCAGAACCTTCTCCAAGAACATGTATTGCATTTAGTTCTTGTGCATTTTCAGTTTCCTACAAGCTGGAACAGTTTCTCATTTTGCCCTGTCTTTTGAATCCTCAATGGTTTTTTTTTTTTTTTTTTTTTTTTTGAGACGGAGTCTCGCTCTGTTGCCCAGGCCGGACTGCGGACTGCAGTGGCGCAATCTCGGCTCACTGCAAGCTCCGCTTCCCGGGTTCACGCCATTCTCCTGCCTCAGCCTCCCGAGTAGCTGGGACTACAGGCGCCCGCCACCGCGCCCGGCTAATTTTTTGTATTTTTAGTAGAGACGGGGTTTCACCTTGTTAGCCAGGATGGTCTCGATCTCCTGACCTCATGATCCACCCGCCTCGGCCTCCCGAAGTGCTGGGATTACAGGCGTGAGCCACCGCGCCCGGCCTCCTCAATGGTTTTAAAGGGCTCCATTCTCTAGGGTGATACTCAACTCAGATCCATCTGAAGTTTCCTTGTGTCCACACTCAGCCCATGTTCCTGGGCAAGGAGGCCGCAGGATGCTGCTGCATTATTTCAGTGTATCATCTCAGGAGGCACAAGACGGTGACCACCTCTGGAGGTGTTAATCTCGACCACCAGGTCATCTTGGTGCCTGCCAGGTTTCCCCAGCGTATTTTTATTTTATTTTATTTTATTTATTTTTGAGACGGAGTTTAGCTCTTGTTGCCCAGGCTGGAGTGCAATGGCGCAATCTCAGCTTACTGCGATCTCCATCTCCCGGGTTCAAGCGATTCTCCTGCCTCAGCCTCCCAAGTAGGTGGGATTACAGGCGCCCGCCACCAGGCCCAGCTAGTTTTTTGTATTTTTAGTAGATGGTGTTTCACCATGTTGGCCAAGCTGATCTCGAACTCCTGACCTCAAGTGTTCTGCTCGCCTCGGCCTCCTAGAGTGCTGGGATTACAGGTGTGAGCTACTGTGCCCGGCCTTAGGTTTCCCCACCATAAACTCACCATTTCCCTTTTGTAATTGATTGGTATGTTGTGGGGAAGTTTCTGAGATGATGCCAATATTTTCTGTTCCTTGTTAAACCCCCTTCATGGATGACTTCTGGATCAGTCACCTTTGTGATATTGGCCAAATGGTAATTTTTGTATTCTCATCATTCCTTCTATACCTATGAGTTGATATTCTATTGTAAAAAAAGTCTTTTCCTTTTCCTTTTTGTATGTACGGGTGTATTTATATCAGCAGGAGCTCATGGATTTCTATTTTATAATTCATTTCTATCATTACCTAGTTTGACGATCAGAATCTTGTCTCCAGCCTGGGCAACGGAATAAGACCCTGTCTCAAAAAATAAAATAAAAATCCAGGCACAGTGGCTTATACCTGTAATTCCAGCACTTTGGGAGGCCGAGGCAGGCAGATCCTTTGAGCTCAGGAGTTCGAGACCAGCCTGGGCAACAGGACGAAATGCTGTTTCTAAAAAAAAATGCAAAAGTCAGCCGGGCGTGGTGGTGTGCCCCTGTAGTCCTAGCTACTTTGGGGGCCGACGTGGGGAGGATCATTTAAGCTCAGGAGGTGGAGGCTGCAGTGAGCCAAGATCACACCACTGCACTCCAACCTGGGTGACAGAGCCAGACTCTGTTGAAAAAACCAAGTCTTTTCCCAGATGGCAGGGACCCCTTCAAGAACACAGTGGCTGCCATGTCCTTTTGCTATGACTTCATCTTTCATTCACCATTTCCTTACTTTCTGGCATAATGAGATATTCTAGGTTCATCTCGTCATCATGCATTTTCTGCCTCAGCCTTGGCATTAGTCATTTCTTGGAGTAGCCCTGATTCATTTCAGTGAAGGGTGATATTTACAACCAAGATCTGGGCACTCAGTGTACTCATTACACCTGGGATGTAGGTATATGTGTGTGTGCGTGCATGCACATGTGTGTACACACATACTCCTGCTTATTCAACTAAAAATTATTTGCATGTGTGTCTCTCTCTCTATATATATATGTACATACACACACACACGCACACACACACGAATCATGAGTTTATACCAAAACCTCCAAATCCAATCCAATACCTCAAGGTTATTTCTAGCCTTCTCCTTTTACATTTGTAAATATCTTAGGCAATGAGAATCTTGGCTCTCATTATCCCCAATATATGTACTAATTTATTCAATTGCTTTGCTTATTTGTTTCATATAACCTATCTTCCACCATCGCAACATCCTCTCACCGTCCTGCATCTGCGGCTGCTGTGACTGTCAGCCCACACACCTCCACAAAGCCCCCCCCGACACCACCGCCCCAGCCAGCCTCCTCGGCCATGAGGCCCATGGGCCTCACACTTTGGCATGACCCCCCACCTCCAGCCCTGTGTCCTTGCCACTGACTAGTGCCTTCACCAGCCCACTTCCTGCATTATTTCCAATCACTCAATTTGGCCAATCTTACAGTTTCAACAAAAATATCAATGTTGTCATTTTAACTTTTTTTCTTTTTCTGAGACAGAGTCTCACTCTGTCACCCAGGCTAGAGTGCAGGGGCGCAGTCTCAGCTCACTGCAACCTCCGCCTCCCGGGTTCAAGCGATCCTCATGCCTTAGCCTCCTAAGTAGCTGCGATTACAGCCATGTGCCACCACACCTGGCTAATTTTTGTATTTTTGGTAGAGATAGGGTTTCATCACGTTGGCTGGGCTGGCATCAGACTCCTGACCTCAGGTGATCTGCTTGCCTCGGCCTCCTGAAGTGCTGGGATTACAGATGTGAGCCACCATGCCCGGCCTCATTTGAACTCCTTAATCATCAACAAGGTTGAGTATCTTTTCTTGTTGTTTCTTATTTGAATGGCTTGTTCATTTATTTTGCCCATTTTTCTACTATGTTGAGCTATTCTCTTCTTGATATGAGAGTTCTTTGTACTGTAGAGATGTTGGATCTTGGTTCCTTGCAACCAATTATCTTTTGATTTTGCTTATGGTATATGTTACCATTTAACATTTTTATGTAATAAAATAAGACTTCTTATTTAGGGTTTTATATTCCCCAAGTTTTATATAGATATATTTTTCCTACCATTTTAAACATTCAGAAAATATATACCTCGCTCATCTCTCTGGAATATATTTTGGTATTTGAAGGAAGTTTGGAATTTTTTTTTCCTCCCAAATGTGTAGCCATTTATCTCAACATCTTTTTTTTTTTCGGATGAAGTCTCACTTTGTCACCCAAGCTGGAGTGTAGTGGCGGAATCTCGCCTCACTGCAACCTCCACCTCCAGGGTTCAAGTGATTCTCCTGCCTCAGCCTCGTGAGTAGCTGGGATTACAAGCACCCACCACCATGCCCAGCTAATTTTTGTATTTTTAGTAAAGATGGAGTTTTACCACGTTGGCCCCACTGGTCTTGAACTCCTGACCTCAAGTGATTCACCCACCTCAGCCTCCCAAAATTTTGGGATTACAGGCGTGAGCCACTGCGCCCAGCCCCTATATATTTTATTGTATAATCCATAAACTTCTGACTAATTTGAACTCTGCCTTTATTACAAATTAAACTTTGGTATACACTTGGGTGTAATTTGGATTATCCATTCTGTTTCCCTCATTTGTCTGTTTCTTTAGGCAACACAATATGTTATTGATTACTGTAGTTTTATAATACTACAGTAATTTTTAAATATCTGGTAAGGAAAATCCCCCTTTAATGTTCTTTTTAAAGGATTTTTACAGCATTATACATTTATTTTTGGGGGCAGAATTTAGAATTATTTTTTGTTAAAATCCGAAAAAGTGTTTTTGATATTTTAATTTGGATTGCATTAAATTTTAGACTATTTTGAGGAGAATATATATTTTTATGGTGTTAGATCTACATACAAGGTACCTATCAGTATTCATGCAGTCTTTTCTTATATGTTAAGTTTCTAAGCCGTGCTTTACATTTCTCTGCATTACAGGCTCTGCACGTTTCCTATTATGTTCATCCCTAAGAATTTTCTGGGTTTTTTTTTTTTTTTTTTTTTGCTATTGGGAAATGAATCTTTTATTCCATCATATTTTCTAACTAGCTGTTACTTATATATGTCAGAGTATAGAGGGAGGAAGTAGTCTCTGGTGGTTAAACACATGGGCTTTGGAATAGGACCACCTGGGTTTTCATCCTGGCTCTGATATTCAAAGCTGTGTGAATGCAGCCTGGTGACGTCACCTCTCTGAGCCTATGTCCTCATTTTTACCATAAGGATAAAAATAATACCTATTTCATGGAAATGTTCATGTTACATAGTAAGTCCTTAACAAATATTAGCTATTATTTAAAATTTTTGTAATAAGCCATTTTAGTGAGCTATTCTATTGTATATATATTTTCTAACTTATTATATTGTTATTCCTGTATTATCATATTATATTGAATTATTATTTTATTTCTAATGGTTTATCAGTTGACTCTCTTAGATTTTTGGGAAGGTGATTATATAATATATAAATATTTTGCTGCCTTCTTTCCAAAAGTTATATCTTATTTTATTTTTTCTGTAGAGATGAGGTGTCGCTATGTTGGCCAGGCTGATCTTGAACTCCTGGCTTCAAGAGATCATCCTGCCTCGGCTTCCTAAAGTGCTGGGATTACAGGTATGAGCCACTATGCCTGGCCCCTCTTATATTATTTTCTTATTTACTTGTGGATGCCCTGATTCTGTTTTATCAGAAGAAATGCTCCTATGGCTGAAGTTTTGAGTAAGATGTTAGTTATTGGAGACATAAATATGTCTCCATACAGTAGTTATCTATAGATAGCTAAATACCCAGATATTTAGCTTACAAAAGTTACAAAATTATTTTTAACTTCATTATAAATTGATATTTCATTTTAGCTAATACCTTTTGGGAGGGCATGAAGGAGATGACTTTGTCATTTTTCTATTTTAACCCATTGATATGGTAAATCATATCTATAGATTTCCTAATATTGAACCATCCTTGTAGTCTTGGTGCAAACCCCTGCTTGGACATATTATGGTAGTTATATGATGTACTGTTGTAAGTGATTCATTAATATTTTATTTAATGTTTGGGATCAATTTGCTTTTTTCTTGTTGTTTTCAGCTTTTAGTGCTACTTTTATGCCTGCTTTATTTAAAATTCAAAAAAATTCTTCTTTCTAAATGCATTGGAACACTATTTTTATTCCTTAATTATATTTTTAAAATTGTATTTTACCATACAGTAAAATTGACTTTATTTGGAGAGTGTACAGTTCTATGAGTTTTGACAGATATATATATATAATCAGCACATATCAAGGCATAGGACAATTCCATCATTACATAAAGCTCTCTTGTGGTTGCTAACCAGCAGGGAAGGCAGAGGAGGAAGGGAGGGAAGAGGAGTAAGAGGAAGAAGAAGAAAGAAAGATGGAGGGAGGGAGAGAAAGGGAAAAAGAGAAAGAGAAAGAAAGGAAGGGAGGAAAGGGGGAAAAAGGGAGGAAGGGAAGGAGGGGGAGGAAAAAAGGGAAAGAGAGGTGAAGGGAAGGAGAGAAAAGTGTGAGAGAGGGAGGAGGGAGGAAGGGAAGGCTGAAGCAGGGAGGAAGGAGAGGAGAGAGAGGGAGAGGGAAAGGGAGAAGGGGAGAGAAGATGATGATGATCAGAAGGAACTTGTGGAACAGAATCAAACATTCCTCAGGGGTTCCCAGAATTGTTTTTATGGGGAACCTAGCAGAAGGATGGATTATGGTTGGGAAGGCTAAGAGTCATAGTAATTTGGATCTTAAAATTACTTTCTGGTCAAAGACTGTTGAAACCTGAGAACATATTGGTGAATGTTTGTTTGGAAGTAACTGTTGAAGCCTATTAATTTTCTTCTGAATACAGCTTTAACTGTTTCAGTTTATTTGTCCTTTCAGCCAGGAGTTGTTGGTGGGGAGAAAATGTCTGAATTTTTATTTTTTGGTTTGCCTTTACTATTAATTTATGCTTCTATTGCATGAAGTTCAGAGCTTGTGAACTGTACTATATCTACTATACAAATCTAAAAGATATGTACTATATCTTTTAGATTTTTTTAGGTTTCCTTTGTAGCCTAGCACATGTCAAATATTCCACTGGCATGTGAAGAAAAGGAATATTCTCTGTTTTCTGTGGACAGAGTTTAACATATTATATATACACATATTTGATCAATGTCATTAATTATATTATTTAAATTATTTATAGCTTTAATTATTTCTGAGAGGAGGGAGTTAAAGTTTTCTATTCTTGTGTTTCTCCTGATTTCACATTGTATTTATCTAAGAGTTTTTGCTTCATGTCTTTTGATGTTACATTATCTGGAATGATGTCATTGACAATCATTCTCATTGTGTTTTACATCCTTTATCAGCATGGGTAATGCTTTGTCTCATTTGATAATTTTTTTGGTTTCATTTCAACTTTGTTGATATTAGTGTCATGAATCCTAATTTCTTTTAGTTCATATTTGCCCGGCAGGTTCCCAAAAATCATTTCTTTAAAATTCCTTCCCAATCCTTTCCTTTTCTCTCACTCCCTCCTGCCCCCATCTTAACTATCCAGTTACTGATATAGTTTATCACATGTTTTTACTTTCTAAAAAGAGATATATTTATCTCTCTTCCTTGATTTCTTAGCTCAAGATACAAAACAATGTATAATAGTGTATAGTGAGTCTCTACCATAAAAAATTACAAGATCTGTGGATTCATACTTCCTCCTTATTTCAACTTTGTTATGATCTGAGATTTTTATCACAGGCCATTGTAGGTATTCCATTTTAATTGTTTATTTTTACATAATATAGATTTTCTTTGAGGAGTTATAATTTTGACTTAAAATTAAATTTCACAGTTTTTGAGGCTTGATTTTATATTTAAAAGGATCCAAGATTCACTTTTTTTTCCCCCCGAGATAGGGTCTCACTCTGTCGCCCAGGCTGGAGTGCATTCTTGCAGTCATGGCTCACTGCAGCCTCCACTTCTGTGGCTTAAGTGGTCCTCCCATCTCAGCCTCCTGAGTAGCTGATGGTACAGGCATGCGCCACCACACCCAGCTAATTTTTAAATTTTTTGTGGAAACTGAGTTTCTCTATATTGCCTAGGCTGGTCTTGAACTCCTGGGCTCAAGTGATCCTCCCACCTCAGCCTCCCCGAGTGCTGAGATTACAGATATGAACCACTGTGCTGGGCCCAAGATTCACTTCTTAACCTCTTCTTTACCCTTCCTTCAATAGCTTTCCTATTCCTGACTTCTTTATTTTGAATTATCTTTTGGTTTTCTGGGTTTTATTATTTTCTTTTTCTTTTTCTTTTTTTTTTGAGATGGAGTTTTGCTCTTGTTGCCCAGGGTGGAGTGCAATGGCGTGATCTTGGCTAACCGCAATCTCTGCCTCCTGGGTTCAAGCAATTTTCCTGCCTCAGCCTCCCGAGTAGCTGGGATTATAGACATGCACCTCCATGCCTGGCTGATTTTGTATTTTTAGTAGAGACGGGGTTTCTCCATGTTGGTCAGGCTGGTCTTGAACTCCCAACCTCAGGTGATCCACCTGCCTCATCCTCCCAAAGTGCTGGGATTACAGGTGTGAGCCACCTTGCCCGGTCTGGGTTTTATTATTGAAAAGCATTTTTTAAAAGAAATGTTGATGAATCCTACAGTCCCTGAATTTAGGTACTTCTATGCACACAAGGAAGATTATGTGAGATGATGGATATGTTAACAATTTGCTTGACTGTAGCAGTTATTCCATTGTGTATATGTACATCAAAACATTTTATTATACCTTAAATACATACAATGAATTTTTTAGAAGGAAAAAAAGCTAAAAACAATGACAAAAATAAAAAACCTCACATCCGTTTATTAGGTATAAAGTTTTTAAGTCATACTTTTATGCCCTCAAACCTCTGCAGATGCTATGCTGGTCTTCTGATATCAAATATTAATATGGAGAAATCAATGGGGGCAGTCTGATATTCTCCCTTTAATTGGTAACTTGGTATTACTGGCGAGGCACTTATATAATTATCCTTCTTAAATGCCTTAAGTTGAAGATCTTTATCACAATATATCTAGATTTTCATCTTTCTCTACTAATGTTTTTTTGAAAGCCATATACTTTTCAATCTTCACATTCAGTATTTTTTCTTTATTATATGATGGATCATTTCCATGGTACATTTTTTCTGTTCTCTCCTTTAAGGATGCTACTTATCGTTATGTTTACTTCCATTGTGTGTCATACATAACAATCATCTGCTCTAAATTGTTTCTGACTCTTTGACCTTTTTCCTTTGCATTTTGGGTGATTTTTCTATTATCCTATCTTGAATTCTCCCTCTTTATATTCCTGCTGTTGTCAGTTCTGTCCTGGCTGTTTCTTATCTATTTAATAAGAACATAATCCAATTATTCTGGTTCACAACTTATTAACTTGGCTCTGCAATTCTTCCAATCTTATCCTGCTAAATTTTCATCTCATCTTTGGCTTTTTTGAGACTATGATACATCTGTGGTCTAATTTTTTTTTTAATGTTTCTAAAATGTCTTCTTCTGAGATGAAATCTTTTTTTTTTTTTTTTTTGAGACAGAGTCTCGCTCTGTCGCCCAGGCCGGAGTGCAGTAGTGCGATCTCGGCTCACTGCAAGCTCTGCCTCCTGAGTTCACGCCATTCTCCTGCCCCAGCCTCCCGAGTAGCTGGGACTACAGGCGCCCACCACCACGCCTGGCTAATTTTTTGTATTTTTAGTAGAGACGGGGTTTCACCCTGTTAGCCAGGATGGTTTCGATCTCCTGACCTCGTGATCTGCCCCGCCTCAGCCTCCCAAAGTGCTGGGATTACAGGTGTGAGCCACCGCGCCTGGCTGCCTTGAGCCCTTTCCTAAGGGTACTAATTTCATTCATGATGGCGGAGCCCTCATGACTTAATCACCCCTCGAAGGCCCAACCTCTTAATACCATCACTTTGGGGGTTAAGTCCCATTGCATGAATTCTGGAGGGACACATACCTTCAAAGCATAGCCGTCCCCGTTGCTAGCTTCAGAACTGCTATTCTTGGTCATTTAAAAGTGTATGTCTATTTGTGGTTGTCATTCTATTCAATTTGGGGAGAGAGACATTGAGTGAGCCTGCATTTACTTTACCATCTTTCCTCGGATGTTTCAGATAATTTTAGAGCAAACCTCACAAAATAATTTAGTTATTCAATTCCATATTTCAAAAGTAGCTGTAATTACTCTTTGCGGCACATTTTCATATCACCGTTTCCTTACATTACCTCATTTAATCCTCTGGCAGCCTATTGAGATAGGAATTATTATGCCCATTTTCTAGTGGCTTTCACTCATCCATAGCAGTGAGTTGATGTGGATTAGATTTGTTCAACTCTAAATTTTGTGTCTTTTCCACTACACTGCACTTCTTTTCAAAAAACGAAATAATAACCTCCTGGCTCTATGCTGGCGAGTGCGTTTGTCAGAGAAATTGGATGCTACAAGGCATCACTTACTGTATCTACTCTACCTAAGGGCATGTTTAATTGAACTTAATTGGAACAACTACCCAGGGTTTTAAATTTTTATTATTATTTTTTACTAGCTCACTCTTAAGCCAAAAACTCACCCTCATTTAAAGCAGGTGTTATTATAAATTCAACTATATATAAATGTGGTGTTCGTCTCTGTTGGAAATAGGAGAAATATAACAAAAGCACTGGCTCACCATTGGGTTGGGATTTTCAGCCTGCCTCCTTTTTCCGTTCCACTGTGGGATGGACCACTTTCTTGTTATGCAGAGGAAAAAACACTGTGATCCTTGTCTTGGCTGTGTGACCAGAACAAGTTACTTAACATCTCTGGTCTTCATCTCTCTCTGCTGGGAATGAAAATATAAGGTCATATACTCTTCCTACCTTTAAGGTTTCAGACTTCATGAAATCCAAGTCTGGGAACTGACTCCAGACCATAGCTTCAGCATGGGCTTTGCTATATTGCTGGGCAGTCTTGGGAAAGTTCCTTCCTTTCTTTGGGTCTCAGTTTGCCCATCTGTAAATAGCCTTGTTAGGTAAGTTCAGTGGTTTTCTTTTCTTTTTTTTTTTGAGACAGAGTCTTGCTCTGCCACCCAGGCTGGAGTGCAATGGCGTGATCTTGGCTCACTGGAACCTCCACCTCCTGAGTTCAAGCGATTCTCCTGCCTCAGCCTCCTGCGTAGCTGGGACTACAGGTGCCTGCCACCACGCCTGGCTAATTTTTGTATTTTTAGTAGAGACGGGGTTTCACCAAGTTGGCCAGGCTGGTCTTGATCTCCTGACCTCAGGTGATCCACCCGCCTCGGCCTCCCAAAGTGCTGGGATTACAGGCGTGAGCCACCATGTCCGGCCAGCTCAGTGGTTTTCAAACTGTGTTCCAAGGAACACTAGGAACTGTGGAGGTGGAAACAGAAAGACTAGGCTTGTGCTTTATATAGTCCACCTCTGGGTAAGGTTACATTTGTAAAAAGTGTTCTATTGTTAACAAATGAAAAAATTGTTCTGAGATATTTCGTCCCATACAGTCTCTCCCTGAAGGAGATTTCTCCAGGTGAACGTTCTTAGAAACTAAAACTTACTACCTTAAGCACCATTTTGGTTTGATATTGAATGGAAATCAATATAAAGTGGAATTAGACATCTTGCCTTATTTACAGTAAGGCACTGAACATTAACTTTTTCTTGCTGTTAAGGATCACTATTTTGAATATCAACGTGACTCACTGATGTCTTGAAGACATGGGCAGGTGAAAATGACCCTCGGCCCTTTCCATGACTGTCTCCACATGACTCTTCCTTCCTTCCTTCCTTCCTTCCTTCCTTCCTTCCTTCCTTCCTTCCTTCCTTCCTTCCTTCTTTCCTTCCTCTTGCTCTGTTGCTGGAGTACAGTGGCACAATCATAGCTCACTGCAGCCTTGAACTCTTGGGTTCAAGCAGCCCTCCTGCTTAGCCCCCGAGTACCTAGGATTACAGGTGCGTGCCACTACACCTGGCTAATTTGTAAATTTTTTGGAGATGCAGAGTCTTGCTATATTGCCCAGGCTGGTCTCAAACTCCTGGCTTCAAGGGGTCCTCCTGCCTAAGCCTCCCAAAACTTTGGGATCATAGGTGTGAGCCACTGTGCCTGCCAAGTATGCTTCTTTAGTTTGTATACTGTTTTCTGTGATTCCCTCTTTACCCCATGGCTGTCAGGAGGTCTGAAGTCCTTACTCCTTTTTGCATTGAGGGGTCCTCCTAGGCTCTGAGAAGAAAGTCTCCCCATCTTTGTAGCCTACTTTTCTCTCCACAAATTTAGAGCCAGAAACCTGGTTGTCTCAGGACATCTTTCTTTTTTTTTTTTTTGAGACGGAGTCTCGCTCTGTCGCCCAGGCCTAGAGTGCAGTGGCACAATCTCGGCTCGCTGCAAGCTCCACCTCCCGGGTTCACATCATTCTCCTGCCTCAGCCTCCAGAGTAGCTGGGACTACAGGCGCCTGGCCAATTTTTTGTATTTTTAGTAGAGACGGGGTTTCACTGTGTTAGCCAGGATGGTCTCGATCTCCTGACCTCATGATCTGCCCGCCTCTGCCTCCCAAAGTGCTAGGATTACAGGCGTAAGCCACCGCGCCCGGCCGTCTCAGGACATCTTTATTGGTTACTCCAAAGATTACCTCCAATCTAACACCCTCCCTTCACTTCCCCAGCGACAGCCTCTTTCCTGCGAAGCCTTCTCCTCTCTGTGCATGGCAGGAACCCGTGACTCATTTTGGATTCTCCCATCTTCCTCAGCTTCGCCATCCAATTAGTTACCCTGGCCAGTCCTGGTTCTGTCCCCAAGACAGCTTGATAACTTTCAGCACATCCTTTAACCTCTCTGGGCCTTAGTTTCCTCAGGAAGGAAGAAAAGGAGGTACAGAAAGATAAAAAGGAAGAAACGTTTACTGAGCTCCTTCTCCTTGCTATAGGCAAGGAATTTGACACCAACCAGATTGGTTCAGATCCATCCTTGCTACTTGTTAGTTTTGTGCTCTTGGCAAAATAACACATTCCCTTTCTGAGCTTGTTTCCTCATCTCTAAAACGGGGGTGGTAATATGTATGTTGAGGAAGAAATGACAGTGGGCCTGGCACGTAGTAAGCATTTGGTATATGTTAGCCAGCGTGCCTGTCCTCCCTCCTGTCTCCCTTCCGCTTTCCTTCCTTGCCTCATTGAGAGCCTGTTTGGCTGTATTTTTCCATCCAGGCAATTACTCTCCCCACAAGTGTGTGCATTGTTTGGGAGTCGGGCTGTGAGATGAGGTTATGAGTTGCAAACACAACAGCTCCTCCAGCTTCTGTCGCTGGCCTACAAATGTCACGTTCATCCAAATAGCAATTTCAGGGCACACTTCTTTCCTGATTTGTTAGTACTTCTGAAAAATTAAATGGAGAGAACTTTGAGGTGCCAAGGAACATGATGAACTCATTGCAGAAGCAGAGCCAGCTCTTCCTCCACCCTCCAAAGCTCTAAAATTAGACTCAGCAAACCCTGCGAGGAGAGCTCAGCCCACTCTTGACCCCAAAGCAAAGGGTGTCCTGTTTGCCATGAGGTCTTGGGTAGCCTGAAGGCCTCAGTTTGGGGGACAGACCCTCAAGACTGAAGCAGAGCCTATGACGTCTCTCCCTCCCTCTGTCTACTTCCATCTGGAACTAGGTGCCACTGGAGATGCTGAGCAGTGACGAGCCACATTTAATTGTTTCCTCTTTTAGAATCAACTTTATTGGGGTATAATTGATGAATGATCAAATGCACCAGGCCGGGCATGGTGGCTCATGCCTGTATTCCCAGCACTTTGGGAAGGTGAGGTGCGTGGATCACCTGAGGTCAGGAGTTCGAGACCAGCGCCAACATGGTGAAACCCCGTCTCCACTAAAAATGCACACACAAAATAATAATAATAATAATAATAATAATAATAATAATAATAATTAGCTGGGTGTGGTGGCACATGCCTGTAATCCCAGCTACTCGGGTGACTGTGGCAGGAGAATCACTTGAACCTGGGAGGCGGAGGCTGCAGTGAGCCAAGAGCGTGCCACTGCACTCCAACCTGGGCAACAGAGTAGGCCTCTGACTCTAAAATAAAATAAAATAAAGCGCACCCATTTCAAGTGTCCAATTCAATGGGCTTTGACAGATGTCCACATTCATAGAACTATCACCACAATAAAAACATAGAACATTTCTATCACCCCAGCAATTTTTATTTAAAATTCAGAAATATTATAACCATCCAGAAATGTTCAGAGATTAATATAATGAAATAATGCTTACAAATCTACCACCAAGGATTAGCAGATGTTACTGTGTTGCTACATTTGCTGTGATTTGTCCTCATTTCTTTCTCTCTCTCTCCCTCCCTTCATGTCCACTCTGAGAAAGAAAGAAAATTAAATAAAAACTCTTTTAAAGAAATGAAACATTATCAGTACAGTCAGAGCCTTCCTTATCCCAATGCTCATAGATAACTACTGTCACTACCCATGTTTTAAAGGGACATGTCTTACTCATGTTTAAAAACTTAACTGCCCTGTGCATGATCACAAAAAATATACAGCTTTGTTAGGTGGGCTTTTGACATTTATGTACAATAATGGTGTATGTGTCCTTTTGTAACTTACTGTAACTTGACATGTGCTTTAAAGATTCATTCACCTTTTTTACAAGTAGATCTAGTTCATTTGCCTTAAATTAGTATTCTAGTGTAAGAAGGTTTTAAAATTTACTAACCCAATCCCCTACTGATAGGCATTTAGGCTGTTCTCTTTCTCTTCCCAATAACATCAGTGCTGCAGTGCAAATCCTGAGCCCATGTATAGGAATTACTCTTTTGGGATATTTATCTGAAAGTGGAACTGTTGGCTCAGAAGGCCCCAGGGCATGAACCTCTCCAGCTTTGCTAGATATTGCCAAATTGCTCTCCCAGGTAAGAGTATCAACACCCTCTTCCTAAAAGTTCCTGTCTTTCCCATCTCCTCTGCAACATTTGGTTAGATTTTTTTCCCCCACTCTGATGTTTATGAAATAGTCTTTTGGTTGCTTTAATTTGCATTTCCTTGGTCAACAGTGAAGCTGAGCGTGTATTTATAAATTTATTGGGCTTTAGAGTTTCTTCTGTGAATGCTTGTGGATGTTTTTGTCTCTTTTTCCGTTTGCTTTTTAAATTGGATTGTAAAAATTCTTTATGTATTATAGATATTAATCCCTTATCAGTTATATGTATCGTAAATATTTTCTCCAAGCCTGTGGCCTCTCTCTTAATTTTGGTTTTGGTGCTTTTTGGTCATAGAAATTTTAAGTTTTAATGCAGTCAAATTTTTCTCTGTGGTTTATGCTTTTTGTGAATTGTTTAAGAAATCCTTCTCTACTCCAACAACATTTTCTACACTTTCTTCTAAAAGAGATAAGGGTTATTCTTCCCATTTGACAGATAAGGAAATGGAAGAGGTGACTTGTCCAAAGTCCACGGATGTAGGTGGCAGATCCAGGACTGGCCCGCTGTGTGCTGATTCTAAACCCAGCATGCTTTTCTTCACTTGGGGCCCTGGTGTTGAGAGCCGGATCTGGGAAGCAGATGATCGTGGTTCAGTGTGGTCTTGACCTGTGGTGGATGGACACTGGGCGGACCATGTCCTCTCTCTGTGGCTCCTCTTGGTGGTCCTATGGTCAGGGAGGCTCATGACTTTTCCTTTGCCGGATGTGTCAGTGAATACTGAGTTCCTAAAGGTCAGCTTTGGAAGAGATTTGGGGCCATGTGTTATACATGGAGAAACTGAGACCCTGATTGGGGGAGAAAGTTGCTCTGGACTTGCCCGTGGCTTATCCCACCTGCCAAGGGGCACAGTTCCAGCACTGCCTGGCTCCCATTCTGAACCCACTTGGGCCTCGCCATCCTGGCCTGGCCACTGGACAACAGTAGCCACCAATGGGGAGGACACAGGCCACCTGCCAGGTGACTGCACATCTGCCCCTTGACTTTGTCCTCATAGCAGCCTTAGGGCTGGCAACTGTCATCTCCATTTTACAGAGGAGGAACTTGAAATTTAGAGAGGGTAATTGATTTGGCCAAATTCATACACAGAGGCAGGAAACCCTGATCCCCATGATTCCAAAGCTCATCCTGTGTGACCCAGGATCCTGCTCTGTATTGGAGGTGACTGAGTCAACACTGAAGAAGCAGCTCCTTCTCTGATTGACCCTCAACTGTTAGAGAACCTGTGTCCCCAGCCCCACGTAGTCACCTCTGCCCTGAGCCTCTCCTCAGTGTCTCAGAGCCTCAAACCCTGACTCAGTCTCTTGTCTTATTTATTTATTTATTTATTTATTTATTTATTTATTTATTTATTTTTGAGACAGAGTTTTGCTCTTGTTGCCCAAGCTGGAGTGCAATGGTGCAATATCAGCTCACTGCAACCTCTGCCTCCCAGGTTCAAGCGATTCTCCTGCCTCAGCCTCCCGAGTAGCTGGGATTACGGGCATGTGCCACCAAGCCTGGCTAATTTTTGTATTTGTAGTAGAAACAGGGGTTTGCCATGTTGGTCAGGCTGGTCTCGAACTCCTGACCTCAGGTGATCCTCCCGCCTCGGCCTCCCAAAGTGCTGGGATTACAGGCGTGAGCCACTGCGTCCGGCTTGGTCTCTCGTCTTAAATCAAGGAGGTTTTCATAGCTCATGGCCCATCCACACACAGCCTCTGCCACTCCCACATCAGACTGAGTGGGCAGGGAATGTCCTACTTTCATCCATTCATTCCATCCCTTATTCACTTAATTTTAACTGGGCAGAGAGTCAGGGTGACGTGTGGCCTGGTCAGAGTCCTGTGCCATCTTACTTAACTCTCAGAGCCTCAGTTTCTTCATGTATAAAATAGGCACAATGAACACTCAACTCCTCAAACTGCTGTGAAGGTTAACTGAGAGGAACAAGCCTGTGGTTATGATTCCATGGCCAGTTTACCATGGGGTCTGTGACTGCTGCCTCGGCTCTACCATCTGAGCTCAGGGCTGCCTGGCCTGGAATGGAGGGGTGGGTAAGAGCACAGGCTCTGAAGCCAGAGTACCTGGATTCAAATCCTCCCACCACCCTGACTAGCTGTGTGATTTTCAGCAATATACTAAGCTTTTTGGTGCCACATTTCCTCATTTAAAAAATTATGTTAATAATAATGCCTACCCTATGACATTGTCATGAATACGAAAAAAAGTTAATACATGTGAAACACAAAGAACCATGTAATTATAGACAAAACTGTGTCTCCTCCAACCCCACCCCAGATTCATATGTTAAGGCCCTCTCAATTTGACTGTATTTGGAGATAGGGCCTTTAAGGAGGTAATTAGGGTGATATGGTTTGGCTGTGTCCCCACCAAAATCTCACCTTGAATCGTAATAATCTGCACATGTCAAGGGTGGGGCCAGGGGGAGATAATTGAATCATGGGGGCAGTTTTCCCCATACTGTTGTCATGGTAGCAAATAAGTCTCATGAGATCTGATGGTTTTATAAATGGGCATTCCCCTGCACAGGCTCTCTTGCAGGCACCTTGTGAGACATGACTTTGCTCCTCATTAGCCTTCTGCCATGATTGTGAGGCCCCAGCCATTTGGAACTGAGTCAATTAAACCTCTTCTCTTTGTAAATGACCCAGCCTCGGGTATGTCTTTATTAGCAGAGTGAGAACAGACTAATACATAGGGTTAAACGAGGTCATAAGGGAAGTGGGGGCGGGGCTAATCAGATGGGATTGATGTCCTTGTAAGAAGAGAAGAGACAACTGAGATAGCTCTTCCCCCCATGACCTTTCCCTCTCTTTCTTGTGTGCACAGAGGAAAGGCCATGTGAGGACACATCAAGAAGGTGGCCATCTGCAAGCCAGGAAGTGAGGCCTCACCAGACGCCAGCCCTGCTGACTCCTGATCTTGGACTTTCAGCCTCCAGGACAGAAATAAATTTCTATTGTTTAAGCCACCCAGTCTGTGGTATTCTCTTATGGCAGCCTGAGCAGACTAATATGCCAAACTCATAGTTTGTGCTGAAGAAAAGCTAATTATTTGATAATAATTTTATTTATTATTATTAATACAATTGTGGTTGTAACTGAAAGACCAGATTCAGGTATCTCCTGCAGTGTTGATAAGGGGGTGGCAGGGTGAGGGACTGGGGCTAGTATCAGCACCCTGCCCAACAAAGGACTTCCCCTCCCAGGCAGCCAACAGAAGAGGCTGGGCCAGGCTGCAGGTGGTCGGGGAAGCCTGGCTTCCTTGTCACTTCTGCCTCTCATCACCGGTGCACAGGCCTGCTCAGGGCCAAGGGTACCAGAAAGCTTTGCCTGTGCTGTTTCTCTGACCCAGTGGCCTCTCCTTTTTCAATTGCCTAACTCCAGGACAGAAATAACTCTGATGCCCCTTTCAGACCTGCCCCCTAGGGCACCCCCTTAGACATTGGTCAGTAACAGGAGAGAAGATCGACAGATTAGAGGTGGGGGCATGGGAAGCTCTCTTCTGATTGTTTCTCTTTTACAAAATGAAAAGCAAGGTCAACAGCTGAGAATGGGAGGGGGTGGGAGTTGGAGATTTGAGGGGAGCGGAGATAAGGAATACAGGTTATCTTACTTTTGGTTGCTCAAAAGCAGACCCCAAGACAAGGATCCCAGAGCACGTAGTTTATTTGAAAGGTGATCCCAGGACAGCCAGGTAGGGGACTAGGAGGGTGAGGCAGGAAGGGAAAGGAGCCAAGCCCATTACGATGGTGGGCAGCTGAATGCAGGTCAATCCCACTGGGCTATCGTGGGTGCCACCCAAGATGGGAGGGGACCGGAGTGATCTACATTCCAGCTAGGGGTGGTTTTTGCTTAAAGGTTGCTCCTGGTTGAGAGGTCAAATCTCTGCCTCCAGCCCTGCTCCCCAAGAAAGCCCTAGCCATGCAGATGAGGGCAATTAGCATTGGGGCAGCAAGGAAAGGGTACTGGCCAGGGGTTGTGGGTGGGACCCTGCCAACATCTGCTATGGTGAAGGAGTGAATTAACCAGCAGTAAGTAGAGGTCCCTCAGGGCTAATGTTGATTGGTTTAAAGTGAACCAAAGAGCATAAGTTGCCAAAGGACCTTAGTCATCGCAGACTACCATGCCTGGCTAATTTTTGTATTTTTCGTAGAGATGGGATTTCTCTGTGTTTGCCAGGCTGGTCTCGGACTCCTGGCCTCAAGACTGGCTTACAGATGACATGAACCATAAGGCCCCTAGAAGAAAAGACACTTTTCCAAAATCACTCTTAGCATGGTCAGGATGGCAGATCACATTCCTCTGGAACCTTGCACAGAAGAAAAAATAAAAAAAAGTTTAAAGCAGTTTTTAGTATACAAAAGTAAAACATGATTATTGGAGAAAATCTAGAAAATATAGACAGAAAATTTAAAATCACACAGAAATGTGTAACCCAGAGACAACCACTGTCAACAATGGATCTGTATCTTTCTAGTCTATTTCCTAAGCCTATGTGTATTCATATAGTTTTTTTCAACAAAATTTCAATCACATTATATGTAATAGTACATACTGTCCTCTAACATGATTTTTTCATGTTACAGTATAATCATGTTTCTCTTTCCATATCATTGAATATTTTTCTGCATAAATGTCTAGGGCCACACAATATTCCATTGTTAAACACTGAAATTGTTTGTATTTTTTCATTATTATAAATACCACTGCAATGAATTTCCCAGAAATTCACTCTGAGCATGACCATGAATATTTCCTAAGAATAAATCCCTAGGAATGGAATTGCCATCTCAAAGGGTAAGCACTTTTTAAGGCATTTATTTGATAATTTGCCAATTTGATAAACTTTGCTAACTTTGGAAACAGCATGACTGTTTATTCAATTGCTCAGTCCAAAATTCTTGAGTCATTCTGTGTATAATAGTTCTGTACTTTGTGGTAGGATTTCTGTAGGGTCCTTTCAAGTGGGACATAAAAAGGAATGTTCATTTGCCATTTTGATAACACTGCCAAATTATCTTCTAAAAGTATTTAACCAAATTGAATGTTCTTATCTAAAAACACACTATTTCTCTCTCTCTCTCTTTTTTTCTGTTAAATGCTTCAGGAGAGTTAAATTGTTGTTCCTTTTTCATAGACATCATGCACATTATAAACTTTATTCTTAGGTATCTTTTGAGTTTTATTGCTGGCATGAATGAAATTTTAAAAATCGGTCATATTTTCTAGTTGGTCATTGTTGAAAACCTAAGAAAACTATAGATTTTAGCATATTTATTTATTTATTTATTTTAGTATTATTATTATTATTTTTATTATACTTTAAGTTCTCAGGTACATGTGCACAACGTGCAGGTTTGTTACATATGTATACATGTGCCATGTTGGTGTGCTGCACCCATTAACTCATCATTTACATTAGGTATATCTCCTAATGCTATCCCTTCCCCCTACCTCTACCTCACGACAGGCCCTGGTGTGTGATGTTCCCCAACCTGTGTCCAAGTGTTCTCATGGTTCTATTCCCACCTATGAGTGAGAACATGTGGTGTTTGGTTTTCTGTCCTTGCGATAGTTTGGTCAGAATGATGGTTTCCAGCTTCATCCATGTCCCTGCAAAGGACATGAACTCATCCTCTTTTATGGCTGCATAGTATTCCATGGTGTATATGTGCCACATTTTCTTAATCCAGTCTATCATTGTTGGACATTTGGGTTGGTTCCAAGTCTTTGCTATTGTGAATAGTGCCGCAATAAACATACGTGTGCAAATGTCTTTATAGCAGCATGATTTATAATCCTTTGGGTATATACCCAGTAATGGGATGGCTAGGTCAAATGGTATTTCTAGTTCTAGATCCTTGAGGAATCACCACACTGTCTTCCACAATGGTTGAACTAGTTTACAGTCCCACCAACGGTGTAAAAGTGTTCCTATTTCTCCACAGCCTCTCTAGCACCTGTTGTTTCCTGACTTTTTAATGATCGCCATTCTAACTGGTGTGAGATGGTATCTCATTGTGGTTTTGATTTGCATGTCTCTGATGACCAGTGATGATGAGCATTTTTTCATGTGTCTGTTGGCTGCATAAATGTCTTCTTTTGAGAAGTGTCTGTTCATATCCTTCGCCCACTTTTTGATGGGGTTGTTTTTTTCTTGTAAATTTGTTTAGGTTCTTTGTAGATTCTGGATATTAGCCCTTTGTCAGATGGGTAGATTGTGAAAATTTTCTTCCATTCTGTAGGTTGCCTGTTCACTCTGATGGTCATTTCTTTTGCTGTGCAGAAGCTCTTCAGCTTAATTAGATCCCATTTGTCAATTTTGGCTTTTGTTGCCATTGCTTTTGGTGTTTTAGACATGAAGTCCTTGCCCATGCCTATGTCCTGAATGGTATTGCCTATGTTTCCTTCTAGGGTTTTTATGGTTTTAGGTCTAACATTTAAGTCTTTAATCCATCTTGAATTAATTTTTGTACAAGGTGTAAGGAAGGGATCCAGTTTCAGCTTTCTACATATGGCTAGCCAGTTTTCCCAGCACCATTTATTAAATAGGGAATCCTTTCCCCATTTCTTGTTTTTGTCAGGTTTGTCAAAGATCAGATGGTTGTAGATGTGTGGTATTATTTCTGAGGGCTCTGTTCCGTCCATTGGTCTATATCTCTGTTTTGGTACCAGTACCATGCTGTTTTGGTTAGCCTTGTAGTATAGTTTGAAGTCAGGTAGTGTGATGCCTCCAGCTTTGTTCTTTTGGCTTAGGATTGACTTGGCAATGTGGGCTCTTTTTTGCTTCCATATGAACTTTAAAGTAGTTTTTTCCAATTCTGTGAAGAAAGTCATTGGTAGCTTGATGGGGATGGCATTGAATCTATAATTTACCTTGGGCAGTATGGCCATTTTCACGTTATTGATTCTTCCTATCCATGAGCATGGAATGTTCTTCCATTTGTTTGTGTCCTCTTTTATTTCATTGAGCAGTGGTTTGTAGTTCTCCTTGAAGAGGTCCTTCACATCCCTTGTAATTTGGATTCCTGGGTATTTTATTCTCTTTGAAGCAATTGTGAATGGGAGTTCACTCATTATTTGGCTCTCTGTTTGTCTGTTATCGGTTTATAGGAACGTTTAGATTTTTGCACATTGATTTTGTATCCTGAGACTTTGCTGAAGTTGCTTATCAGCTTGAGGAGATTTTGGGCTGAGATGATGGGGTTTTCTAAATATACAGTCATGTCATCTGCAAACAGGGACAATCTGACTTCCTCTTTTCCTAATTGAATACCCTTTATTTCTTTCTCCTGCCTGATTGCCCTGGCCAGAACTTCCAACACTATGTTGAATAGGAGTGGTGAGAGAGGGCATCCCTGTCTTGTGCCAGTTTTCAAAGGGAATGCTTCCAGTTTTTGCCCATTCAGTGTGCTATTGGCTGTGGGTTTGTCATAAATAGCTCTTATTATTTTGAGATACGTCCCATCAATACCTAGTTTATTGAGTTTTTAGCATGAAGGGCTGTTGAATTTTGTCAAAGGCCTTTTCTGCATCTTTTGAGATAATCATGTGGTTTTTGTCTTTGGTTCTGTTTATATGCTGGATTACGTTTATTGATTTGCATGTTGAACCAGCCTTGCTTCCCAGGGATGAAGCCAACTTGATCGTGGTGGATAAGCTTTTGATGTGCTGCTGGATTCGGTTTGCCAGTATTTTATTGAGGATTTTTGCATCGATGTTCATCAGGGATATTGGTCTAAAATTCTCTTTTTTTTGTTGTGTCTCTGCCAGGCTTTGGTATCAGGATGATGCTGGCCTCATAAAATGAGTTAGGGAGGATTCCCTCTTTTTCTATTGATTGGAATAGTTTCAGAAGGAATGGTACCAGCTCCTCCTTATACCTCTGGTAGAATTCGGCTGTGAATCTGTCTGGTCCTGGACTTTTTTTTGGTTGGTAAGCTATTAATTATTGCCTCAATTTCAGAGCCTGTTATTGGGCTATTCAGGGATTCAACTTCTTCCTGGTTTAGTTTTGGGAGGGTGTATTTGTCTAGGAATTTATCAATTTCTTCTAGATTTTCTAGTTAATTTGTGTAGAGGTGTTTATAGTATTCTCTGATGGTAGTTTGTTTTTCTGTGGGATCGGTGGTGATATCCCCTTTATCACTTTTTTTTGAGTCTATTTGATTCTTCTCTCTTTTCTCCTTTATTAGTCTTGCTAGCGGTCTATCTATTTTGTTAATCTTTTCAAAAAACCAGCTCCTGGATTCATTATTTTTTGAAGGGTTTTTTGTATCTCTATCTCCTTCAGTTCTGCTCTGACCTTAGTTTTTTCTGCTAGCTTTTGAATGTGTTTGCTCTTGATTCTCTAGTTCTTTTAATTGTGATATTAGGGTGTCAATTATAGATCTTTCCTGCTTTCTCTTGTGGGCATTTAGTGCTATAAATTTCCCTCTGCACACTGCTTTAAATGTGTCCTAGAGATTCTGGTATGTTGTGTCTTTGTTCTCATTGGTTTCAAAGAACATCTTTATTTCTGCTTTCATTTCGTTATGTACCCTGCAGTCACTCAGGAGCAGGTTGTTCAGTTTCCATGTAGACGAGTGGTTTTGAGTGAGTTTTTTAATCCTGAGTTCTAATTTGATTGCACTGTGGTCTGAGAGACAGTTTGTTATAATTTCTGTTCTTTTACATTTGCTGAGTAGTGCTTTACTTCCAACTATGTGGTCAATTTTGGAATAAGTGTGATGTGGTGCTGAGAAGAATGTATATTCTGTTGATTTGGGGTGGAGAATTCTGTAGATGTCTGTTAGGTCCGCTTGGTGCAGAGCTGAGTTCAAGTTCTGGATATCCTTGTTAACTTTCTGTCTCGTTGATCTGTCTAATGTTGACAGTGGGGTGTTAAAGTCTCCCATTATTATTGTGTGGGAGTCTAAGTCTCTTTGTAGGTCTCTAAGGACTTGCTTTATGAATCTAGGTGCTCCTGTGTTGGATGCATATATATTTAGGATAGTTAGCTCTTCTTGTTGAATTGATCCTTTTACCATTATGTAATGGCCTTCTTTGTCTCTTTTGATCTTTGTTGGTTTAAAGTCTGTTTTATCAGAGACTAGGACTGCAACCCCTGCCTTTTTTGTTTTCTGTTTGCTTGGTAGATCTTCCTCCATCCCTTTATTTTGAGCCTATGTGTGTCTCTGCACGTGAGATAGGTCTTCTGAATACAGCACACTGATGGATCTTGACTCTTTATCCAATTTGCCAGTCTGTGTCTTTTAATTGGAGCATTTAGCTCATTTACATTTAAGGTTAATATTGTTATGTGTGAATTTGATCCTGTCATTATGATGTTAGCTGGTTATTTTGCTTGTTAGTTGATGCAGTTTCTTCCTGGCATCAATGGTCTTTACAATTTGGCATATTTTTGCAGTGGCTGGTACCGGTTGTTCCTTTCCATGTTTAGTGCTTCCTTCAGGAGCTCTTGTAAGGCAGGCCTGGTGGTGACAAAATCTCTCAGCATTTGCTTGTCTGTAAAGGATTTTATTTCTCCTTCACTTATGAAGCTTAGTTTGGCTGGATATGAAATTCTGGTTTGCAAATTCTTTCCTTTAAGAATGATGAATATTGGCCCCCACTCTTTTCTGGCTTGTAGAGTTTCTGCCGAGAGATTTGCTGTTAGTCTGATGGGCTTCCCTTTGTGGGTAACCTGACCTTTCTCTCTGGCTGCCCTTAACATTTTTTCCTTCATTTCAACTTTGGTGAATCTGACAATTATGTGTCTTGGAGTTGCTCTTCTCGAGGACTATCTTTGTGGCATTCTCTGTATTTCCTGAATTTGAATGTTGGCCTGCCTTGCTAGGTTGGGGAAGTTCTCCTGGATAATATCCTGCAGAGTGTTTTCCAACTTGGTTCCATTCTCCCTGTCACTTTCAGGTATACCAATCAGATGTAGATTTGGTCTTTTCACATAGTCCCATATTTCTTGGAGGCTTTGTTAGTTTCTTTTTACTCTTTTATCTCTAAACTTTCCTTCTCGCTTCATTTCATTCATTTAATCTTCAATCACTGACACTCTTTCTTCCACTTGACTGAATCGGCTACTGAAGCTTGTGCATACATTATGTAGTTCTCATGCCATGGTTTTCAGCTCCATCAGGTCATTTAAGGTCTTCTCTATGCTGTTTATTCTAGTTAGCTATTCATCTAATCTCTTTTCAAGGTTTTTAGCTTCTCTGTGATGGGTTTGAACATCCTTCTTTAGCTCGGAGAAGTTTGTTATTACTGATCGTCTGAAGCCTACTTCTGTCAACTTGTCAAAGTCATGCTCTGTCCAGCTTTGTTCTGTTGCTGGTGAGGAGCTGCGTTCCTTTGGAGGAGAAGAGGCACTCTGATTTTTAGAATTTTCAGCCTTTCTGCTCTAGTTTCTCCCCATCTTTGTGGTCTTATCTACCTTTGGTCTTTGATGATGGTGATGTACAGATGGGATTTTGGTGTGGATGTCTTTTCTCTTTGTTAGTTTTCCTTCTAACAGTCAGGGCCCTCAGCTGCAGGTCTGTTGGAGTTTGCTGGTGGTCCATTCCAGACCCTGTTTGCCTGGGTATCACCGGCGGAGGCTGCAGAACAGCAAATATTGCAGAACAGTAAATGTTGCTGCCTGATCCTTCCTCTGGAAGCTTTGTCTCAGAGGGGCACCGGGCTGTATGAGGTGTCAGTCAGCCCCTACTGGGAGGTGTCTCCCAGTTAGGCTACTTGGGGGTCAGGGACCCACTTGAGGAGGCAGTTTGTCTGTTCTCAGATCTCAAACTTCGTGCTAGGAGAACCACTACTCTCTTCAAAGCTGTCAGACAGGGACTTTTAAGTCTGCAGAAGTTTCTGCTACCTTTTGTTCAGCCATGCCCTGCCCCCAGAGGTGGAGTCTACAGAGGCAGGCAGGCCTCCTTGAGCTGTGGTGGGCTCCACCCAGTTTGAGCTTCCCAGCCACTTTGTTTACTTACTGAAGCCTCAGCAATGGCAGACGCCCCTCCCCCAGCCTTGCTGCCACCTTGCAGTTCGATCTCAGACTGCTGTACTAGCAGGGAGCGAGTCTCCTTGGGCATGGCACCCTCTGAGCCAGGCATGGGATATAATCTCCTGGTGTGCCATTTGCTAAGACCATTGGAAAAGCACAATATTAGGGTGGGAATGTCCCGATTTTCCAGGTACCATCTGTCACGGCTTCCCTTGGCTAGGAAAGGGAATTCCCTGATCCCTTGGACCCCTTGTGCTTCCCAGGTGAGCCGATGCCCTGCCCTGCTTTGGCTCACACTCCGGGGGCTGCACCCACTGTCCAACAAGCCCCAGTGAGATGAACCCGGTACCTTAGTTGGAAATGCAGAAATCACTTGTCTTCTGCGTTGCTCACGCTGGGAGCTGTAGACTGGAGCTGTTCCTATTCGGCCATCTTGGAGGGTGACTTCAGCATATTTATTTTTAGGCCGCCTGCCTTACTGAATCTATTATGATTTCTAACAGGTTTTCAATTCATTTTCTTGTTTTTTTTTTCCCCTAGGTGGAAAATAATAAAATGTTTAAATATTAATCATTATACTTATTTTCCTAATAGTTGTATCTCTAATTTCATTCTCTTGTCTAGTGACATCGGTAGCACCTCCAGAAGAGAGAACAAAAGCAGTGGTAGCACCAATCTCCTTAGTCTTTTCTCAGATTGAGGGGGCATCTCATGTGTGTCTTCCCTTTGAAAATGATGCCAACACTCATTTGACGTACACGTGCAAATGTTTTTGTTGTGGAACTATCCTTCTATTCTTGTTTTATGAAACATTGCCATCGGGGATAGATATATTACTTTTAAAAATTGTATTTTAGAGCCCTGTGTGGGGCTCATGCCTGTAATCCCAGCACTTTGGGAAGCTGAGGTGGGTGGATCACTTGAGGTTAGGAGTTCGAGAACAGCTAGACCAACATGGTGAAACCCCATCTCTACTAAAAATACAGAAATTAGCCAGGTGTGGTGGCACGTGCCTGTAATCACAGCTACTCGAGAGGCTGAGGCAGGAGAATGGCTTGAACCCAGGAGGCAGAGGTTGCAGTGAGCCAAGATCATGCCACTGCACTCCAGCCTGGGTGACAGGGCAAGACTCAGTCTCAGAAAAAATAAAAAATTGTTTTTTAGATATTTATTGAAACTTTTTTCCTTTTATATTAACAGCCTACCAAATTTTGAATAACCCTTGCTTATTCTCACAATTTTTCTTTTAATGTTCTATTTAGTTTATTTGCTAATATTTTGTTATTTTGCATGTATATTCATAATTGGGTTTGTAGTCTTCCATTTTGTGCTTGTCTACTTTTTAAATATTTAATTCTGCATAATTTGTAACATTAATTGAAAATTTTCTTTCATTATGCATTGGGATGATTTAAAGGGCAACAGATTTCTATGTTGTTTGGATTTTTGAAAGAGTTCTACTTCATCTGATGTGATTGTGGTTCTGCTTTCTGCTTATTTGTTTTTCCTGGAACAATTTTTTTGAACAAGTTTTGCTGGTCCTCTTACTCATAGTCTTTCTGAATCATTTTATTTTACTTAAGTGTTTGTGGAGTTATATTTTATGTGTTAATTTAAGCTTTTAAAAAATATCTGTGTTTATTCCATTTTCATTTATTGTCATAGTAATTTCTGTTTAAAAATGTTCTTAGGTTATTTTGTTTGTTGTGATTCATCACAGTATAATTTCCTTTATATCTTTTGCTTTACTGTTCATAATTTTTAAAGTAATTGAATGCCCATATAGATTCTGCTTTTAGATCTATTGATAATTGAATAACTTGATCAATCCTCGTTCTCCAGTTCATGAGTTCTAGCAGTAAGGCCTTCCCCTTTGTCTTTCTCTATGAAAGAGAAGGCCAACTGCACGTTTTTGCTTCCTCTCATTCTCTCCTCCGTCAATATCAATTCCAAATCCACCTCACCCGATTTGTGTATCCTGAATTTTTGCCCCAGCCTATTATAAGGAACTTATCATTAATATTTGTATTAGGTGTCTTTCTTTGTCAAGGAACTTAATGTTTTTGTTCTTTCTTATAACAATACTTTCCATGGCTATTTAGTCTTCATTTCATGTTTGGAATTTGGATGCAGTTTGGATGGATTTGGCTCTTACCCCAGGCTTTCTGCAACACAGACTTCATGTTCAGAAATATATACTTATTCAACTAGTTCTTGAGAGAGTGTTTATGTGACCTCCTCCTAAAGTTTTCTGATGTTTAATAACAGCCTGTTTCCTTACCAGGTGACTGGCACTTTGACTGGGCTTAGAATTTGGGGGCTTAGAACTTGGGACCATATTCCTTTTCTTCCTTTAAAACACTGCCTTGTCTTCTGGCAGTGAATTGTATGGCAGAAACATCAGGGTCGTTTTTCTTCAGTGTAGATATTTACAGACATTTTTCTTTATAACTAAAATGAAATAATTTTTTATGAGAACTTGCCTTGAAACTGCCTCCTTTGTTCCTCTTTCATATTAGGAAAGATCTCTCCTTTTATGTTTCGAACTCTGTTTCTGTCTTTTTTTTTTTTTTTTTTTTTGGAGATGGAGTCTCACTCTGTTGCCCAGGCTGGAGTGAAGTGGCGTGATCTTGGCGCACTGCAACCTCTGCTTCCCACGTTCAAGCAATTTTCCTGCCTCAGCCTCTCGAGTAGCTGGGACTACAGGCGCACACTGCCATGCCTGGCTAATTTTTTTGTATTTTAGTAGAGATGGAGTTTCACCGTGTTGCCCAGGCTGGTCTTGAACTCCTGAGCTCAGGCAATCCACCCGCCTCGGCCTCCCAAAGTGCTAGGATTACAGGCGTGAGCCACCACGCCCAGCCTCTAGTCTCTTCTTTAGGAGCACCAATTATCCTATACTCCATCTCTTTTTCTTTCCTCTGTGGTTTTCCTCAATCCTTTGTCTTTTGCTTCTACGTTCTGCATTATTTTCTCTCAAGGACCCTCCATCTTGACAACCTGGGTTCCTTCAATGATGAATCCGTTCTCCCTTCCTACCCATTTAAAAAATGTTGCAGTAGCGTTGCTTGACCTCTTACTGTTTTTTCTTAGCATTGCCCATTCTTTTGTAAACCCAATCCATAGTTACAGGAGCTCATTTTTCATCCATTTTTTTCTTTGGAGTCCTTGAACTTTTTCCCATGCCACTGAGAATAGAAAGTAGATTTGCCCCAAATTTTCATCTGTTTTATGGGTTCAGTTTATAGAAATATGGTCTTCATCTCTCTACGCTGCTGTGTTCATTTCCTTGTCATTGGTTGCTAAGTTCTTGCTTCTCACTCTCTTCTCACCTTTGAATAGGATTCTATTTAGGATTTGTACTTGCCTTGGGCTGGCATGGATAGATTTTCCTTCATGATTCCTCACACTTTGCACTCTACCCTTAGGTATTTGGGTAGCTTCAGAATCGTCTTACTAGAACTCTATAAGTGAATATATATCTGGATGCATTTTGAGAGATTCAGAAGGATGCAAAACCAATAGAAAATATTGGTTACTTTAAGGTAAGATTGGAGGGAAATACTATTGACCTTTAATTTAAAAACCTCTCTTAAAAAATGGGCAAACATTAAGAATATCAGATAGAATGTACAAATGACTAATCTGCTATGTAAAAAGATGTTTGACCTTGCTGATAGCCAGTGAAGTGCAAACTAAAACCACACTAAGACATCATCACTTGCACATCAGATTGAAAAAGATTTACAATGTTATAATGTCCAACATGGTAAAGATGTTGAGAAAGATGCACTATTTCAAGATTTTTTTTTTTAAAGGAACTTGGAGACTGGATCAGGTAACTTAATTTTAGGAATTTAAAACTCAGACTGAAATGGGCCTATGGACAAAGTGGGTTAATTTAGTCTTTATTTTGTTTTTGCTAAATAAATATTTCATGTATGTTTAAGAAACCTTATAAACAAATTCAGTCACAGACTTTAGTTTGCATTAGGATTACCTTCAGTTTTTCTGTACTTTTATGTTTTGCCTCAAATGTGATTTCTTCACTGCTTTATCAAGAGCTGGACCTGACATCAACATTATAAAATAAATTTACAGAGCTCGAGGGCTTCAAGTGCCTGTCAAGGTGACCCAGAAGCCCACATCGATGGTTCTTGCCATGAACTCTACTCTGGAGAAACCACAGAAATAGGATAAAACACGGACTGGAGGAACTAACAAAGGAGTGTTGGAAGCCCCTGGAAGGGTCTCATGGCTGCTTTGAGCTGGAGTGTATGTATATGGGTGCACACACTCGTGTATGTAGGAAGCAGAAAAGGATGGGACAAGCAAAGGCAATGATGGGAAGGTGGGTTAGAGCAGTGATTTGCAATCCTGGTGCATGTTAGATATCATCTGAGAAGCTTTAAAAAATATTCACACCAGATAACAGGGAAATATAGGAGAATGTCCTCCTCCTTAGCTGATGTTGAATTACTAGCTGTCTGCAACTTATTTCCAAATGCTTCAACAAAACAAAACACCTCGTAACAGAGAATAAGAGAGAGAGAATGAGAGCAACTGTGGCAACTTTTGATGAATCCAGGTGAAGACAGCAGTGATGTTCTCTGTACTATTTTTTTTAAGACTGATTTGTTGGTTTGATTTTTGTTTTCAAAATACAATGTTGAGAAAATCAATACTCACCTCCAAGCCTCATCCCAGGTATTCTGATTTCATTGGTCTGTGATGCAGTGGCATCTGAAAAATGTTCCAGATATGAGTGTAATGCTGAACCAAGATTAAAATCCACAGGGTTGGCAGGAAGCTTTTAAAAAGCTCTTCTCTTGCTGCTTCTCCTGAAGTGCCTTGATACCATCTTTGACTTCCACTTCACCATAGAAATTGGAAGCAATAGTCCAAACCTCCAGTGCCAGTAAACATGGTGCTGGGTGCTCTGCTGAGTGAGGAATTGATGCAAAATGAAACCCCAACTAGAGGAGCTGTCAGTTACAATGGCAGCAAAGAGCAGTGGCTAACTGTTGTTTTGTGGTACTTGAGCTTCTCTACTCAGAGGCTCATCCCTCTCCTTAACTGACATTCATCCACAGGGACACAGATGAGAGCCTGGCCCTTGAGGTTTCATTCATACTCTGCTAAACAAAGTAGTTGATTCCACTGTGGGAAAATGAATTCACAGGCCAAGATATCTAGACACCTGAGAAATACCTGTCTTGTTAAAGAGAAAGAAAAAAAAAAAGACAAATGGAATGCATTCCACCTGAAGCAGCATTATTGAGAGATGGCTTCAGAATTTAAAATAAACATTATAGAAATAATTAAGAAAATAAGAGATGATTTTAAGCATATGAAGGAAAAGTAAGAAATCATGGACAAGAACCAAGTGGAAATATCGAGTATGAAAAGTATAATAGTTAAAGCAAAAAATACAAGAGATAGAATTAATAAAAGGATGGAAACAGCTGAAGAACAAATTAATGTAATGGAGGATTAGGTAGAGGAATTATTCTGAGGCAGTAGGAAATGATGAAGAGGGAGAAAAATATATATTTTCAAAATGCTTTGAAATATGGAGGACAGAAGTAAAAGTGTTAATATTTTAAAAATGAAAACACTAAGAGAAGAAAAAAACTGAGAAGATGAAATATTTAAAGAAACAGTGAAGATTCAGCTTCCTAAAATTGAAGACAAGTCTCTGGCTTGAAAAGTCCTATAGAACACCAAACAAAAGAGATAAGAAAAACCTATACTTAGCTGGGTGTGGTGGCTCACACCTGTAATCCCAGCACTTTGGGAGGCTGAGACAGGAAGGTTGCTTGTGTCCAGGAGTTCAAGACCAGCCTGGGCAACATAGTGAGACCCCTTCTCTACAAAAAATAAAAAATCAGCTGAATGTGGTGGTGTGCACCTGTAGTCCCAGCTACGTGGGGGGCCTGAGGCAGGAGAATTGTTTGAGCCTGGGAGGTTGAGCCTGCAGTGAGCCATGATCATGCCACTGCACTCCAGCCTGGTGGATAGAGTGAGATTTTGTCTCAAAACAAAACAAAGCAAACCCCTCAAAAAAACCTGTAGCTATATTAGAGTGAAACGTAAGAACATCAAAGACAAATTCTAAATGTTTTTGAAGTTGAAGCAGATTGCCAACAAACAAGAATCAGACCGACGTCAAGTGGGTACTACAAGTGATATGAAAAACACGGAAGACTAGATATAAATATAGTCAAGTTCAAGAAATAAATAAGGATAAATAAACTTGAGTATGGGTCTTAAATTAAGGGCAACTGACACAAGGCCCAAAGCAAAATAAATAAATTTTGAAGCAGCAAAAGGAAATTCTCCCTACCCAAAAGAAAGTTGGATAGAAGAAGGAAAAAAGAAAAATCCCTGTAAGTGTAAATTGTGAAATACATTATAACAATAATAATAATAAATGAAAATGGATTAAATTCACTAATTAAATTCACAGACAGCTCAGAGTAGATTTTTTAAAAGAAAGAGACAATATTATGTTTTTAAAATAAGAAATAAGCAATACAAAAAGGCAAAGAAAGTTGAAAAATCAGACTGGATTCCAGGCAAATATGAAAATATTGATAATCTGGCAATTTCAACACGTGACAAAATACCATTTAATGCCAAAACATCATAATGAACAAAGCAAGAGGTTATATACTAATAAAAGGAACAATATAACAAAAAACCCAATACAAATATATACGCACCTGAAAATAGACACTAAAAATATATCAAGCAACAAGTGACAGAACCACAGGGAGAGGATAATTCATTATTCCCAGTTGAATCTTTTATTGTATTCCTCCAAGGAATGGACAGATTAGGTAGTCTAAAAATGATCAGAAATTATTTTTTAAAATCTTCTCTTTGCTCCTAGTGTTCCGAAATTTCACGATGATATGTTTCAGCATGGGTCTATTTTTGTCCGTCTCACTTGGTACTCATGGGCCTTTTCAATCTGGCAATTCTTGTCACTCTCTTAGGGACATGTTTTATTGTTGTTTTGTTGCTGATGTACTCCCCTGTGTTTCTCTGTTCTCTCTGGAACTCCTCTTATTTGGATGGCATCTTCTGGATGGTTTCTCTAGTTTTTTTTGTTTTGTTTTGTTTTGTTTTTTATCTTTTCTTTCCTATTATCTATATCTTTGTCTTTTTGATCTACTTTCTGGGAGATTTCCTCATCTATAGCTTCCAAGCCTGCTGCTGACTTTAATTTTTTTCATATCGTATTTTTAACTTTATGAGCACTTTTTTGGTTTCAGAATGTCGCTTTTCTTAAAATAGAATCCTGTTCCTATTTCATGTTTGCAATACTTCATCCCTTTGAGGGAACTAATACTTTTTAAAAAAGAGATTTTCTTCTTTCTGGATAATTTCTGTTTCTCTAAATACCCCTGTACTGGTTTTTGTTGCTGCTGTAAAAAAAATTAAAACAATGTAAGTGTATTATCTTATAGTTCTGTAGGTTAGATGTTCAATATGGGTTTCACTGAACTGATATCACAGTGTTGGAAGGATCATGTTTCTTTCTGGAGGTTCTAGGGCTAATCTGTTTCCTTGCCTTTTTCAGCTTTTAGAGACCAGTCACATTTCTTAACTCATAGCCTGTTTCCTCACATCTCTCTGTCTCTTTTCTAGTTGCCACATCTCCCTCTGACCATGGCAAAGAAAAGTTCTTGGCTTTTAAGGACACATGTGATTTGACTGGGCTCACTAGGATAATCCAGGATAATCTCCTCATCTCAAAATCAGATCATTAACAACTTTAATTCCATTTGCAACCTTAAATCTGCAAAAGTGCCATGTAACATAATACATTCCCTGGTTCTGGGGATTCGAACATGCACATTTTGGGAGGGCATTATTCTACCTACCATATCCCATCCCCATAACCTCTCTCTTTTTTTGTTTAGTTTTGTTCTCTGATTTTCACTTTGGAGGTTTTCCTCACATGTCTGGTAATCTCTAGCTATCTGCACATACTTAGGAATGAAAGATTAAAAAGTTTATTGGAAGCTCTGAAAACATGAGTGGAGCTTATTGGCTGTATAACTGTGGATTATTTGACAGACTATTTCCCTGGGCAATCCCCATGTCAGTATATCAGGGTCTTTCTTGTTGGGCTGGTCAATTCCCCAGAGAAGACTTGTACAGTCTCCTCCCTAAAGGCAGAAGGCCTGGCCACCCGAGTTACACTATCTGAGCAGGGGAAGAGGCTTAAGAATCTCAAGATCTGGGATGTGTGTGTTTAGACTTAATAATTCTCTTGTGTCTGTCAATTATACCTGTCATCCCTTTTGCAAAAACTAGACATTCAGTCATCTGCCTGGGTGTAAAGATTCAGGGGGAAAATGGGGCAGAGGAGTTCAAATGTCTCTTAAACAGACCTTCAGCAACTCTTGAATTTTTAGTCAAATCCTCACCTTTACTTCCAGAGATCCTGGACAGCAATTGCTGAGTGACTCGGGGGTTCTTTAGTATAAACTGGGTTGGTTCTTGAATTTACCCTCCGTGGGCTTATAACTCAACTTTCTCAGTCCTCGGCTTGTCTATCTGCTTTCCAGTTTCCAAAATTTTGATGTTGCTTTTTCCCATTGGTCCTTGCCTTATTGGTTTTTTGTTAAAACCCTTTATTGTTGCTATAATGGCATTTCCAAAGAAAGCAGAGCTCAAAGCTTGGGTTCAATTCATTATTTTTTTAACTGGAAGTTGGTACATTGTTCCATATTTGTTGAACCCACTGTGCAACGTGAGCCATGGAAGTGCCCTGTCCCACTGTGGATGCCTCTTCTGACTGACATATTTCTCCTTTTTGGGGGCGGACCAACCATATCAAAGAGATGTCAAACTAAAGGAAAAGCTCATAACCATAGGCTTTCTGTGTTGAAGGTTGCTATGACTTTTAATGGCAAAAACCACAATTATGTTTGCACCAACTTAATAATATTCCCAACCCAACAGGTATTTGTTGAAGATATTGGTCTATCGCTCTGAAAATATTTCCCAAATGATATTTTCCAGCCTCCCTGATTCTGCCTTTGCCTTCCTGACATCCATGTGTGTGCTCACTTGTGCGTGCTTGCACACAGACATACACACACACACACACACATTTTCTTCCTTTTTTGGAGTGTACCCTTATCAGTATTAAGAATCTGACTCAGAACAATGGGGAGGGCTTTAGTCTTCTTGTTCAGCTATTACCATGGCTCAGAATGCTGTCTATGTCAGGAGATGAATCCCTGATTTTTTTCATGGCCCGTCCATGTCTTTCCCTCATGCCACCAAATTGAAGATAATGATATAACTTTGCATTTAGTTTTATAGCCATAGGAATATCCAGCACCATATATGTTTAAATACAGGATAACCCAGAACATAAAACACCTCCATTCCTTTTCCAGTTGAGAATATTCTCCAGAATTTTGGCCAATTTAAGTATAAATAACCTTTAGAACCTTATTGAAATTGATATTTACTTATACATTTTATTGGAGTAGTTTCATTATATATACAATTTAAAATTATATATTATAAAGGTAATTTAATTTACTGCTTTTTTCCTACTCATATAATAATAAAGTTGTAAGAAACAATTTTACTGAAACTCCTCACTGGCGTCTTGGACATTAGTGTCTCTGTCGTCAGTAGATCCATTTTTTTTAAATCGTCCAGCACAGTTTTCCACAGTACATTGTGTTCATTTCCATTTGAGTCATTGTGACACGTTTATGTTTGTATCTATATGTTTGCTCCCACGGAAACTTTTATCCCAAGCCACAATAGCCCATTATGTGCGGACAGATTTTTGGTTGTTTAATTTGTCCTGATGGTATATGTGCATGATTTCCACAGACAACCGTTTTCTGTATTGATTTTCAAGTGAGCTTTAGAAGGATTGTTTACAAAGACATTTGACACTTGCAATTGTGAGGTGATAGACCTTTAGCAATAATTACTAAATCTGTGTCAAATTTCTTTGCCTTCCTTATTTACTGATTCTGTCAGGTGACATCTCTAATCATTGCAAACCAGTGTTGATTGAGGTCATTTCAGGCTGATGTTTCTTTGCCAAACAAGATTTTTGTTCAAAATAAAGAATTTGAGGCTGGGCACGGTGGCTCATGTCTGTAATCCCAGCACTTTGGGAGGCCGAGGTGGGTGGATCACCTGAGGCCAGGAGTTAGAGACCAGCCTGGCCCACATAGTGAAACCCCATCGCTACTAAAAAATACAAAAATTAGCTGGACGTGGTGGTGGGCACCTGTAATCCCAGCTACTTGGGAGGCTGAGGCATGAGAATCGCTTGAACCTGGGAGGCAGAGTTTGCAGCGAGCCGAGATTGCGCCACTGCACTCCAGCCCGGGCAACAGAACAAGACTCCATATCAAAAAAAAAATTTTTTTTTGAAGGTGCATTTCCATAATAGTGCCTTTCCAAATTGGTCTTCTTGTTCAGCCTTATTACCATGGATCAGAATGCTGTCTATGTAGGGAGATGGGTCCTTGATTTTTTTCATGGCCTGTCCATGTCTTTTCCCTCATGCCTCTTCTTATAGATTACCCAGTCTCAAGTATTCTGTTATAGCAACACTAAATGGACTAAGACACTTTCTCTTCAGACATCCACAGGACTCTCTCCATAATATGAGAGATTTTTTTAAGGACGCAAATTTAGAGTAATTCTTTTCTGAGAGTTAATTTTTAGAAATTATTGTATTTGGAGTAGATTTCACACTCGGTTGGTTTTATTGCTTATTGTTGGTCCCCTTTTATCATGATCTTCTCATTTCTGGGTCCAACACTTTGGTCTAATAGCCAGTGGGATTTAAGTGCCATGATTTTAAACATCATTTACGCACTGATGATTCTCAGTGTTGTACCTCCAGTCTTGACATTTTCCTTGATCTTCAGTTTATATATTCATCTGTCAACTCAACACCTCCTAAGCCTAAACCTAAATTGATGTTTAATAGGCATCTCAAAATTGAAATGTCCAATACAGAATTAGTTCTCCAAGAGTTGGATTTTATAAAGCCAGGATGCCCCTTGGGTTTAGTCTTTTTGCATGTATCCACTGCCCATTTGACCTTCTCTACCATGTTATGCTGTAGACCAATAGCCCTCAACATAAGCCTGAGCCATACCCTTGAACTTCCCAGCTTGCAGAACTGTGAGCTAAATAAACCTCTCTTCTTTATAAATTACCCAGTCTCAGGTATTCTGTTACAGCAACAACACTAAACAGACTAAGACAGTCTTCCTTCAGATATCCACAGGACTCTCTCCATCATTTAATTCAGGTCTCTGTTAAGATATTATCTTCCCAACTGCAGTGCCACTCCACTGACATGCACTAGTCACTCTGTAACCCTTCATTCTGTGTTATTTTTCTTTATAAAACTTACCATTCCATGCTAGTGCATATACTAGCATTTACTAGTATATGCTAGTATATGCAAGTATATGTTAGTATATGCTAGTATATTATAGTATATGCTAGTGCATATACTATATTATATTACTATAATTTAAATATTTATTATTTACATTATACTTATTTGTTTATTTTCTGTTTTTCCACCAGAATGTGGGCTTCATTAAGGCTAAAACTTTGTTTTGTTCATGATTTATTCTCAGTTCCTAGCACCAAGTCTGTGTTCAATAAATATTTATTAAATGAATTAACGAATGAACAAACCAGTTTTCCATACGATGGATCACATATTTAGTTCTCCTTTCATCCTTTTTCTTTTACCCACTGCATTCCTGCTTTCTCTTTTATAATTTTCACCCTTATTCTTTTATCACTGCATTCCTGACATCTTATCAACATCGATGACTTGATATGCATTTGTTTTGCTGCAGTACTTTATTACTGTAGCCACAGTCTAAAATTCTGCCATAGCATTGTTTATTTCTTATATTATTAGTTTCTCACAGTAAAAACAATCTCAACCAGGCTTCTGTTCATCCCATTCTTCTGCATTATTATTTTGTCTCTCATCTTACATTTTATAGGCTCTACATTTTCTTGAATTTTATTGGGAACTTAAACTTTTCTTTTAGCAAGTGATTTTCTTCAGAAGACCTTTTCTTTTGCTTCCCTGCAGAGTGTTTAGCAGTGTCTCAACATCCACACAGAACCCCAAAGTGAAGAATGGGAGATGTGGTGGTCTGAGGCATTTAAGGAAATCTCTCTTTAATCTTTAGTGGCTGAGCTAACCAAGCAGAGACTTCAGCGGCAACATGTGACAAAGAATATAGACTTTACAGAATAATTCCAAAGGACACTAAAAAAAATGGCAGCAGCAACAACAAATAATAATAACAAACTCTGGAGAGGGGGAGAATCTGATTTCCAGAGTTGCCATATTATATTATTTTAAAGGTCAACTTTTTTAACAAAAAATACAAGTTATGCAAAGAAATCAGAAAGGATGGCCCATAAACAGGAAAAAGGGGCAAAAACAAGAGAAACTACACTAAGGAACCCCAGATGTTGGATTTATTAGACAAAGGCTTTAAATTAGCTATTTAAAATATGCTTAAAGCATGAAGGAAATTATGTCTAAGGAACTAAAGAAAAGTTTAAAAATGTCTGATGAAATATAGAATATCGATAAAGAGATAGAAATTATTAAAACAAAAATTCTGGAGTTGAAAGTACAGTAGCTGAAATGAAACATTCACTTAGAGGAGCTCAACAGAACATTTTAACAGGCAGAAGAAAAAGAAGTCAGCAAACCTGATGATAGGTCAAATGATATTATCTGTCTGAGGAAGAGAAAGATAAAAAGAATGAAGAAAAATGAAGAGTCTCAAAGACCTATCAAGCATACTGAGATAGACCAAGAATACAAAAATATGCATAATGTGATTTCTAGAAGAGAAGATAGAGTGGCAGAAAGAATATTTGAGAAAAAAAAGGATGGCTAGGTTGGGTGTGGTGGCTCACGCCTGTAATCCCAGCACTTTGGGGAGGCCGAGGTGGGTGGATCATGAGTTCAGGAGATTGAGACCATCCTGGCTAACATGGTCAAATCCCGTCTCTACTAAAAATACAAAACAAAACAAAACAAAACAATTAGCCAGGCATGGTGGCGGGCGCCTGTAGTCCCAGCTACTTGGGAGGCTGAGGCAGGAGAATGGTGTGAACCTGGGAGGCGGAGCTTGCAGTGAGCCTAGATTGCACCACTGCACTCCAGCCTGCCTGGGTGACAGAGTGAGACTCCGTCTCAAAAGAAAAAAAAAAAAAGGGATGGCTAAAACTTCCCAAATTTGATGAGAAACATTAATCTACACATTCGAGAATCTCAACAAACTCCAGCTAGGATAAACTAAGAAAGATCCTTACCTAGACACATCATAATTTAACTGTTAAGAGGCAAAGACAAAGAGAATATCTTCAGAGTATCAAGAGAGAAGTGACTCACCATGTATAAGAGAGCCTTAATAAGATTGTCAGCTCACTTTTAATCAGAAACCATAGATGTCAGAAGACAGTGGGTTGGTATAGTCAGAGCCCTGAAAGACAAAAAACTGTCAACCAAGAATTCTATATCCAAAGAAAACTATCTTTTAAAAATGAAGGAGACATTAAGACATTCCCAGAAAGACAGAAAT